>NC_000016.10:56077651-56380682 GCF_000001405.40 Homo sapiens | reverse complement strand
TGGGGAACTTTGAACTTGAGACATATGATTTAGAGTATCTGGTAGAAGAAAATTCTAAGCAGCAAAGCATTCAGGAGGTGACTTGGATGCTGTTAAAGGCATTCAGTTTTAAAAGGGAAACAGCATAAAAGTTTGGAAAATTTGCAGCTTGACAATGCGATAGAAAAGAAAATCCCATTTTCTGAGGAGAAATTCAAGCTGGCCGCAGAAATTTGCATAAGTAACCAGGAACTGAATGTTAATCCCCAAGACAATGGGGAAAATATCTCCAGGGCATGTCAGAGGTCTTCACAGCAGCCCCCTCTCATCACAGGCCCAGAGGCCTAGGAGGAAAACATGGTTTCGTGGGTCATGCTCAGGGTCCCTGTGCTGTGTGCAGCCTAGGTACTTGGTGCCCTGTGTTTCAGCTGCTCCAGCCATGGCTGAAAGGGGCCATTGGGCTTCAGAGGGTGGAAGCCCCAAGTCTTGGCAGCCTTCAGGTGGTGTTGAGCCTGCGAGTGCACAGAAGTCAAGAATTGGGGTTTGGGAACCTCCGCCTAGATTTCAGAAGATGTATGGAAACACCTGGATGCCCAGGCAGAAGTTTGGCACAGGGGCAGGGCCTTCATGGAGAACCTCTGCTACGGCAGTGCGGAAGGCAAATGTGGGATCAGAGCCCCTACGCAGAATGCCTGCTAGGGC
Source organism: Homo sapiens (assembly GCF_000001405.40). Taxonomy (NCBI): domain Eukaryota; kingdom Metazoa; phylum Chordata; class Mammalia; order Primates; family Hominidae; genus Homo; species Homo sapiens. Next base: position 56,380,001 of record NC_000016.10, on the reverse strand, counting down.
ACCGCCTAATGGAGCTATGAGAAGAGGGCCACTGTCCTCCAGACCCCAGAATGGTAGATCTGCTGACAGCTTGCACTGTGTGCCTGGAAAAGCCACAGACACTCAACGCCAGTCTGTGAAAGCAGCCGGGAGGGAGGCTGTACCCTGCACAGCCACAGGGGTGGAGCTGCCCAAGACCACGGAAACCCGTCTCTTGCATCAGCGTGACCCAGATGCGAGACATGGATTCAGCGGAGATCATTTTGGAGCTTTAAGATTTGACTGCCCTACCTTATTTTGGACTTGCATGTGGCCTGTAGCCCCTTTGTTTTGGCCAATTTCTCCCATTTGGAACAGCTGTATTTACCCAATGCCTATACCCCTATTGTATCTAGGAAGTAACTAACTAGCTGTTGATTTTACAGGCTCATAGACGTTAGGGACTTGCCTTATCTCAGATGAGATGTTGTACTTTGGACTTTTGAATTAATGCTGAAATAAGACTTTGGGGGACTGTTGGGAAGGCATGATTGGTTCTGAAACATAAGGACATGAGATTTGGGAGGGGCCGGGGCGGAATGATATGGTTTGACTGTGTCCCCACCCCAATCTCATCTTGAATTCCCACGTTTTGTGGGAGGGACCTGGTAGGAGGTAGTTGAATCATGGGGGCAGGTCTTTCTCCTGCTGTTCTCGTGATAGTGAATAAGTCTCACGAGATATGATGGTTTTAAAAAGAGGAGTTCACCTGCACAAGCTCTCTCTCTTTGCCTGCCACCATCCATGTAAGATGTGACTTGCTCCTCCTTGCCTTCTGCCATGGTCGTGAGGCCTCCTCAGCCATGTGGAACTGTAAGTTGATTAAACCTCTTTCTTTTGTAAATTGCCAGTCTCGGATATATCTTTATCAGCAATGAGAAAACGACAAATACAAATGCTAAACAGCATGATTGCTAGGTCAAATGGTAAAATTGTTTAGTTTTGTTAGAAGCTGCCGAATCATCCTCCAGAGTGGCTGTATCATCTTGCGTTCTCACCAGCAGTGAATGAGAGTTCCTGTTACTCCACATCCTCTCCAGCATTTGGTTTTGTCAGTGTTCCAGATTTTGGCTATTCTAATATATATGTAGTGGTGTCTTGTTTTAATTTGCATTTATCTAATGACATATGATGTGGAGCAACTTGTTATATTCTTATTTGGCATCTGTACATCTATCTTTGGTGAAGTATCTATTAAGATCTTATACCCATTTTTTGATCAGGTTGTTTGTTTTTTTATTGTTAAGCTTTAAAAATTCTTTGTATATTTTGGATAGCAGTCCTTTATCAGATGTGTCTTTTACAAATATTTTCTCCCAATCTGGCTTGTCATCTTATTTTTGACATTGTCTTTTGCAGAACTTTTTACATTTAATGAAGTCCAGCTTATCAATTATTTTCTTTCATGGATTGTGCCTTTGGTGTTGTATCTAAAAAGTCATTGCCATACCCTAGGTTATTTATTTCTCTGTTATCTTCTAGGGGTATTATAGTTTTGCATTTTACATTTAGGCCTGTGATCCATTTTGAGTTAATTATTGTGAAGAGTATAAGGGCTGTGTCTAGATTATTGTTTTGCATGTGGATGGCCAGTTATAGCACCATTTGTTGAAAAGTCTATCTTTTCTCTATTGTATTGCCTTTGCTCTTCTGTCAAAAATCAGCTATGTGGGTTTAGTATAGCTGTCAACCCAGCTATGTGGGTTTAGTTCTGGGCTCTCTATTCTGTTCCATTGATCTATTTGTTCTTTTGCCAATACCGCATTGTCTTGATTACTGTTGCTTTGTAATAAATCTTTTAGACAGGCAGTGTCAAATCCTCCAACTTTGTTCTTCTTCAATATCGTATTGGCTATCCTGAGTCTTTTGTCTCTTCATATAACTTTAGAATCATTTTGTCAATATCCACAAAATAGCTTGCTGGGATATTAATTGGGATTGCATTGAATCTGTACATCAAGTTGGGAAGAATGGACATCTTGACAATATTTAGTCTTTCTGCCCATGAACATGGACTATCTCTTCGTTTATTTCATTCTTCGTTGATATCATTTATCAAGATTTTGTAATTTTCCTCATATAGAACTTATATGTATTTTGTCCTATTTTGTTTTGTGGGCGCTAATATAAAGCATACTGCGCTTTTAATTTCAAATTCCACTTGCTCGTTTCTGTATATAGGAAAGCAATTGACTGTAGTATGTTAACCTTGTATCTCACAACTTTGCTGTAATTGCTTATTAGTTCCAAGAGTGTTTTTATCAGTTCTTCCAGATTTTCTACATAGGTGAGCATGTCATCTGCAGAGTTTTATTTCTTCCTTCCCAATCTGTTTGCTTTTCTTTTCTTGTCTTATTGTATTAGCTTGGACTTCTAGGATGACATTGGAAAGCAGTGGTTAGATGGGACATCTTTGTCTTGTTCCTGATCTTAATGTGAAAGCTTTGAGTTTCTCACCATGAAGCATGATGTTAGTGGTAGGGTTTTTGTAGATATTCTTTATCACAGTGACAAAGTTTCCCTCTATTCCTAGTTTACTGAGAGTTTTTATCATGAATGGGTGTTGGATTTTGTTGAGTGATTTTTCTGCATCTACTGATACGGTCATGTTACTTTTCTTTTTTAGCCTGTTGATAATATAGAAGTATATTAATTGATTTTCAAATGTTGAACCAGCCTTATGTACCTGGAATAAATACCACTTGGATGTAGTTTATAATTATTTTTATGTGTTGTTGGATTTGATTTGCTAATATTTTATTGAGGATTTTTACATATGTGTTTATGAGAGATGTTGGTCTGTAGTTTTCTTGTAATCTCTTTCTCTGGTTTTAGTATTAGGGTAATGCTGACCTTATAGTATGAATTAGGAAGTATCCCTTCTGCTTCTGTCCTCTGAAAGAGATTGTAGAGAATTGATACAATTTCTTCCTTAAATGTTTGGCAGAATTCACTAGCGAACTCATGTGGGCTGATGCCTTCTGCTGTGGAAGATTATTAATTATCTATACAACTTCACATTGTCTATTTGTTCTTGCATAAGTTTTGGCAATTCTAATTATAAGAAGTTATCTGTATAATATTTCTTGTATTAGTAATTTAGGTCCTCTCTCTTTTTTTCGTAGTTAGCTTGGCTTAGAGGCTTATCTATTTTATTGATCATTTCAAAGGACCGGCTTTTGGTTTCATTGATTTTTCTCTGTTGACTCCTTATTTTCAGTTTCATTGATGTCTGCTCTCATTTTGATTATTTGTTTTCTTCTGCTTACTTTGGATTTAATTTATTCTTCTATTTCTAATTTCCTAAGATGGAAACTTGTTTATGTCTTCTTTTCTAATATATACATTCAGTGCTATACATTTTCCTACAAGCACTGCTTTACTACATCTCACAATTTTGATAACTTGTGTTTTCATTTTCATTTAATTCAAAATATTTTAAAATTTATCCTGAGATATCGTCTTTGATCTATGTGTTATTTAGAGGTGTGTTGTTTAATCTTCATGTATTTTGGGATTTTCCGGTTTTCTTACTGTTAATGATTTCTGCTTTAAGAGCAGACATTGTGTAATTTATATTCTTTTAAATTTATTTTAAGATGTGTTTTATGACCTAGCTTGTGGTCTGTCTTGAATGTTCTATGTGAACTTGAGAAGAATGTGTATTCTGCTGTTGTTGGATGAAGTAGTCTACAGATGTTGATTGTATACAGTTGATTGATGGTGTTATTGAGTTCAGCTATGTTCTTAACTGATTTTCTGCCTGCTTGAGTGTTCATTTGTGATAGGTGTTGTAGTCTCCAAATCTATTTTGTTTCTCTTTGTGGTTCTTTTAATTTTTGCCTCAGTTTGTCTGATGCTTTGTTGTTAGATGTATATACTTTATTTATTAAATTTATTTATTTATTTAATTTATTTATGTTTTGGAGACAGAGCCTCACTTGGTTGCGCAAGCTGGAGTGCAGTGGCCCGATCTCGGCTCACTGCAACCTCCACCTCCTGGGTTCAAGCGATTCTCCTCCCTCAGCCTTCTGAGTAGCTGAGATTACAGGCGTGTGCCACCACACCCAACTAATTTTTGTATTTTTAGTAGAGATGGGTTTCATCATGTTAGCCAGGCTGGTCTCAAACTCTTGACCTCAAGTGATCTGCCCTTCTCGACCTCCCAAAGTGCTGGGATTACAGGCATGAGCCACTGTGCCCAGCAGGTGTATATACTTTAAAGATGTCGTGTCTTCTTGGAGAATTGACCCCATGATCATTTTGTAATGCTGTTCTTTATCCCTGATAACTTTGCTTGCTTTGACGTTTGCTCTGTGAAAGTAATATAGCTGCTCCTGGTTTCTTTTGGTTAGTGTTGGTGTGGTATATTTTTCTTAATCCATTTTCTTTTAATCTGTATGTGTCTTTATTTTAAAGTGGGTAAACAACATTCAGTTAGGTCTTGGTTTTCTTTATTTACTCTGACAACCTCTCTTACTTGGCACATTTAGGCCATTGATGTTCAAAGTGATTATTAATGTATTTGGATTAATAACTACCATTTTGTTACTGTTTTCTATTTGTTGCCCTTGTTTTTTGTTCCTATTTTTGTCTTCCACTCTTTCTCTGCCTCTTGTGGTTTTAACTGAACATTTTATAGAATTCCATTTTTCTCCTTTCTTAGCATATCAGTATACTTGTTACTTGTTTTAATGCAGGTGTGTCCAATCTTTTGGCTTCCCTGGGCCACATTGGAAGAAGAATTGTCTTGGACCACACATAAAATACACTAACAATAATGATAGCTAATGAGCTAAAAAAAGAAAATTAAAAATATAACGTTTTAAGAAAGTTTATAAATTTGTATTGGGCTGCATTGAAAGCTGTGTGGGCCATGAGTCGGACAAGCTTGTTTTAATGGTTGCCCTAGAGTTTGTAATATACATTTGCAACTAATTCGTTTATTTTCAGATAACACTGTACCACTGCATGGGAAGTGTGAGTACCTTTTGATAACAAAACAATCCTAATTCCTCGCTCCTGTCCCTTGTATCATTGTTGTCATTCATTTCACCTGTATGTGAGTACATAAGCACACACGTGCACAAGCACACATAACTGAATGCACTGTTGCTGTTATTTTGAATCGAATGTTATGTTAAAGAACAGTTTTTATTTATTTATACCTTCTTTGATGCTCTTCCTTTCTTTATGTAGAGCTGAGCTTTCTGACCTATATCAATTTCTTTAAACGACTTAATATTTTTAACATTTCTTGTAAGGTAGGTCTCACGGCAACATATTCCAACTTTGGTTTGTCGGAGGCAGTCTTTGTTTCTGCATCCTTTTGGAAGGATAATTTTGTGGGGTATAGAATTCTCTGTTGGTGAGTCTTTTCTTAACACTTTAAATATTTCCCTTCGCTGTCTTCTTGCTTGTGGGGCTTCTGAGGAGCTGTCGATGTCATTCCTAACTTTGCTCCTCTAAAAGTAAGGTGTTCTTCCCTCTGGCTTCTTTCAGGATTTTTTTCTTAATCTTTGATTCTCTATAATTTGAATTTGATGAATTTGATGTAGTGTTTTTTTTTTTTTTTTTTTTTTTTACCTTTGTCCTGCTTGGTACTCTCTAAGATTCCTGGATCTGTGGTTTGGTGTCTGACATTAATTTGGACAAGTTCTCAGCCATTATTGTTTCAAATATTTCTTGTGTTCGTTTCTCTTTTCCTTCTGCAGTTCCCATTAAGTGCGTTTACACCTTTTGTAGTTGTCCCACAGTCCTTGAATTTTCTGCTCTGTTATTTTCAGTTTTTATTCTGTTTGCTTTTCCATTTTTTGAGATGGAGTCTCACTCTGTCACCCAGGCTGGAGTACAGTGGCACGATCTCGGCTCACTGCAACCTCCACCTCCTGAGTTCAAGCAGTTCTTCTGCCTCAGCCTCCCCAGTAGCTGGGATTACAAGTGTGCACCACTACACCTGGCTAAATTTTTGTATTTTTAGTAGAGACAGGGTTTCACCATGTTGCCCAGGCTGGTCTTGAACTCCTGACCGCAAGTGATCCACCTGCCTTGACCTCCCGAAGTGCTGGGATTACAGGTGTGAGCCGCTGCACCTGGCCTGCTTTTCCATTTTCAAAGTGTGTATCTCAAGCTCAGAGATTCTTCCCTCAGCTGTGTCCATCTATTAATAAGCCTGTCACGGGAATTCTTCACTCGTGTTGGTGTTTCTGGTCTCTGGCACTTCTCTTTGGTTCTTTCTTAAGATTTCCATCTGCCTGCTCATGCTGCCCGTCTGTTCCTGCATGCTGTCCACTTTATCCATTAGTGCTCTTTGCATATTAATCATAGTTTTAAATTCCCAGTCTGTTAATTTCAGCATCTCTGCTCTGTGTGGCTCTGATGCTTGCTCTGTCTCTTCAAATTGTGTTTTTTGCCTTTTAGTATGCCTTATAATTTTTTCATGATAGTTGAACATGATGTACTGCGTAAAAAGGACTGTGGTGAACAGGCCTGTCGTGATGTAGGTGTCGGGGGAGGGAAAGAAGCATGCTGTAGTCCTGGGATTAGGGCTCCGTCTTTTAGTGAGCCCATGCTCTGGACTGTGAACTTCAATCTACTTCTCAGTTTCCCCTCCTCCTGTGGGACAGGATGGTTCGAGTGGACTGGAGTTCCCTCCGGTCGGTGCAGCTTTGATCAGACCCCAGCAGATGAGGTTCTGGTTGAGTAGTTTCTCCTGAGGGCAGACGTTGTTAAGAACAGTGTGCCCTGGCTGATTTCACTGAGGTGCTTTTTCCCCTCCCTGTGCTGGAAGCAGGAAGGGATGCTTGTTGGATATTTACTGAGAAACCTGATCACTCCTGGCACTGAATCTCACAGTATTACAGGGGAGCCACCTCTGCCTGAGTGCCCTGGAATGTTTACATCTCAGAGTTGTTACACTGAGTCTGTACCAATTTGTCAGTTATAAGTCAGGTTTTCCTCCATGGTTTTCTTTGTTGTTGTTGTTTGTTTGTTTGTTTTAACACCGAGTCTTGCTCTGTCGCCAGGCTGGAGTGCAGTGGCGAGATCTTGGCTCACTGCAACCTCCACCTCCCAGGTTCAAGCAATTGCCCTGCCTTAGCCTCCCGAGTAGGTGGGACTACAGGCATGCACCACCACACCTGGCTAATTTTTTGTATTTTAGTAGAGATGGGGTTTCACCATGTTGGCAAGGATGGTCTCTAACTCCTGACCTCAAGTGATCCACCTGCCTCGGCCTCCCAAAGTGCTGGGATTACAGGCGTGAGCCACTGTGTCAGGCTGTTGTTTTTTAAGGGTAGATTCGAAAGCACATCTGGTATGTGCATAGGAATGATCACTGAGGGGCAGAGATTGATGGGACAGAACAAATAGAAGAGTCAACTGAAAGAACAGGCTAGGGTGGGGAGCTGAGTAGGAGAGAGGGTTGTGAGGAGGGATGGATATAGCTACGGGCGTATTGAAATTTGGTTTAAAAAGAAGGCGTGGCTCACAGCCAAGGGGTGGAAGCAACTGAAATGTCTACTGGAGATGGATGGATAAGGAAGATATGGCAAACCTGTACAGTAGAATAGTACTCAGACTTCAAAAGGAAGGGAATCCTGTTGCATGCTGCAGCATGAATGAACCTGGAGGACATTAATGCTACATGAAATAAGTCTACCACAAAAAGACAAATACCACATAAAACTCTTACAGACAGCAGAATGATGGCTGCAGGAGGGCTGGGGCGAGGCGAGGCGAAATAGGAGTGTTGTCCCTTAGATATAGTTTCAGTTTTGCAAGATGAAAAAGTTCAGATCTGTTGCGCAGCCATGTGCCTGTGGTTAACTCTGCCACACTATGTAGTCATCCCTTGGTATCTGGGGATTGGTTCTAGGACCCCCTCCTTCAGATACCAAAATCCATGAATGCTCAAGTCTCTGATATAAAGTGGGACACTTTAACCCTTAATAGTTTAAGGTAAAAAAAAAAGATGGGGGAAGGATACTGTTTGTATATAACCTGCGCACATCTTCCATATATTTTAAATCATCTCTAGACTACTTCTGATACCTAATACAATGTAAATGCTGAGTAAATGGTTGTTATACACTGTATTGTTTAGGAATAATGACAAGAAAGCCTGTGCATGTTCAGTACAGACACAGCCATCCTCGGCCTAACTATACAGTACATGTCAGCAACAGTGTAACACTTGCTCCAGGGCTGGCTGAATCAGCCTGTGAAACTCACCTATATAGTGGTACTGAGGGCTCACTTACACTGACAAATGGTTAAGATGGCAAATTTTATCTGCTTGGGGCCATAATAAAAGAAGAAGGAAGCATGACTCTCCTGGCTCCTCTTTCTCCTTAAACCTCAGCTGGACTGCCAACAGAGAGTGAGGGTGACATCTTGGTGCATATAGGTGGCCTGGGAGTGTGGTCGCCCAGTGCAGCTACTGCTGGGCTCATGGCAGGCATTACAGGGGTTCTTTGGGGTCAGGCAGCTGTTGAAGCTCTGCAGCTGGACCACCCCACCGACCTCCTTTAAAAAGTCAAGACTTCAAGGGTGTTGGAATCAGAATTCCCTTCTGGGAGTTGTTTAGAATTCTCAGGCAGGCCCTGGCTGTTCTTCCTCCAGTTCTGTGATGGTTTGGAGTGGACTACTTTTGGTACAACTAATTTACTGGAACCATGCATTTTTTATTAAGATCTAATAATTAACTTGCTGGATTTTCTGGTAGAAAAGCTTTGGTCTAGTAAAATGAATCCTAGGCATTTTTTAAATTTGGGAAATGAGGAGGAAGCTGTTTAAGAATAAAGAGAAGTTTTATCTGATTTTAGAGGTTTTTATGGACTCTTGCCCAGTTAGATTTGACCTGACCTGGGAAAATAATGATCAACTCATGTTTACATAAACAAGCTGACTGCAGGAATGAGGAGGCCCTGGGGGCCCTGGGCACTGCTTATGTTGCCAACATTCCACCCCCAGCAAGAGCTCTAAGCAGAGCCCGGTGCCGACCTTTTCCTTCAAGGTCCTGACGTTGACATACTCCCTGCTCCTTCTATAGTCAGAACAACGTGTCCCTAGGAGCTAATATCTCAGGAGGGCTTTATTGTGCCCCTAAGGCAATTATTTTTTTCTTCCTTTTTTTGTTATAGTTATTAGAACTTTTCCAAAAATAAAACCTTGAATGTAAACATTTATAGAGTTAATTTACATATGTGGAAAAAAAATCCAGAGCTGCTTGGATGAAAGTATGGGTGGTGGTGTGGCCAGGCCTATGCCTGCTCTCCCTACACACACACCCACCCTAGAGCCCTACATAAACTCTGAGATGTCTCCAGAGTACAGTTGGAAAACTCAGCTCCAGGGCCGTATAAGGAATTTGCATTCTCTATAATTTTTTTAAATTGAGATATAATTGAAATAGAGTAAAAATTTACCCTTTTTAACATCCAGTTCAACACATAATTGTGTATCATCATAAACAAGATGTACAACAGTTTGATCCGCACCCTCCAGAACTCCACTAGGTCCTTTTGTAGTCATGTCCTTCCCCAACCTTCAGCCCCTGGCAACCACTTCCTTCCCTGATCCTCAGCCCCTGGCAACCACTTATCAAGTTTCTTTCCCCATAATTTTGCCTGTTTCCAGATGCCATATAAATGGAATCATATGCCTGGCTTTTGAGTCAGACCTCTTTCACCTAACATGATGTATTTGAATTTTATCCATGCTATGTGTATCAGAAGTTTGTTCCCTTTAGGAATTATATCTTTAAGGAAAACACATTTTTATACCCAAGATATTTTGAGCTTTAAAATGAATACTTTTAAAACATTTATTTATTTGATGTGTTTACAGGTTACAAGTGCAGGTTTCTTACATGCAGGTATTGCGCAGTGGTGAAGTCTGGGCTTTTAGTGTTACCGTCACCTAAAGAGTGAACATTGTACCCAATAGGTAGTTTTCCAGCCCTCCCCTCCCTACCTTTCCACCTTTCATAGTACAGTGTCTCATTCCACTCTGGATGGCCATGCATACTTGTTGTTTAGCTCCCACTTATAAGAACATACGGTATTTGAGTTTCTGTTCCTGAGTTACTTCACTGAGAATAACGGCCTCCAGTTTCATCAGTGTTGCTGGAGAAGATATGATTTTTTTTAATGGCTGAGTAATATTCCATGGTATATATGTGCCTCATTTTCTTTATCAAATCCTGTGTTGAAGGACGCTTAGGTTGATTCCATATTTTTGCTACTGTGAATAGCGCTGCAATAAACATATGAGCGCAGGTATCTTTCATATATAATGATTTCTTTCCTTTTGGGTATATACTCAGTAGTGGGATTGCTGGTTCGAATGGTAGTTAAAATGAACACTTTTTAAAACTGGAATATTCTAGTCGAGCCTCTCTTGGGATCCAGTTGGTTTTCTGAGCTCTCCTTATGTTGAAATTGATGCTGTCCACAGTTGCCTGTTTGGCTTCCTGGAAAAATACTAAAGGGACTGCAGTGTGAAGGTGACCTACTGAATAAAGGTGGCTCCCTTACCTGTGTTTTCAGGGCATGATGCCACATTCACTGCCCAAAGCCTGCCAGACACTGTGACGTCAGTGAGCAACTGTTAACAGTGAACGTTTCTGTGGACTCTGTATTTGTATTCCTGTAGGCTCATCAGATTCAAGAGATGTTTCCCCAGGTTCCATACCATCTGGTACTGCAGGACCTCCAGCTGACACGCTCAGTTGAAATAACAACAGACAATATTTTAGAAGGACGGATTCAAGTACCTTTTCCTACACAGGTAAAACTGGGCTTTTAAAGCATGATAAATGGGTTCTATCTTCACAAAGATTGAATACTGTAGGTTAACTGTTTTAGTTACTTAACAGCTGAATATCATTTATGACTTAATGAAGGGTTTCTATAAACTCTCTAACTTTCCCAAATTAATAACTGAGAACAGACACACCAAAGATAAGGTGAGTATTTGAGTCACTTTTTGTTCAAATATACACTCTACACCAGCCTGCCCTTGCCAGTCTAGGAAGTCATAGTATTGGTTCCTGTTGGACAAGGATTGGCCACATTTTTTTCTTTAAAAGGCAGATAATAAATATTTAGGCATTTCAGGCCACACGATCTTTGTTGCTTCTCAACTCTGCTGTCATACAGCAGCCATGGATAGTATTTAAGTAAATAAGCAAGACTGTGTTCCAATAAAACTTTATTTACAAAAATAAATAGAGTAGTGAACTTGGCCTTCAGGCTGTAGTTTGCCAACCCCCTGCTCTAGGAGCTGTGCCATCTGTCCCTAATTGGCTTTGCACACTGGTGTGGTGTTCCACTAGCTACCGTTCATCTGTCTGAGGTGGTGGTTTTGATTTTTGAAAAGCTCAGATCTCTACTTTGATGAGCATAAGAAGTATTAATATAGATGAGCCTTCTGGCAGGACCGTGGAATTTGTGTATGACCAGGGAATAATCTACCCCAAATGATTCAATTTTAGTATGTAAAAATATGTGGAAATCTATTAATAAAATTATAAAACCTGAGACTCTTTGAAGAGGAAAGAGCATAGACTCAGTCACATGGGCTGAGATATTAGATGTGGTTCCCAGTTCTCAGCTCTTTGACCTGGCTGTTGGCTGTGGATTTCCCCAGAAGCGGACCCTGGGACAAGGATTTGAATGCACATAGTTTGGGAAGTGGTCCCAGGAATCACAGGTTGTGGGTGGGGATGTGAGCTGGGGAAGGGAGGGTGGCCAGTAATGGGTTTGTTATCAAGCAGGTTTGTTATCACTGTGGGTGACAAGCCCCTTCCCATTTGGGGCCTCTGGGATCCAGTGCAGAACATATCCCTCGCAGGAGATGAGGAACTGGGGTGTTCACAGAGTAATTCCCTCCCTCACTAGTTGAGGGCTGCCTCTGGGGGTGGCTGAACTACCTCATGCAGCCAGAGAAAGTCCTCAGGCAATGAAATACAGACACTGGCCAGCCAGCACTGAGGTGGCGAGACCTTACTGGCTGGTCCCCAGAGTGTCTGCAGCATTGTGTGAGATCTTAAACTGGCTAGAAGGACGGTAACAGCAGCACCTGTTTCATAGGACGTGAAGATAGACGAGACAGCCATGTCCCAGTTTTCCTTGGTGCCATGCCGAAGTTAGGTGTTCAGTCAGTGTTCTCTGCTGTTATCATTGTTTTTGTTGTCTAATTACTGTTATTCAAAAGGAAACTAAAGTGGGACCAGTTGCTGACTCTCAAACTTGGAACTCTAGGTTAGGCCCCAGGCTCCTTTGTCTTGCTTTTAATCTTTATGGCATTTTAATTTCTGTGGTGCAGTAGACTTCCTTAGAGTTACAGGTTGGATTGGGTACCATAGCTCCCTCTGCACACCAGGGTTTCCCTGAGTCTGTGATTTGATTTCTGTGTGACTCTGGACTGTTTTTGGTACTGTTTCTCTTCCAGCGGTCAGATAGCATCAGACCTGCATTGAACAGTCCTGTGGAAAGGCCAAGCAGTGACCAGGAAGAGGGAGAAACTTCTGCTCAGGTAAAACCCGCACTCTAGTGAGAGTGAGTTCATGGAGCTGTGGAGGGGGAATGTGGTCCCGACAGTGGTCTTCCTCAGTCCTGAAGCTTGCAAGGCTTAGGGCACGAGTACAAAAGAAACTGTGCTGTATCCATCCCAATAATGAAGGGTAGCAAATCAGGCTGTGCCCGTGGTGTGGCCTGTGTTTCCACGCAGGGCTGGCAGTCATTCCCTGGGGATTGCCCTCATGTGCTGGAAGAGAAAGGGGTTGTGTTCCCCGGGGCCAGCCCTGCCACCTTGAGCCTGAGTGAGAGCCCGTGGAAGGACAGAAGGAAGCTGGGCTCGGGACCGTGAGGGTGCCTGGACCCATCTAAACTCAGATGGGGATGGCCTAGGGCAAGCTCTCCAGGGAGCCGAGGCCATTGAGATGCCCTCCCCCACACCTCACTTGTCAAACTCAGGATTTCCAGATACATCCATGCATTTTGCAAAACTGAGACCGCCTGAGCTGAGTGGGGCTGGGGGGAAAACATGGCTTTCTTGAGAACCAGATCTGTTTGTTGACCCACTTTGGGTGCCTTGAGGTGGCCACCCTAACTCCAAGCAGCAGGGCCGAGGTGCCACCTCCCCCCACCCCCTGCCCGTGCCCTCTGCCCTACACCTGTGGCCCTGGATCCCACTCCTCTTCTGTGGTTCCCATTCGCTTCCTCAGTTACCATATTGTCAGAGCACTTTCTTATGCGACCACAAATAAAAACTGGACAACCCCACCTTGGCCTTTCTGTGTTTGTGCCATGTGGGGCTTTCCTGCACACAGGCTTGGGTCTAGGGTGGTGCTGCCTTCCCTTACTGGGGTGCACAAGGTCTCCTCTAGAAGCACTGGTAAATGACACAAGCTTTCACCTCTTGTGTTTTTCTCTACAAAGAGGAAACAGTAAACACTACTAGGCCTTCTTCAAATCTGTTGCTGGGTTAAGATTTTCATATCCACCTATGTAATTGGATTATGCATCATTTGTGAAATGGTGCATGGCTTCTAAGGGGTCCATGTCTACATTTCCAGTTTTTTTTTTTTTTTTTTTTTTTTGAGACGGAGTCTCGCTCTGTCACCCAGGCTGGAGTGCAGTGGTGCGATCTCGGCTCACTGCAAGCTCCGCCTCCCGGGTTCACGCCATTCTCCTGCCTCAGCCTCCCGAGTAGCTGGGACTACAGGCGCCCACCACCACGCCTGGCTAATTTTTTGTATTTTTAGTAGAGGCGGGGTTTCGCTGTGTTAGCCAGGATGGTCTCGATCTCCTGACCTCATGATCCGCCCGCCTCTGCCTCCCAAAGTGCTGGGATTACAGGCGTGAGCCACCGCGCCCGGCCTCCAGTTTTTGAATAGCTGGCGCAGCTGAGATATGGATGCTGTGGGCTTGGGGGCATCTGTGGGTACAGCATATTCAGTCCCTGTCTTGATTTTCCACTGCTGCTTCTAGAGTTAGCATGAAGAGTTCTGGATTTTATATATATATATGTATATATAATGGAGGAAAGTATGTATTTCACAGGGAACCTTGCTGTGCAACATTTTTGGTCATTTGTGAAGAAATACAAAGTCCTTGAATAACAATTAGTTAACAGAAACCTCAGTGTAGCCCAGTAAGCTTGTCAGCTCCACTCTCCCTCTGTTCTAATCTCTGCCCTGCCCCGCTCAGGCTGGTATTAGTCAGGCATGCAGCTGCACAGAGCAGGGGTTGCGGTGGGCGGCTGTTTTCTTTCTAACATCTCGCCTCTTCACTCACCATTTTTTCTAACCTGCTCTAGGGTCAGGCTTAGAGGAGAGGGATAGAATAGGACAGTGAGACTCCAGCGTGTGTGTGCGTGTGTGTGTATGTACCTACATGTTGTGCCAACTACGTGTGTCTGTGTGTGTGTGTGTACATGTTATGCCAACTATCTCCCTGTCCCCATCTGGCCCCAGAAACTCCTCCTTTGACCCTGGGCTGGCTATTGATGACCACTCCCACCTTCATGGGGGTCCTGTTACCTCTCCAAGTGGTCCTTTTGGGCACAGTTGTTTTCAACAACCTTAGGTTGGTTCCCTCCTGCAGGAGCCCTATCCAAGCTCCAGGACACACACAGTGTTGTCTGGAGTCAGTGGAAGGTGAACGTGCTCCCGTCACAGCTCCCCTGGCCCTGTATTTTATTGGCTCCTGCCAGTTTCTTTCTGTAGATTTCTCAAGTGTATGCAGCCACCAGTTCCCCCGTCCTTTGACTCTCGGGGATACGAATGGTTCTCTTGAAGTTCCCTCTCGAGCTTAGCTGAAGGCAGGAAAAAGTGAGGGTAGGTCCAGCAGGAACTCTGAAGTAAAACAGCCTGCCTCTCAGCTGCACCCACCTCCATTCTGTCACAGCCTAGAAGCGGGCAATGGGCTGACCCTGGCCAGCGCAGGTCTGCATCTGGGAGCATGAGCAGCGCAGATGGTCAGGCACCTGCTAGGACCTGGGGGTGCCTGGGCATTGTCGTGGACTTTGGAGCTTCAACCAAAGCCAAGGAACCATATAATCCATCCTGTGTCTTTTCAAAAGATCCTTAGGGCTGGGCACAGTGGCTCATGCCTGTAGTCCCAGCACTTTGGGAGGCTGAGGTGGGTAGATTGCTTGAGTCCAGTAGTTTGAGACCAGCCTGGGCAACAAAGCAAAACCCTGTCTCTACAAAAAATACAAAAATTAGCCAGATGTGGTGGCACGAGCCTGTGGTCACAGCTACTTGGGAGGCTAAGTTGGGAGGATCCCCTGAGCCTGGGGAGGTTGAGGCTGTGGTGAGCAGAGATTGTGCCACTGCACTCCAGCCTGGGTGACAGAGTGAGACCCTGTCTGTAAATAAATAAATAAATAGATGCCTAGCAGTTTTCCTTTTTACCTCTGTTTTCAGAGTCAATTGAGGATATAAAATTTGTGCAGAAGATTGGATAAGACTGGTTTAAATGTTTGAGCAATTAGTAGAAGTGAACAGAAAATTCCCAGGATGTAAACTCACGGTTGTCGTGTTGGTAGCGTATTCTAAGAGTGCAGCTTGAAGGTGCTTACGTTTTTCATGCTGGTAATCATTTACTTACCCTCTGATGCCGAACATTCTGTGTGAGTCAGGTCCTGTTCTTAGTACTACTCAAGCCATAGGCAGCAGGCCTGCCCTCAGGGAAGCTGCTGCTCCATTATCCGTAGCTTGTGGTTCCTAGTTTCTGCCTCCCTGCTTGGCAGCAGCCTTCTCTTTGCGTCCAGAACAGCCGTGTCTGGGGTGCCCTGTAGGTGAGGAACCTGCTTAGGAGGGAGGCCTGTGCTCACAGCTGCCTCCTTGCTTCCTGCCCCGTGTCCAGACCGAGCGTGTGCCACTGGACCTCAGTCCTCGCCTGGAGGAGACGCTGGACTTCGGCGAGGTGGAAGTGGAGCCCAGTGAGGTGGAAGACTTCGAGGCTCGTGGGAGCCGCTTCTCCAAGTCTGCTGATGAGAGACAGCGCATGCTGGTGCAGCGTAAGGACGAACTCCTCCAGCAAGCTCGCAAGTGAGTCGCTTCTCCAGACCACCTGGCATAATCCAGATCAAAAACTAGTGGCTGAAGGCCGTTGTCAGGCCGTCTTCTCTTTTTAAACAGATGCCAACAGTGAAACGGCATTACATGCCACCCCAAAACTCAGATTTCAAGCCTCTCTTGAAAAAACCAGAGCATCTGGTAACACTGGGCCCCACTGGTCTACCTCTGATGCTGGTACTGTCAGTCATCTCCCATGGACCCCTTTGGCCACGCTTGCCGAGAGAGCACTTGTGTGCTAACCTGATCTAAGCCCTTTATATGAATTACTTTAACAGCTCTAAGAGGGAGCACTGTTAACCCATTCAGCTGACATACAGCTGAAGAAATGGAGGCTGGAGAGGTTAGCACTGGCCTGGCCCTGGCGTCTGTCTCCCAGGTCCTCCCTGTTGACCACTCTGCCTTTCAGCTGAGCATTGTACACACACTCAGCGCATCTGTGCGTCACACACCCATGGTTGGTGGCAGCTACAGCAGGTGTGTCCTGTGGATAGAGGGGGTTTTGTTCCAGCTCTTAAGGACAGGGCCAGCACTGTGTTCCTCAAGTGGGTTTGGGCCCTGGCAGACCCTGTGATTGTGGGAGTTCTGTGCTGTGTCTGTGGGTGGAGGGGATGGGCAGGAAGAGACAGCAGGGAACAGCACTGAAGGGTTCCTCCCTGGTGCAGAGAGAATTTGCGCCCATCTGTTGGGGGCTGGATGTCTTGGTCATTGGGTGGTGCTGAGTGACAGCTTCATGAAGGTGCCTGGACATGGGGAGATGTGAAATCAACCTTCTGGCTGTGTTCCACAGCTCCCCATCTCTCCTATGAGAGAGAAAAAGTCTTCTGTTTTTTCTAGACGTTTCTTGAACAAAAGTTCTGAAGATGATGCGGCCTCAGAGAGCTTCCTCCCCTCGGAAGGTGCGTCCTCTGACCCCGTGACCCTGCGTCGAAGGATGCTGGCTGCCGCCGCGGAACGGAGGCTTCAGAAGCAGCAGACCTCCTAGCGCTCCCTTGCCTTCCTCAGCTGCCTCCTGCGCCCTGTGCCCGACTGACTGGAGGAGGCCTGTCCCAATTCTGCCCGCTCCATGGAAAAGCGGGCTTGACTGCATTGCCGCTGTATAAAGCATGTGGTCTTATAGTGTTTGGACAGCTGATAAATTTAATCCTTCTTTGTAATACTTTCTATGTGACATTTCTCTTCCCCTTAGAAACACTGCAAATTTTAACTGTAGGTATGATCTCTTCTGGTGTTGACTGGACTGCTTGGGGTGGGGGACGATCAGGAGGAAGTGAGCAGTCGCCTGCCTGCAGCAGGCAGCTTCTACTCCTGCCTCATGCGTACGTCCCACAAATGCAGGTGTCCTGAGCACCACACCCAGTGGGAAGAGTGTGGGGGAGGCGCACAGTGTGAGCCCGCCCCCACGTCGTGGGGTAACATCTGTTATCAAACTGCTGTCGTTGTTGTGGAAGCATGTAGACTGTGCCAGAGGCCAGACCCACGGGCTCATGCACCCCTGAGCCAGCAGGGCATCTTGGAAAAGGAACTCTTGGTTCGATACCTGGAGCAGAGGAGGGGAAAGTCCAGGGCTATAGGGTGTGATGAAGTCACCCCTTTCTGTCCCACTACATCTGGGACTGACTTTCCGAGCCTCCAGTCCAAAGCCGGCTTGATTTCCGTGAACTCTGGTGCTCCTGCATCTCATGAGTGTGCCCCATGGGTCCCCTCCCCTCTCAGCATTTCCTTGTCCCGTCTGGACCTGGGGAGTGGTTAGGCAGCAAGCTTTGGTTTATGGTTTTCATTCATTGGTGAAGTAAATTAGGCAGTGCTAAAGCCTGTGGGTTTGGTCCTTGAACAAGATGTGGGCCTTGCAAGATGGGAGAGTAAACCTTGAAGGGCTTTATTAAAGAAATAAAAAAGAACTTTTGTATCTTTTATCCTGGGAGCACTGCGTTTTCCTAGCTGTGTTATTCCTGGTTTAATTCAGCAGAGAAGGTAAGGTGTGAACCTACCTGCCTTGGAGAGGGCCCAGGTCCCAAATCTCTTCAAATTCTTCACATGTTTAACTTTAAGGATTTGAACCATGAAGTCATAGGTTACAGACCTCAGTTTTATGCCCCATTGGATTACTTTTTTTTTTTTTTTTTTTTTTTTTTTTTTTACTCTTTGAAAGCTTTGTTTTGTGGTAGTCCTTTTGGGAAGAATCCAGTATTATCCACAATTATTGGCAAAGTTTAAATGTATTTTACATAACGGAAAGTTTTTAGAATGTTGAAAAGTAATTGAAAAAGGTGATAGGTAAATTTTTAGGCAAAGATAATTTATTTCAATAAATCTTTCAAAAGCCTTACCTTGAAATGCTGTTAGTAAATTTCTGTGATTTTTTTTTTTAATTTGTTTTGCTGAGAGCATAGCTATTTGTTTTTATTGTAAAACAATAATAATAATAAAAAGCAAACTCTATTGGTGTGTTGTGTGTGGCTGGAAGCTAAGGCATGTTTTTGTGTGGCTGGAAGCTAAGGCATCTTTTTCCAGAGGTGCCAACGTTAAACCCCATTTTGATTTGGATTTTGTGTATACTATTTTGGTTGGAGGGTTTTTTCCCATGTTTTTGAATTGGGAACTTTTGTTTTTCCTAGTAGTGTATTTGGGGAAGGCAGAACTACATTTTTCTTCCCCTTGTATTTATATCTTTTTTTTTTTCAGGTAAGTGTGTAGCGAAAGATTATTTTACTGTCCTCGAATTACATTATACTTCACACGTTGCACCCATTGTAGGTGCCACTAATTCCACATGTTCACAGGTTTCTGATGTGTGAAAAGAGAAAATTACTTGGATCAATTTTAGAGGGTCTTGACACATTACAAAACAGCCATATCACAGTGTTTAGAGCAGGAGCTTATTAAGTAGCTTAAAATGATGCAAGAAGTGAAGTTCTCAGTCCGCCCTTCCATTTTACACCTGGATACTTGAGGATTTCACCACTTCCTGGGGGCGTCCGGGACAGGTGCTGAGGGCAGTGGCAGTTATGCTGGGGGCTTCCCCTCCCAGGACCACTTTTGCTGCCCTGCCAGCTGCAGGGTCAGGCAGATGGTCCTCACGCCCAGCCCCTGGAGAAGCAGCACTCAGGGCTGTGGGTCCAGGTTTGTAAGCGCAGCAGAAGGAGCATCCGGGTGCTCTGGTGAATGGTGGTTGGGCTGCCCCTGGCCTCTGTGGGCTCTTTTGGAATGAGGCTGTGTTGCCCTCTCCATTTTCTTAGTGGCCCTGTTTTGACTTCCTAGGTTCTCCTCAGTTTTTGTTTTGTTTTGAATTTTGAGGCTCTTCTGTACCATAGAGGATGGTGGGCCATGTGGCTGTTTCACTTGTATTGATGTGAATCCAGGTGCCCAGGCGGCCTCTTGGGCCTGATTTTCCACTTGGGCTAAGTAGACAATGTGTCCTTTTATCTGTAGCCAGCCAACTTGATCCTGTCTGTGGGGACTTTCAGTCCTGCTGGAGCTGGACACACATGGAAAAGGAAGCCATGGCCTTGCCGACAAGCCCTGGCAAGGAGCAGCGGCCGCCTGCCTGCCCTCGAAGGCCCTCCGTCATTTGGAGCCTCCATCTTGCAGGGCTGCTGCTCATCTGTTAGGTTAGACATGGTTCCAACCTTGGCTGCATGTTAGAATCACTTGTGGAGCTTTTAGATAGAGTCATTTACTGTAAACAACTGCAGTGAGCCGCCTCTGGCAGCCATCACACACGCAAGGTCAGGCTCTCACAGCGCAGGACAGAGCAGTCTCTGGGACCAAGGAGATCCAGTCATGAAATACAAAAGAGGGCAGAGTTGACTTGAGAGGTATCTGTCCACTTGCAACTCTTGGGGTTCCAGTTCTGTGGGGGAAACACAGATTTCTCCCCAAGAGAGGAGTCTGTGGTGCCTTTTCTATTTTCCTTAAGAGCTCTGAGTCATTAGAGGTCCCCTCTAGGTCTTTTCATGTGGTAGCCAAGATGGCAGAGAAGAAAGAGGGAAGAGAGGAAGTAAGCGGGAGGATGATTTTTAGGAACTGAAGTGCACAGAGGAAACAAGCACATCATTTTTTTTTAGAGAGGGGGTTCCAGTCAACTAGAAAAAAAATTACCAAAAACAGGATCCCAAAAGAGAAAAAGCAGGAAGGCCTTACCAAGATAAACATATATCCTGAATATCAGTTTTTAATTAAGCTGACTTCTAACCGTAGAGCTCTTAAAATCCTTTGAAATCTCATATTACCCAATTTTAGCTGGGACAAACAGCTGATATTTCTGGCTTTTGAGTCTTTTTAACCAAAGATACTCTCCTAAGTGGCAAAGCCTTATCCCCAAACATCAAAAGTCACATGAATATCAAACCAAAGGAACTAATTCTCTGGGAATGGAATTGGCTGTAGCAGTGAAAGGACCACTTTTTTTTTTTTTTTTTTTTAAATCTTGCCTGGGATCCGAAGCAGGCGGATTGAGCGTTTAAAGGATTTTAACTGGTTT
This sequence comes from Homo sapiens, assembly GCF_000001405.40. Lineage (NCBI taxonomy): Eukaryota > Metazoa > Chordata > Mammalia > Primates > Hominidae > Homo > Homo sapiens. The sequence continues at coordinate 56,359,410 of NC_000016.10, read as the reverse complement.
CAGATCTGATCTGATCTCAGCCGGAATATTGCTCGGATCATTCTCTGGATGTTAGCATTCCAACATCAGTGTCGGTTATTAGTCCTGGTTTAGAAAAAAAAAAAGGGTTGGATCTGCATTTTTATAATCTCAGTAGTTTTGTGTGCATTTCCCCCCTTTAGAGAATTACTCTTTTAATTACCTGTCTTATTGCCTTAAGCAACTGCCAGCTAGGCAACAAAAGTGCATTTTGGAGCCCCTCTTCATTGGGTGGTCTAACTGGGCAAAGAATGGTTCAGGAATCTGGCAGCCCCCAGAGCCAGAAGAGGTTCACAGCGACTCTGAGACTTTCTCAGTAGAGTTTCAGGGCAGAGATCAAAGACCTGGAGGGATTCCACAGGTGGTGATGATGGATACCTTTTGTTTACCTCCTGAATAGAGGCAATTTTCTCAGAATTTCTTTTAGAAGCTATTTAGGTGCCATTGGAAGTAAATCTCCTATTTGATTTGGTTCTAATTAGAACTAGCTTTTTACAATTGTGTGCACAGATAAACTAGGGGGGAAAAAGGATCTTTAAAAATATATATATCAGATAGGTTCTGCCCCCACTCTCCTTGTTCCGATTTAATTGGCCTTTTTGCTGCATCCTTTCCAAAAAATGCTATGACCTCCCTTCTAAGAAAAATGAGGCAAATAAACTTCTGTTGGTTTTATTGCAAAACTCATTTGAAAGTTGGGAAGAACCCTATTAGAATATGGCTTGGTTTTCAGAAAAATTCAAATGTGCCATATATAGAAAATGTCATGGTTTCCTTCAGCCTTCCATGTGGATCTTGGTTTGTTACAAAGTCAAACTGTGGCCTGGATTGCAAACCTTCCCCTCAATGGAGAGGGTAGGTCATGTGCCCCTCTCTGCAGATAAGTTGGGGTTTGGGGAACCAGGGGGAAAGCAGAAGAGGTTTAAGGGGTGCCTGTATTGGTTGGGTATTTATCACAGTGCCTCTTGTTCTTCCATAGTCTCTGAAACAATATCCCCTGCCTCCACCCCCTTGATTCAAAAGACTGCTGGAACTTGCCCGAGAGAGGCCCTTCTGAGCCTCTAATTCCCATTTGTTGAGATGTGGAGAGGATTCCAGGTAACTGACCTCTTGGCAGCTCCCCCATCTCACTGAAGACAGCATGATACATGATGCTCTTGGCCGCTTGTACAGGAAGTGGCGTGTGGACATGATGCAAGTTCAGTGGGCTGCCGTTGCCTCCAGGTCCCCGTTGCAACCCATTTGCTAATTATTACAGCAAAAGCGGGCCAATGTAGGGGACGGGTGAGACCTACAGTCTAGGGGAGGAACAGGGATCAGACTCCGTGTGCCCCACTGCACTGCTGGGTTACCTCCTGCGTGTTCGGCCTGCAGGGGGCTTCCTGGCATCCAGGTGCAGTCAGGGAGCAAATCGAAGGCAGCCTTCCTGGTCAGGCTGGGCCCAAGCTCGTCCTGGGCATGTGAGTGGCTGGGAACTCTTGGGTGCAGATGGGCTCAGGCAATTGGCCTCATTCTTGGGACCACCCATCCTCCCACTGTGGGGGAACCGCCGGCTACAGAAGAAAGAGGATCCTGCATGATAGGAGAGGGGGCTTGCCTGCCCTTCTTGCATTTCTTCCTTCCTAATCCCCACTTCCACCTCATTTCTCAAAAGCAAACAAAACCTACTGAGGGTGAGGAGGCACCGGGAGCCGGGAGGAGAGGGCATCGCAGGAGAAAGTGGCGGCTCCCCTGCCCTCATTCCCAGGCAGCACTGGGCAGTGGTCGCGTCAACTGTGCTCTGAGCTGGGGCTCCAGTGACGGCACTGAGGGGATGGGAAGGTCCTGTGGGGGACTCCTAACCACCGGCCTACCAGCGTGTGTGGCCGAGTCCCTCCTTCCCTCTCCTGCCAGAATGAAGCCCACCCCAAATAACCATCGTTGGAAGGCACAGGGTGAGACTCAGGAGTACAGACAAACATTCTCTTTTATTGAGCTACACAGGAATTTTCCATTAGTCAGAGAAGTAGACTGGCAGTGTGTAAGATATCACAGAAACCTCACCGATTGGGAATAGAAAGGCTTACAAAGACCCGTGGGCTTTTTTTTCTTTTTTCCTTTTTTTTTTAAGTTTTTTTTTTTAATTTTTTGTGTGTTTTGTCTTTTTGCCTCCTCTTTATTTGAAATGGCTGTGACTGGTCTTCTTCAGCAAAGATTAAGTCTTAAAAGTGAAACCGTGAAGAGGTTTAGGGTTTGGGTATTAGTCAAAGTAGAAATGACATAGGATTGGTCATGAAAACGGCGGCTTTAATGTAAACACTACATTCCATCTTTTTAAATTTTTTTGTTTTTTTTTTCCATCTTGTGGTATTTAAAAATTTTTTTTTGTTCTTTTTGTCTGCAGCACAAACATCCCCACATGAGAGAGCGGACACAGGGCACCGAAACAAAGGCAGGGGTGGGGAGGGGCGCACACACGAAGGGAGGTGTCAGCCGGGACCGGAAATCCAACACGGCAAAGGAAAAAAAACACAACCCGTTTCCCAAAGACTAGGAAAACTGATCTGTGGGGTGGGGGGCTGGTAATACATAGTACTCGGCGGGACAAAAGTAAAAACAAAAACTGAAAAAAAAAAAAAAGGAACCAAAAAACCCCTACAAAGGCTATCCTTAGAAAGGGGGTCGGTGGGCAGATTGTTTTCTATGGGGCTGGATTTCCTTATACGATGGGTGTTCTTTTTGGCAGCTACTGGCCAGTGAGAGCTGTGCTTTTTCTATACGAACCTGGAGTGAGCGTGTGGCGGGAGTGGCTTAGGGCCGCCAGGTGGCGTCTGTGGTGTCTGGGCGGCCGGCAGGCAGCAGGGTTTGCAGTGGCCTGTGGCCTTCTGGAAAGCCCGGCCTGAGCACACTCCTCGGACCAGTGCACCGCACCGGAGCCCCAGGCGGCAGATGGGCCCTGCCCCCCAGCAGGAGCTCCAGGGGCTGCGCCGCGAGGTGGGACGGGGGCAGGCGTCGGTGCAGATGGGTATGTTTGTTTTGCAAGAAAAAGAAATATGGATGAAATGGTGAGTTTTCCTTTTTTTAAGCTACAAAGCACATGAGAAATGTTCTGTTTTTCCTTTCAAATTCTAAATGTGAAGACTCAACTAAAACCGGATTCTACAGCATTCTACAGAAATACACAGCCGTCAGTCACTCTGGGGTCGTAGGTTAGACAGGGGCTTGATACAGAAAGGCTGTGTGTCTTACAAAGGCCAAAAGGTCATGCTACCAGGAGATCAACGTCAACAGCAAAGAGTCCGTGAAGCAGTCTGTAGAGAGAGAGATAAGGGGTCCAGTCTGACCATTTTCTTTGATTTTAAAAACCAACCAACCAACCAAAAAACCCTAGAACATTTTGACTACTGCTGGGGTTGGGCGAGATGGGGCAGCAGCACGAGGGGTCAGGAACCCCATTGAAGCCCATCCCGGGCACCTGGGGAAGCCTGGCCCCCCCCTGAGACCCTGACTCGGGTCAGGCCCACAAGTCCGGCCCTCCCCGCCACGCCTGTTCCCCTCGCTCCCCACCTTCCCACATGCCCTCTTGGAGCGGGGCTGGTTTCAACTCTGCAGGTGAACTTGAGTCCCCTCCTGTCAGCTGCTTTTAGAAAGCAGACCAAGTCTCCCTGTTCTCTGATTCTTGCCATCTTAACATGAATAAAGAAAACTCAGGAGACAGTGGATTGGTCGGAGCAATGATTCTTCTAAATTCCTGAAATTAACAACCACCACCACCCGAAAGAGAAGCATCCTTAAATTGTTCTGTTTTTGGGAGTGCAGAGTGAGGAGAGGCTTAGGGCTTCGGCCATTTCTGAAAGGGTCTGGAATTTGCCAAGAGCAGGACGGAACTGAGGGCGCAGAGGCTCTAAGGGCGCAACACAGAGAGCTGGCTGGGCCAAGGCCAGGGCTGTTCTGCCATTCACCTGTTCTCAGAAATGGGGCTGAGAGGAACACCCCGGGGCTATCCTCAAAAGGAGGGACTCCCAAACCAAGCTCCCATCTGGACATGTGTGAGTGTGTGTACACACACACACGTGCATGCTCACGTGCCGTCCCAGGAAAACCTCCATGAGCTATGGGATGGTGGTCAGTTCTGTCCGCAGCTCTTTCTAGTACAAACTAAAAAGATTTTTTAAATATATATTTGTATATATATATATATATATAAGGTTTTGTTATGCCTCTTTAAAGTTTATTTACCAACTTGCATTTGTTAGTGGTGTGTGTGTGTGTGTGTGTGTGTGTGTGTATGCGCGCGCACGCAAGCTGTTCTGTGGGTGCTGGAATCATTACCAAATAGGTTGCTATACAGGACAAGAGGTCAGTACAAGCCGCAGCCCCGGAGGTTGTTGGCAATGATGATGTCGGTGACGGCGTCGAACACCACCTGGATGTTATTCGTGTCTGTGGCACAAGTCATGTGACAATATATTTCTTTGTTGGGTGAGCGGTTTTTGCTTTCAAATTGTGCTTGGATGTAGGCGGCTGCGTCTTCATAGGTATTGGGGCCTGTAACAAGACACAGAAGAACGGGGAGAGGCCCTGATGAGCGCTGTGGGTGGACAGGGCTGGGGACATGAAGACAAGAAGTGGGTTGTGGCGTGTCCCAGGAAGTGGGATGAGACAGGAAGGGAGCAGTAGGAACTGCTGGGCAGTTCCAAGCCATAGTTGCATTTTAAATTAAAGAACTATTTTTTTGAGACAGAGTTTTGCTCTTATTGCCCAGGCTGGAGTGCAATGGCACGATCTCAGCTCACTGCAACCTCTGCCTCCCAGGTTCAAGCGATTCTCCTGCCTCAGCCTCCTGAGTAGCTGGTAATACAGGCGCGTGCCACCACGCCCAGCTAATTTTTGTATTTTTAGTAGAGACGGGGTTTCACCATGTTGGCCAGGTTGGTCTCGAACTCCTGACCTCAGGTGATCCACCTGCCTCGGCCTCCCAAAGTGCTGGGATTACAGACGTGAGCCACCACGCCTGGCCTTGCCATTACTTTTGATAGCAAAACTGCAATTACTGCAATTACTTTTGCACCAACCATACACAGGCTGAGCATTTGCCTGGCTTTGGACTTTGCAAGATCTCTTACTGTTTTCACACCAGATCCACCCGGAAGCCCCGCCTGGGACAGCAGTGGCCACAGATGAACGCTTTTGCTTCCTAGATGAGCAAATTGAGGCACCGCCCCATGGTCTAAACCAATCCTGCTGATTCCAGTAAACCATGAAAACAAAGTCTGGAGAGGGGCCTGCCCAAGAGGGTGGTGGGCACTCAGAGGGACCTGCACTCCTTCCTCATTGGTTTCCTTTAAGAAGAGGCCACTTGGCAGGGCTGGCAGCATATCATTAGTAGGCGTGGTTCTTAAGCGAGTGGCCAGGACATTGGGGCATTGATGTCCCCAAGGTGGGAAGTTTAAGGGGACATCAGCATGTATGATGCCAACTGGGGGCCCTCTGTCCCCACCAATTCCTTGGGTGTACAAGGGGCAAGGGGCAGGGGGTTGGGACAGCCTTGGGTGGGTTGTCATGGCTGAGACCAGCTCTGGGCAGCCCAGCAGGAGTGCCTGGACCCACAGTGCAAAGCCTCATCCTTGATCCACTGGTGCAGAGATGCCAAGCCCACAGCACAGCTGTTAAGGATTGGACAAAGCAGCCCGTGTGGACCCTGCCCAGGAGCTTCCTGTCTGGAGAGAGCCGAACTGGGCACAGCCCAGGGTGGAAGGTGGCCACAGGAAGCCGTCCAGGTGGGAGGAGCGCCTCGTGCCTTCGCTGTGTCTGCCGAGCCCAGCGTCCTCACACAGCCCTGCTGCCACCCAGCCATGCTGGCCCACACGTCCCTTAGACAGCCGGCCACCTCCCGTCCCACCCCTGCTGCTTGTTTTGTGCCCTCACAGGTTTGCACTCCATGGGGCCACTGCACTGGTGACCATCTGTCATCCATGATACCTGAATTCAAACTGGATTCCTCTGAAGGCCCTGGAGAACTTGTTTCTCAGGTTCCAACTGCCCTTCGCTGGGGCATCTAGTGCTTGCACTCCACAGCAGTGAGACTGGCCACTCCCAAGTCAGGCCCCAGTGGGACACTGGGCAAGAAAGAGCCGTAGGGTTGGGCCTGTCTCTGAGGGTAGCCCTGGCCTGAGGGGGCCTACTGGACTCCATCGTTGTGGCTGGGAGAGGTCAGGAGTGGCTGCCAGAGTGGGCTACAGCCTGGCTCTGCCCAAGGGCCACCTGGGGCTGGCCTTTCAGGGCTTGTCCTGTGCCCTCCTGCCCTCACTCCATCCTGCAGAGGGCACCTTCTCCGTGGCCAGTTCCCCCTCCCCTAGTTTCCATCCTCTGAATAATACCAATGGCAGCCACAGCCAGCACTTCAGTAGACCTGGCACCAAGCAGCTGTCCTTCCAGTCACCCTTGGGGTGGGCATGATTACCCATTGTGTTGACCAGATTAGAATGAGGCACAGATGACTGAGCAACTTGCTGAGCTGCAGGTGGTCTGGCTCCAGAGGCTACCTGGGCTCTCTGCCCTATTGGGACTTTGCTGGAGAGCCTCGAGTGCAGGGCACAGTTCCTGGCCCCACCTCCTGCTCTGCACCTTGGGAAGGGCAAGAACCTTGCAAATTCACATTAGCACGGACCATCAGTGAGGACACGGTTTGTGCTCAGAACAAGCTGACAGCCCTTCTTCACACACTGCTCCCAGCTGTGGGGAAGGGTGGGGAGACCAGCATCGACCTATGCTGGATGTAGGCACCCTGTGGCTGAGCTTGGGGACCCGTGTGGCCCTGAGACTGAGCCCATGCCCAAAGCCTTACTCCAGGGCTGTCAGAACATGGGTTCCTGGCCGAGCCAACCTGTGCCCTGACCTGGCGGATGACAGGACACCTCCTCCTCCATGGCAGGGTGCTGGCCCTGTGCACTCTGTAGTCTGCAAAGGCAACTCCTACCCCAGGGACCCCTAGAAGCTTCCCAGCCCCTAGAGGGACCAGGGCTGGGCTCTGGCATCCCATCAGTGCTGCTTTTAGGCATTAGCAGTAGCCCAGAGTTGGCCCATTCCACGGAAGCCACCATCCCTCATCCATCCATTTGGAAAGAGCGTCATTGAGCCGGGTGGGGGGGAAGGTCTGTGACACATTCCCCTGAGAGCAAGAAGAAAGCCCCAGAGAAGGCAGAAGAAAGGGAGGCAGTGATACAGGAGGCTTGCAGATAGCTGGAGTGGTTGGATTTGGGGCAAAGACCAGGGACGAAGGAAGAAGGGGAGAGAGGAGGCGCAATGGGGCTGGGGTTGGGGAGGGAGGGCAGGCACGATGTGGGATGGGTGGAGTGGTCTGGCTGGGCGGCTGCACAGAGATGAAGCATGTTCCGGGCACCAAAGCAGGGAGCAGGGAAAGCAGGTGGGGCCAAGAGGCAGTCCAGGCCCTGTTCACAGGCCACGTGTCCACTTTTCGGTTTCATGCAAAGGTGCTGTGGGGCTCTGGGCAGGGGTGAGGGGAGGCCACTGCTGAGATTACAGGAGGCTGTCCTGAGACCTCTTCTAGAGGGTGACCAGGAGGAAGGGGGAAGCCTGTGATCCTGTCCTGCCCCCTGCTCCCCACCACTCCTGAGTCACTTGGTCCTAACACATATATCTTAGGAGGGGCCATTTCCACCACGCTGAGGGCTGTGTCCTGGGAAGCCCAAACCTGGTGGCACAGCACTGTTTTTCTTTTGCGCCCCACCAGTCTCCTGCAATGGGTCCCGCTCGCCAGCTAGCCCCAGCAGTGCTGGCCGAGCAGCCTGTTCTCTGAGCCATGGGTCCCTGTCAGGGGCAGGCTTCCCCCTGCACAGGACTGCCTGGCACCCACCTGTGTATTCAGGAAAGCAGATGGTCAAAGGTGACTTCTTGATCTTCTCGCCAAAGAGATCTTTCTTGTTGAGGAAGAGAATGATGGAGGTATCGATGAAGAACTTGTTGTTACAGATGGAGTCGAAGAGCATGAGAGACTCGTGCATGCGGTTCTGCGGCCGCAGGAAGGGAGGAGAGAGGACAGACAGCGGGAGGGAGACACAGAGACAGGGAAAGAGAAGGAGAGAATTAGGCTTGACAGAGAGGGACTGGGCTACTCGGCAGCTCCTCCGAGAGGCTGCCAGATGGAACCTGAGTCAGTTACACCTCACAGCACATCTCATTCCCTGCTTCCGGAGAACCCGTCATGTCGGGGCCAGAGGCAGAGACTGGACTGGACACCAGCCATGGCTCTCTGGGGAGGCTGAGGACAGGGTGACCCGGGCTCTCCCCACTGCAGAGTTCCCAGCTATGTGAGGGTCTCCCAGCACACGTGTGTGTGGCTGTGTGCATGTGCCTGTGTGTGTGTGCATGCACCTGTTATGTGTGCCTGTGTGTGTTCGTGTGCATGTGTGCCTATGTGTGTGCACCTGTGTGTGCATGCCTGTGTGCATCCATGTGCTTGAGTGTGTGTGCGTGCCTGTGTGTGTGCCTGTGTGTGTGGGCGTTGGGGGAGTCTGGACCGGAGCCGGAGAGCTGGGCTTTGGCCCTTCCTGCCTAGACCTCTCCTCCTGGGCCCATCCTGGGTAGGGGGATGTTCTCTGGGAGTGGTGAGAGACTCCGGGCCCTTCCTATGGTCTCAGGGGAAGGCATGCCAGGTCCTGCCAGCATCCTGGGTGCCACCACTCAGGGGAGAGGCTCCTGGCAGGGCCACCTCCAGGAGCACCTGGGGGACTGGCCACACCTCCTCTGGCTGGGTCCTACTCAGCTGCATCTGACACTGCATGATGTTCTAAGCAAGGCAGATGTGGAGGGCTGCCCTGCACACAGGAGCCTGTTTAGCAAATGGATGAACGTGATGGGCGCCCCACAGATGCCGAACGGGGGCAGCCTCTTGCCCTGGGCAAAAACTCTGCTTTGGGGCGCTGAGCTCATTCACTTGGGCAGAGTCTGTCTCTCAGCAGCACAGAGGGCATCTTTCTCTGTGAACGAATCCATTTCTGCACAGGGAGTGGGAGGAAGGGACAGTTTCCCTTATTTTCCCCAAGAACCCTGTCCTAGCCCTGGGAACTTGCTCACTGTAAACCCAGCTCTCTGGATCTAAAGCCCAGAGGTGAACCAGGCTAAACTCTACCTCTGAAATAAGAAGAGTGACACAAGTAACAAGAAAAAGAAGACAGCTGGTGTAGATGCCACTGGGCATCTACGGGGAGATGACCTCCTCCCCCAGGGGTGAGCACACCGTGGGTGCTGAGGAATTGCTGGTCCCACTGCCACACCGCCCCCCTCTGAGCAGAAGGAGGGCAATGAAGATGAAGTGACCACACCAGTCACTGAGGCCCACACTGTGCCAGCGCTCTCCCTGCCCATGTCACTTAACCTCATCTGGCCTGAGGGGACACCGCGGTGACACAGCTGGGCCAGATCCAGAACTTATGCAATGGGTCTCTCCAGTCCATATCAGCAGGCTGTGGGGCTTTCGAGGAATCGATACTAACAGCAGCATGGCGGGCTCCGTGCGTCTTACGGCCAGTCCTCCCTTCAGTATCTCCCCCGTGCCTACATCATTCTACCATGACCTGTAGAGGCGGCCAGCCCCAGCCCCTGGTTCCTATTAGCTGAAGTTGGTCGGCGGAGGGCAGCGTTCTCAGCTGCCTCTCAGGGGCACCTGGACAGCTGGCATGGCGTTATTCCCCACCCCCCAGGAGCTGTAGTACACGGCACTGCCCTTTCATTCTGCTAAACAGATTCAGTAAACTCATATGATCTCATCACTCTCCTATCCTCAATCAGTAAATTTCATTCTGATTCCCCAGGAGCATTTCCCTGTCATCTGTGTGATCCCTCCGGGGAGGAGCAGGTCTCGCTTGCCCTGAGCCACCTCACTGGGATCTGTTCAGAAAAGGGCAGCCGGAGGCTTCTGGGAGGCCCAGTGAACCTGTGTCCAGGGCCTCGGGCTGTCCACACTCAAGCTCATTGAGCCACATTATGAGGCCAGAGTGGTGAGGCTCTGAGACCCCAAGGATTCCACAGGAACATGCTCCCCACTCCACAGAGCCACCTTGGCCTGCAGCTGCCTAACAGAGAGCTGGAAACCCACAGCCAGAGCCAAGCTCCCTCCTCCACTGCACATCTTCCCAGGCACTGCCAGGAGCAGCCACTAGAGTGACCTGAGCTGGGAGTGGGGACTGTGCCCCCTTGGCCACTGAGCTTAGGTGTGGAGGAGAAATCAAGTCCGGCTCATTTAGGCTCCACAGTTCCACTGGTTAAGGCTGAGCCCCCGCCACAGCCCCTACATCTCAGGGCCACAGAGCACGACTCACACCACACTCGCTCCTCCAGTCAGTACTGCCTGGCATCTGTGTGCAGGGCTCTCTGCTGGGCTGCCCCGAGGATGTAAGAATGACCACATCAGGCTCCTGCTCTCCGAGAGCTCAGAGTCCAGCTGGAGAAAGATGATCACAGTCTGTGGTCCCAGGAGTGGCAGTGCAGGGGAGGACTTGGGGAGCAGAGGACAGGCATAACCAAACCTGGTTTTATGGGGAGAGGGCCTTGGAGGGAGCCCCAAAAGGCGGCTGATCCTGGAGACTCGGGGAGGGCAGTGAGGAGGGGAGATCCTGCAGGGCAGGGGAGGCGCCGGCACTGAGACCCCTGCCAGCCCCCCAGGCCTGACTGCCCTCCCTCGGCACGCTGCCTGGAACCCATTGCCAAGGAGCTGAGAGCACAGCTCATCCTTACAAGCTCCCCAGAGGAAGCAGACGCCGGGGTACATTCAAAGAAGAGATACCACCATTTGAGAAAAGAGAAAGAAGTCAGAGATCATAGATGGCTGACAGCCAACCCCCTAGACCTCCACCTGCCCCAGGCTGCAGTGGAGGCCCAGGAGCAGCAGGAAGCAGTGCCAGCGCAACCATGGCCACTGCCACGTCACCCACAGCAGTGTCCAGGTGGCCACCAAGCTCTCCAGGACAGGAAGGTGGCTCGGCGCAGAACGGAGCAACTTCCCACCAGATGGCGATCCTGACAGGGGGGCAGGGCGCCCAGTCGCCCTGATCCTCTGTCCCCAGCAGGAGTGTGCCCACTCTGCCAGGCTGCCAGCAGTCCTGGGACCAGGATGGGGCAGGGCCCGAGGACACACATCGTGCAAGTGCACCTGGCAGGAGCTCCCTGGGCCCTGACAACACATCACACTCACGCTAGGAAAGCGGGCACTTTTTATTAACGGTAGGCGACTAATAAATACATTATGGCAGCCAATAAATTATTACAATAACTAGAGATTTATTAAACCAACAAGTCACTCTTCTTACAAAATTACAGTTAATATGGGGTGGGCAGCAGTGATGGGGTTGGGAGGTGGGACCACTGCACTCGAGAGAGACGGCTTTTCTAAGGAGGGCCTGGGACGCCCGAGCCCACCTCGCCTAGATGGGGGAGGGGGGTGCGTGGGGAGGAAGAAGATACTCAGCAGGGGCAGGGTGGGGGACGGCGGGCAGAGCCAGGGGATGGGTCAGAACCAGCGGAGTAGAGAAGACCAGGAGGCAGGAGGGGAGGGCCTGGCTGCCCAGAGCTGTGGGAGTAACAGGGCAGGTGTGGAGGGGAGGGGAGAGGAGGGAAAGGGAGGGGAGGGGTGGGGAGGGAAGGGGAGGACAGTAGTGGTGCCTCGGAGCTGCACTGCCAGGAAGTGGTGCTCTGCCAGGAAGGGCGGTGGGTCTCTGCTGGTGGTCTTGTGCACTGGGCCTGGGGATGAGAGCTTCTGTTCCAGGGGGAGCCCCTCTCTCATGGAGGGGATCCAGGAGTTTGGACTGGGGGCCATTCTTTCTGCTTTTCCCCCAGCCTGCCCCTTCTTTGACAGGGGCCTTCATCTGGCTGCAGTGGGGTCTGTCTGGAGGCCCCAGCTCCTCTCTGGGCAGGGTGGGGTCAGGGGTCAGGACTCTTCTTGCTGAGGGGTGGGAGATGGGGAGCCCTACCACAGACCCCACGGCAGCAGCTCACACGCCGGCCCTGTTCCCTGGGCTGCTGGGATCCTGCGCTCTAGGCTTGCGGCCTGACAGCAGGAACTGCCTGGGGGTGACTGCCTTCGGCACTGCACACTGAATCTCTGGTGGCCGCGGAGCTGGAGCCTCAGGTCTGGGTTCCTGAGAACTGCCAGGTTTTGCCTGAAGGCTCCCAGAGGCTCAGAGAAGAGAAGAGGCAGCCAGAGGAGGCTCTGTGCCCCAGACTTCTTGAAAAGGAGGAGGGCAGGCCACTAGCTGACTTGGAGGAAACAGTCCGAGTGCTCATTAAATATCCACCTGGGACTGCAATGGACTCACTTGCCAAGAGTGCACCAGGTCAGACTGAGAAATAAAGGGGGTGGCCAGGAAGGATGCAGGCTAGAAAAAGGAAGAACTTCCTGAATCAACCCCTGGGTGCTAACTGTAGAGTGTTAGGTGGGAGCAGGGGCTAAGCTCCCCACTGCAGGACTCATGTTGGCCAAAGGGAAGGGCATGGGTGAGACCATCCCTTGGCCTTCCCTGCTGGGGTTTATAGACAGCTTAGTTACAGGGCTTGCAAGTTGGAACTTGGGGCTGCCTCTGCTCCTAAGAATACTCAGAGAAGACCAGTGCAGACCATGGAGGGCAGGGATGTGTCCAGTTCCTGCCAGTGGGAGCTGGGCTGTGGGGAGGGCCTGGGAGACAGCTGCGTCCTGGCAGCAGGTATGGTGTTGTTCTTGTGCCTGAGCTCTAGGGTCCCCATGGAACCCAGAATGCCAAAGCTGTTGGTCAGGGGCCCAGACTGTGCTCTCTGCTTGGGGCTGGGCAGACCCCACACCCTCCTCAGGCCAGAGAGCCTTGGGGACCTCTATCAGTGCTCAGAGGGAAGGCCAAGACCTGGTTCTTAGGATGGTCAGCGGCGCAGGTCACAAAACTGGCCCATAGGCATGAAAGTGGCAGGCACAATTTTCATGAGTTTGGCAAAGACGCTCTTCGTAGAAATCAGTTTCTGCTTGGCCTGCTAAATCCGAGCCATCGGAGAGGTTACCATGGCCCCTCAGGGCACACGCAGGACCACTGTGGATTAGAAACCCACACGTGTCACTCGCAACATTCCTCCCACATCCACATCCACGACGGAGCCAAATCTCATTTGTCACCCTCAGTCACCACCCCACAAGATGGAGCCGCTGGTTACGACATGGATGACAGGTGTCATGCACAGGGAGAGAATTTCTCCCCGGATACCCCTGAGGACCAAGGACCACCCCCAGGCTAGGGTGGGAGGATTGAGAGCAGTGCAAGAAACCAAGGAGGATGGAGCATCCAAAGGAAGAGAAAGGCAGGCTGGGGATGGAGGGCAGGAAGGGCTGAGCACCCACTCCTCCAGCCCCAGTTCTAGGGACAGGGAAGGCCTGGATTGGAGGCCTGGACCCAGCCTGGTGCTCTGGCCACTGTGTTCTGAGGGCGGCTGCTGGGGGACATGGAGAGCCCTCCAGCCCAGTGACTTCCACCTCCAGGGTGATGGCCTTAGAGGTGGGGCGTGGCCAGCATCCCCCTTTTGCCGGCTGCTTCTGAGCCTGGGGTTACAGTTCGGAGCAGAGTAAGCGGAACAACTGGCCTCACCCAGCGTGGTGCTGCTGAGAAATAACTGCCATGTCTTCTGTGTTGGGCGGGATGGCTTAGCTTAGCTGGCCCTGGCTGTCCATGGTAGGACACTGTTGGTTCCCAGGGCCTGTCCTCTGCCACGTCCCAGCACCTGGTGCAAGGTCCAAAACATGACCGAGGTGAACAAAACAGAGGTGGACTTGGGCTGATGGGGTGGCTCCTGCAGTCCGGCTGCCAGAGGCTCCCCAGGCACCGGTCCCTGCAGGCATTTGGCACTAGGGAAGGTTCCTGGGTCTCCTGGGCACCACTCAGAGCTCTGTGCCTGTGGGTCCAACAAGTCCAGAGCTGTTGGCACTGGTGCTTCCCGGCTCTGGGGCAGTCCGGGGGCTGCAAGTGGAAACCCAGGGGCCCTGCCTGGCTGGGGACTAAGCAGTGTCCAGAGTGGGGGCAGGGAGAACAGAGGGCTTGAGGAGGGAGGCAGAGGCCTGTCAGTGGGTACCCTCCTCCCTCCCATGGCACATCTAGGTCCCCAGGCACAGCCTGCTGTACAAGCACACGACTGGCCTGGGTGTGGGCGTTGGCCTCAGCCACCTGGAGGCATCTTGGAGTGGGAGAGGTGTGTTGGTTGCCCAAGGCCAGCCAGACCTGCGTCACCGTCACCGGGAGAAGCTACCCCGCCCCCTTCTGCTCAGGGATCTCCGCAGTGAAGCCTCCTCTAAGGAGTCCTAGGACTCTCCCTTTAGAGTTGGGGACAGGGGGGTGTGTTTGTGCTGGCCTGGGTCCAAATACTCCAGGGTGTCAGCTCCATCCCCCTGCTGTCCTCTGTCCCCAGGGGCTGGGAAGACACCAACGGCTGTGAACAAACTCGCTGATTTCTTCACCAAGACGGTGAGGCGGAGGCACTGGCTGCAAAAGTCCACCCCCTCTAGACCTCTGCAACCACAGAATCCCCAGCCCAAAGGCCTTTGCTGGTTTGAGTTGAATTCAGTGTGGACTGAAGGAAAAACATATCTATTCACACCTCAGAGTGACCATCCGAGCTCCTGGTGACTGGAAAAAAGAAATGGGTCACCCTTTGGCCTGCGAGGACTGGGCGGGAGGCCCCAGCCCAGGTGACACAGGAGCTTCCACCTCCCTTCCCCGCACCTCCCATCTCTCCCTCCCCCCGCTCCACGCCACCATCTATCTGAGCCATAAATCAGTCTCAAGAAGCATTTCCAGAACTCGGAGGAGTCAGGGATGGGAGTTCTCTGGGAGAGCAAAGGCAAGGGAGGATGACCCAGAGAAGGAAGGGCTGAGACCCAGGGGAGGGAGCAGGGAGACGGAGGCCATCGCCAAGGCCTGAGTCCTCCAACCCACACCAAGTTGGCCTGATCCCACCCTGGCTTTTGTTGACGGAACTGCCCTCCACCAGAGACCCCAGGCAAAGCTGAAGGATGGCTCCTATGACCCCACCCTGCCAGCACCCTGCTGCAGGGCCATCTGCGCCCCTGCACCACCCAAGATGACAGGAGGACACTCCGAGGCTTCCAGTGAGTCATCAGGTGCAGGGTGTGCCCATCTGGGCCCTGCCCTGTCCCCCCAGCTTCCCGATCAAGCACTCAGAGATGACACAGAGGCTGTGAGCGTGGAGTCTCCTGGCCTTGCAGCATGCACTCAGCAGCCCCGCCCCGCCCCTGCGTTACCACAAGTTCTGTTGGGGGGTGCGGGTGGAGGATGCTCCCTCCTCCCTCCCTTGGTGCCAGCCTCTGAGGTCTTCTTCCTCAAGTGCAAAGAGTGGTCTGAGAGTGGTGGAGCCTGGTTCCAGGGGAGGGGGGGCGGCAGGCCAGGCAGGGCAAGGGTGCCGGGCAGGGCGGCTGGGCTCAGTAGAGTCCACAGCCCCGCAGGTTTTTGGCGATGATGACGTCCGTCACAGCATCAAAGACAAACTGGATGTTGTTGGTGTCCGTGGCGCAGGTGACGTGGGTGTAGATCTCTTTGTGGGCTGACTTGTTCTTGCTCTCGTACTGGGCCTGGATGTAAGCCACGGCTTCTGTGAAGGCGCTGGGGCCTGCAGAGCAAACAGGCAAGGTGTGGTGAGGCGAGAGGCCCATGGGACTGCTTGGCATGGACGACCCCAGCCTGGCCTGTGTGGCCATCCGGCCTTGGGCCTCTCAGAGACAACTGCACAGGGAAAACCTGATGGAGGGGACCTGAGGGGTCAGCAAAGTTAATAGGGGGTCCTGGATCCAGTCAGTGGGACAGATCCAGTGTAAAAGTCATGAAAGATACAAAATATCAGGTCTCCCAGTATATCACTTGTATTTATCTTTTTTTTTTTTTTTTGAGATAGGGTCTTGCTCTGTTGCTCAAGCTGGAGTGTGGTGGTACGATCAGGGCTCACTGCAGCCTCTACCTCCTGGGCTCAAGTGACTAATACTCTCTTCTCAGCCTCCTGAGTAGCTGGAAACCACACCTGGCTTATTATTATTATTATTATTATTTTTAATACAGATGGGATCTCACTATGTTGGCCAGGCTGGTCCTGAATTCCTAAGCTCAAGTGATCCTCTCATCTCAGCCTCCCAAAGTGCTGGGATTATAGGCGTGAGCCATTGTGCCCGGCCAATCACCTGTATTAAAAGGAGCACGTTTTGTGAAACTTCCATTTTCCTTTTATACATGCATTTATGGACTCCTCTTTTTGTTTTTCTTTTTTGTTTGTTTTTTTTTTTGGAGATGGAGTCTTGTTCTGTCGCCCAGGCTGGAGTGCAGTGGTGTGATCTCAGCTCACCGCAACCTCCGACTCCCAGGTTCAAGTGATTCTCAAGTAGCTGGGATTATAGGTGCGTGCTGCCACGCCCCACTAATTTTTGCATTTTTAGTAGAGATGGGTTTTCGCCATGTTGGCCAGGCTGTTCTCGAACTCCTGACCTCAGGCGACCCACCCTCCTCGGCCTCCCAAAGTGCTGGGATTACAGGTGTGAGCCACCATGCCCAGCCATTTATGGACTCCTAAGGCAAATGTTATATCTTATCATGGGTCATGAGCAAGGAAGTTTGAGGGCACTGGGCTCATGCAGGTAGCCCTGGTCGATGCACACCCTGTGGGTGGGCCTTTTCCTTTGGGAGTCCACAGAGCAGGCCTTGATATCACCTCCTGTGGCCACTGCTGGGCCAGATGGGAGAAGAAGCCTATAAACTTCTTGTTTCTGCTGTCCACTCACAGGGGATTAACAACCGCCTGGCTCACATGCTGCCTTCCTCAGGGGGCAACACACTGAGCTGGTTCTCAGGTAGGCTCAGGGAGAGGAGAGTCTAGGAGAGAAGCTTCTAGTTTGGGAAGGGGCAGAAGAACAGGACCCCAGCTTTGCACTGAAGGCCCTCAGCCTCCAGGAATCCATGCCAGGTGCAAGCAGGGCTGTGGAGGGGGCAGCAGGGAGGGGAGCTGGAGTTCAGAGCCGCAGCTCTAAGCTGGAGTGGGCTGCTGTGCAGAAAGCCTGGAGGGCCTGCCAGACCTCAGCTCTTTGCTCAATCTGGGCTGGAGGTTGGGGAGTGTCCTAGGACTGCAGCTGACTACTCAGCCTCCCTTGTCCCCTCCTCCTTCCCCACTCCAGGCCCACACTGGCCTTGGTAACTGACCGACCCCACCTGTTTCCACTGCCCCACAGGCCACAAGCCCGGGTCACTAGGGCAGGATCCACAGGCCCTCAACTATGGCTAGAGAGGAAGCTGGCTGGGAGCTTCCAGGGAGGCTGAGCCCTACTCAACTCCAGCTGGACATGCCTGGGTCCTGGCCTGCCAGGCACTCAGCCTGATATGGGGGGATGGGCGGAGGCAGGAGGTAGGAGAGCTGTGCTGCTTGCCTGGCCCCAAGCCCCCGGGATGCCCCACTGGGACTCTGTCTGCCCCTGCTCTGTGCCCTCCAAGGCCTCAGGGCAGGTCGGGCTGAGGGTGCCCCACTTCTCCTCCCACTCACTTCTCTGGACAGGGTCTGGCCATCTCAGAAGAGCTGATGGGCACCCGAGCTATGCTGGGGCCCTGTAACCGCTCTGGTGTCACTGACCAGAGCTGCCAACCTGCAGCTCCTCAGGGGCCCTGGTCATGCTGCCCTCCTGGCTGCCCGCCCACCCCATGGTCAGGTAAACCCACCACAGCACTGGCAGGGCTGGCCTCTCATCCCCAGCACCCTATATAGGGGGCCAGGGCTCTGCTGCTTGCAAAGCTCTGTGATTTGAGTCTTGCAGCAGCCCCGTGTGAGTTACAGGCATAACCCTAAAGGCAAGAGCAGACAGGCAGGGAGCGCTTCCTATGTGCGGCACCACGCGAAGCTCTGCGTGCCCATCAGCTCATTCCCTCTTCATAGCACCTGGTGAGGGAGGCGAGGGCAATCACAGCCATCACCCCATCTCACAGACCCAGAGACTGAGGTTCAGAGAGGCTGCATGACCTGCCTGAGCTGCTTGTGAGTGGCGGAGCTGGGGCATAAACCTTGGGCTGCCTAACTCCAAGCCTCTGTGCCCCGCCCCTCATCTTCTCGGCGTTTGCTCGTCTCGTCACAGAGAGCCCCTGTGCGCAGACAGTGGAGCTCAGGCTCCCAGAGGCCGCCATGGTCACACAGCTCGTAAGTGGCAGAGCCAGGGCTCTACCGGCTTTCCCTGATGAGGAAGCCCCGGCTAGCTGCCCCTCCTCTCTAGAGCACAATCTGGGGGCAGGGTGGGGGACCGTTTGTGTGGATTCTCTGTGGCAGAGTCAGGGGCATCCACAGAGCACAGGAAGGGTGGACTGGGCTTTGGGAACGGGGCCCGCTCCCTCGGGGGCCTGCTGTCCCTGGAGGGGTCTCTACCTGTATATTCAGGAAAGCAGATGGTGAGCGGGGACTTCTTGATCTTCTCTTCAAATATGTCCTTCTTGTTAAGAAACAGGATGATGGACGTGTCTGTGAACCATTTGTTGTTGCAGATGCTGTCAAAAAGCTTCAGGGATTCGTGCATGCGGTTCTGCAACAGAGTGGAGGGGTGAGTGAGGGGCGGCAGCATCCAGGGCCCTGACCCACCGCGGCCAATGACACAGCGGGACAAGCAAAGGGAAGGTCCACCAATGTGGCTGGATGCACCACCGGGACGGAGACCACCAGGACGGAGACGGGAGGACCCACAAGGACAGACGGGACGTGGTCCTGTTTCATTCCACACGCAGGCAGGGCGGGGCGGAGCAGGGCCGGGCAGGGTTGGGGGATGCTGCCCCCTTCCAAAGAGAGCTGGCCCCAGGTGGGGGCAGTGAGGTCACTGGAGAGGCTCCAGCTCACGGAGAGGACATGCACCATGCACGTACAGCGCAGGGGCCGCAACCACCACCGAACGCATCTGCGCGGAACCCTGCTCATGCAGATTTCTCTACCAGGGTCTCATTCGGTTTTGACAGCAAGGTTGGAAGGGTGCACGCATTCAGTTGGGAAACATTAACTGAGGACTAAGAGATCCTCGAATTAATCCCGAGTTGGAAGCAGACACCAGGGAATAGCGTCTCGGGGGTGAGCTTGCTGTGGCCTTGGTGTGGTTGGTGGTCTCGTTGGTGGGCTGGAGCGGGGGAGGCTCTGGGAGAACTGGTTGTTGGGGCTGGTTTCTCAGTAGAGGGGCCAGAGGAACCCCAAGATGAAACACAGCAAAACAGATGAAAACAGAGAAGATAAAAACCCAACAAGAGAAAGAGAGAAAAATACTGAAAAATTGGTTCAACCAGTCTCAGGGCCAGGGCATCCTGGCTAGCTCCTGCAGAGAGCCCGGTGCGGGCTCACAGGGGCCATGGCCATCCTGGGCCTGTGGATTGCAGGGCAAGAGATGCAGGATGGGTGGGATGAGCCCAGGCCAAGTGGCTGGAGAGGAGTGTGGGCGCAGGGGCGGGCTGGGCAGGCATCACAGCAAAGTCACCCAGCGGTGCCCTGAGAACCTGCTGCTTTCAACTCTTAGCTGATGGATTCAGTTGGAGGGAGGTGCTTCATACCTTCCGGGCTTGGAGGGTCTCTCAGAACTGGTTTTGGCCTTGGTTTGGCAAGATAAGGCCCTGCAGGCAGTGGAGGCGACCGTGGTAGTGGAGAAGCTGTGGCAGCCGCAGGCCCGGCTGGGCGGTGCTGAGAGCAGGTACGAGGCCAGGACCAGGCTCTCGGGCTCCCGGGATGCAGCGGACAGGGCGGCTGGATGGCCAGTGGCAGCCACTAGCCCCAGGGCTCTCCTGGCCTGGCTCCAGAAGCTGCTTCCAGACACCTTTGTTGCAGGCTCTCACCCCAGGCCAGAGAGGGATGCACAGCGCTGACCAGAGAGGATGGCTGAGGACCAAGGCCTGAGTTCCTGGGGCCTGGCTCTTGCCTCCCTGAGGCAGACAGAGCTCCCACATCCTAGAACCTGACCTCTAGCCATGGCATCTGAATGTTGTAGCCACAGGAGCTATTCACTGAGTGATGATTCCTGTGTACAGGCACTTTTACAGCTTTTAGCCCGGTGGTCCATTCTACCATTGTCACCATCTACAGAGGAGGAGGTGCAGGCCCGGGCAGGGTGGGGCGGTTGCCCATGATCACACAGGCGGCAGGGGTGATGCTAGACCCTGGACCAGATCTGTCTGACTCCCAAGCTGTCCACCTCTGCATGCGCCCCCAGCGCACGGCGATGACTGCTTAGTTCTACAGCGCCAGTATTGTTCTTGCTGCCACCACGGCAATGAGCTGCCTTTGTGGCTGCTGTCAGGTTGCAAAGTCATCCCCATTCCCTGCACGAGCTGCTACTCTTCCCCGGGCTGCAAAGGTGGCCAGCCTTGGGGAAGGAAGGACACAGGAAGAGCCTGCCTGTGACCTTGGCTCCATTTGCTTTGGCTTCTCCAAGGTCCTCTGCTCCAGCCCTTGTGTGGAAGGGTGGGGGAAATGGGGAAAAAGGGAGGTGAGAGAAGGTGGAGAAGACCGGAGGGCAAGTGCTCCAGGCAGCAAGGCCCGCAGGCTGGAAGGTCACCCAGTGCCAGGCCCAGCACCAGGCTCATGCTCACTGGGGACCCATGGGCTGCAGAGCTCAGGGCCTGTGGCTGCTAGGCTCACCCAGACGTCCCTTGCTTCCATCTTCCAGAGGTGAGCGAGAGCCCAGCCCCATGGCCGGTGGGCCTGGGACTTGGGTTGAAGCCATCCACAGGCCTGGCAGGGCAGGTCCAGGGAGAGGCTGGATTCCAGGGGGAAGGGCCCTCCTGGCTTCCTGCTTCTAGCTCCTTTGCTCTCTTTGAAACCGTGGTGGACATGGGGGAAAAAAGATGAGCCAAGTGGAGCTCAGACCCCAGGAGTTGGAGCAGTGGCCGTAATAGCATAGAGTCTAGCAGTGGGGAGTGGGAAATGTCTGGGTAGTCACTGTGAGGGGCACATGGCCAGGAAGCTGACCTGGGCTTTGGGTGGTCAGTGAGTCTGGGTCCAAGCACGGCCCAGGAAGCGCATCCACCCTTGCCCCACTCAGCATCAAGACTGGGCTGGTGACTGACATCACTGCCTGCAGATGCCATTGAGAACAATTACAGCAGAAACCCAAGTCAGGGGTACAGGTGGGCCTGAAATAGGAAGAGTCAGGTGGGTAAGCCTGTACACGGAACGGGTCCAGACTACCCACACCACCAGCCCAAAGCCCCATCACTCTGTGTAAGCCCCTCAGGGCGGCGGCTCCTCCTCCCTATAGCACTGTGCCCCGTAGCCCACACCCCAAAGTTGATCCCATCCTCACAAAGCCCAGTGGACCAGCTGGGCCAGAAATGACGAGGAAACAGACCCAGAGAGAGGACAGGCCTCGCTCAAGGCCCAGCATGACAACAAGCCCCACCTCCAACCTCAAACCCTCGGTGCCAGCCTTCAGAGGCGTGGGGTGGGGGATTTGCATGTGTTCCAGACAGAAGGAGATGACAGACGCCAGGCTGTGACCCCATAGCCTATGGGCCCCGCTGTCAGGAGTGTTGGGGCTTGTCTCCAGTGACCCTGTGGGCCATGCTCGGTGCCTGGCGGGCTGCAGCCCAGAAGGGGACCACGCAGTGGACCTGCAGGCTCAGGGCAATCACCAGCAACTGTACAACCACCAGCTTGGCGCTGCTGTCCCAGAAACAGCTCCAGAGCGCTGCACACGCATCACCCACCCCACTGCCAACAGCCCCCCACAGGCAGGTACTATTATTATCTCCCTTTTATGGAAAATAGTAACTGAGCCAGAAAGGGTGCTGCCTAAATTCAGCAGCAAGCCAGTGAGTAGCAGAGCCAGGACTAGACCCAGAGGAAGGCTGCACTCTCCCAGGGGAATGTCCCCTCACTGAGGCCCTAGGCTGAATGTGACGCAAGACAGAAGGTAGGAGCCTGGTCTGGCATTTGGCAAAGGAGCCCAGAGCCACGACTGTCACTCACCAGCATGCCTCATCCCCATTGCCCTTCCTGGCCCATCAGCCCCACACACTGCTCCCCAGCACCCCCAACCCCACGCAACTCTCCTGCAGCATCCTGGGCCCTCCCCACCTCTCCCTCAGCATCCCCGGCCCCATGCTGCTTCAGCAGCATCTGACGCCAGTGCCCCAGGGATGGCTGTCAGGCTAAGACTGCTATTTCTGTTGCCTGTACATTCTTGCTTGGCTGCCTCCTGGTTTTTTTAGGGTTTGCTTAAATTTGCTATGGCCTGATGGCCTCTGTGACTCCACCAAGTTTATGGAAGAGGCACATTCTGCACGGCTCTGTGTGATCAGGTTGCATACACAGGCTCTGCCACACTGGCATCATGAGGCATTTGCCTTGGCAATACAGAATTGGTGGAGTGCCGGCACGGCCTGTCCATGATGGAAACCTCTAACCACAACAGCTGGCTGGACCCCAGAGCCATTGTGGGCACCCGAGGCCCAGTGCTCAGAGGGCTGGCCTATCCTGCGGCCGTCTCCTCAGCGCTGCCCCCTGCCCGGGGGGCCCAGGCCACTCACCGTGGTTTCGTCTTCGTGGAGCACCTGGTCATAGCCGCTGAGCGCGACACAGAAAATGATGGCCGTGACGTCCTCGAAGCAATGGATCCACTTCTTGCGTTCAGATCGCTGGCCTCCGACGTCAAACAGCCTGTAGGAGGCAGGGAGCTGGTAGGCGCAGGGTCCAGGCAGGTGAGGGCTGCCTGGGGATTAAGCTGTGAGCACGCTGAGAGGCAGAGGATGGGGGCCATGGTGCTCAGAGCCTTGCTAAAAGCCCTCACTAGAAGACCTTGTCACTCCAGGTGATGACAGACAGCTGGATCACTGCCATCCCCAGGCACTACCCCTGGAGTCTGTCCTGGGACTGGCTGTGCTCACAGATCATGACTCAAAGACCTGCCCTTGCATCTGAGGAGCATTTTACTAAGAGGGCGCACCTGAGCCACCCCCAGGAAGTGCCTCTGAGAGTCCTCCTCGCATGAGGACCCTCCTCTCAGTCTATTCCTTCCTGGGTTTGCTCTGGGCAAACTCCAAACCAGCCTGGGAGGGAGGCAGGCAGGAGATGTCACCTGTTATGTGGATGGCAGAAGTGAGCCACCCATGGGCTTAGGACATGCCCAAGCTGGCGAGAGTCCAGCTGTGGTGGAGCTGGGTCTGGCTGTGGACAAAGCTGGCGCTCTCACCTCTGCCCAGTACGGCCCCTTTCTGGCAGATCAGAGCCTGGCCTCTTCCCCCTCTCAGACTCTACTCCCGAGGGGGCACAAAAATTCTGGAAGAGACTGTGGGCAGGTGGGACTTACGTCCTGGAAGTAAAAGGTCAGTCTCCCACCCCAATCCCCAGAGCGAGGAGTCCTGTAGCCTCCTAGATCTGGGATGCCTGCTGACACACAGCCTGCCAGAGGGGGACAGGGAAGGATCTCTGGTCCCACCGGACACAACGGAGTGACTGCAGGCAGAGATTAGTGTGGGCTCAGAGCAAGGAATGGGTCTGGTTCTCATTCCATCAATCAGGGGATCCTCCCCTGGATCCCACCTCCCCATCTGAAATGCAGGGGCGTTGGCAGATGGCCTCTGTGGCCCCTCCAGAATGCTTATTCTCAGACCCCGCCTTGCTGGGCTGGGTTGAGCTGAGATCCCCATCCTGTGCTCCCAGTGGGGGAGCAGGAGAGACCAAGGAGCCTGGGAAGGCAAGAGAGGCCCCTCAGGGCTGCTCTGCCCAAGGTTTTGCTCCCCAGATCTGCGGAGGCCTAGGGGTTCCTGGGCCCAGAGCCTCGGCCCCTCAGTCTGAACAGGAGCGGGCAGGAGTTGGGGACATGGGAGGCAGGGAATATTAGAATCCAGCTCTCCCAGCAGGGGTCCCTGCCCTCCCCTTCTCTGCTGGCCTCTCTTCCCCACAGGACGGAGCAGGCCTCAGTGCACGCATGTTACTGCAGGTGGGGACACAGCGCTGCAGCAGGACCCTGGGAACCAGCTCACCCGTCAGGCCCCTGCTCTGAGGCCCCAGAGCCCCTGGGTTCTAGCTGTGCTCTGTGCCTGGGAAAAGCCCTGCTCTTGTCAGGCCTCAGCTTCCCAAGCGTACTAGGAGAGGGTGGGTCAGCTCTCTCTGCTCCTTCCAGCTCTGGGATTACTTGGGTCCTCAGGGTCTCACAGAGGTAGCTTGGGCTTACCCAGCCCCACTCTTGGCTCCTCCCCCCAAGGTGACCTTGGAAGGGCCCCCTGGTAGCCCACCTCCTCCTCCTCCTTGGAAGTCACCTCAGGGACAGGCTGCCCCTCCTTGTCCAAATCCTCCCTGTTCCTCACAGCCCCACTCTGGGAATCTTCTTCCAGAAAGCCTCCCTGCTCACTCCAGCCCCTAACCTTGGCAGAAACACAGACAGGTTCCTTCTAGTATCTAGCTGCCTGCCCCAGCCCGCAGGTTCCCTGGGGCAGGATGATGTTTGGGCGCTGTAAACGCAATGCGCTGAGAGGCTGGGCATGTCCCATCTTAGCCCTCGCCAGGGCCTGGGGGCCTCTCTGGGCCTCACCTGAAGTGGAGGTTCTTGAATGTGAAGTGGGTTTCTACGATGCCAGTGGTTTTGACCCTGGTTCGGAGGATGTCCTGCTCGGTGGGCTGGTAGTCGGCGGCCCCAATCCGATCCAGGCTGTCCAGGTAGCTGAGGATGGCAACAAACAGGGGACTATGGACCAAATGCCTGGACACTGTTCGGGACTGGCCAGGCCACCCATCTTCAGAGTCCAGTCTCGGTCAGGGCCCCTCCAGGTCACTGTGGAAAAGACATCACCTCCATTCCAGGCCATAGGGAGTGGGGGCGACTGAGGAAGTGGGTCTTAGGGGTCTTGGCCTCACGCACTCATTCACAGCCAAAAGGGCTACGCATGCAGCTCCCGGGACACTCAGACAAGATCAAGCTTTTATATGAGACTACCATGTTTATTATAATACTGTTTTGTCATTTTTTCATTTAAAAGATAATAATGGCCAACAGATAGGTTCTATTCTTTGCATGTGTAACCATGTTTCATGTGTAATTTCCCTGAGTTAAATGTACTAAAACTGGGGCTCATCGAAGGTAAGTACCTTGCCTGAGGCTGTGACCCGGACCCTTGGCTCCAGAGGCCATAATTTTATTACTGTCTGGGGCTTCAGCGGCCCCTGAGCAGTTCCCTGCCTTCTCCACACTTCCTTCTCACTTACCAAGGGGTCTGTGTGCCCCTTCCAATTTGATGCTCTT
The DNA here is from genome assembly GCF_000001405.40 of Homo sapiens. Lineage (NCBI taxonomy): Eukaryota > Metazoa > Chordata > Mammalia > Primates > Hominidae > Homo > Homo sapiens. The sequence continues at coordinate 56,334,149 of NC_000016.10, read as the reverse complement.
GGAGGCTCAGGGCTGCACAGCCATACAGCGGCTGGGCCTCCCTGGGACCCGGTCTTTGGAATCAGGGCTCTTTACCCCTGCTACCTCCTGCTGTGGGGACAGACCAGGCTTTTGCAAGTCACCTGCCCAGGCCTCAGGCCAAGCACTCAGAGGACGCTGCCTGCAAGGGCTTTGGGGTTCATTGTGGGTTAAGTTTGAACCTAAAGCCAGGGTAGGATCTGGGAAATCAGGAAGTGGGGAGCTGGGCCAGGCCTGAAGGAAGACTCAGTGATCCATGGAGCCTGCCAGGCCACCCATCCCTGCTGCCGGGGCAAACCACAAGCAGCCCACAGGGAGGAGCCCCAAGTGTCTGAACCACAGAACGATGTGGGGTCCCAGGCTGCATCTGCTCCAGGACCTGCTGGGGGCCAGCTTGCTGGCTGGACCTGCAGTTACCACTGCATGAGAGATGGGCATGCTGACCAGCTCATGGATGTCCACAGGGCTGGAAAGGGCAGATGACTTCGCCAGCTAGGGTGTTCACTGATAGAACCCAGTGACAATCCTTGTGAGAATGCCCCTAAGAAAAGAAAACAGAAGGGTGGCTTCCAAGGCTCAGGGAGGTAAGCTTGAAGTCACACTGCGAGAAAATGAACTTGGCAGCCGGGTGCGGTGGCTCACGCCTGTAATCCCAGCACTTTGGGAGGCCAAGGTGGGCGGATCATGAGGTCAGGATTTTGAGACCATCCTGGCCAACATGGTGAAACCCCATCTCTACTAAAAATGCAAAAATTAGCTGGGCCTGGTGGCAGGTGCCTATAATCCCAGCACTCAGGAGGCTGAGGCAGGAGAATCGCTTCAACCCAGGAGGCGGAGGTTGCAGTGAGTTGAGATCGTGCCACTGTACTCCAGCCTGGGTGACAGAGCAAGACTCTGTCTCGGGGAGAAAAAAAAAAAAAAGAAAAAAAGAAAATGCACTTGGCTGGGATTCCAGCCCAGTTCTGACTGGCTCCAGACCCCACGCTCTTAAACTGGACATCATCAGCATTTTAAAAATCCAGAAAAAAAATTTAAACAGGACTCCTGGCCTCCTCTCCTGAGCCTGACTGCCCTCCGTGGACAGGAACGGTGTGGGGATGGGGTGAGAGAGCCGAGGCTGCAGAGCAGACCTGTACACGCCCCCGGCCTCACAGCCTCCTCGCCAGCCAGTGGCATCTGGGCAGGCTCTGGTCTCAGCCAGAAGGAGCCTCTCCCAAGCCTCTGTGCCTGCCCCGCCCTGGCGCCCATGACCTCTGCTTCCAAGCTGTGAGGACGCCCTCTGCTGTCATCTGCAGCTGGACACCAGCCTGGAAGCGTTTGGTCCTGCTCTTCCTTTCCCAGCCAGGGCAAACCTCCTTTAGATGGGCAACCTGGCCCTCTGGCCTCTCTGTGCTGGCCGAGCCTCATGCAAGGAGACGGCTGTGGAGGGTGGGCAAGGTGTGGGAGAACTGCTTAACAACCCAGTCGGGAAGGCTGACTGTGCACCTGCTGTCCATCCCACCTAGCCACTGTTCCAGGAGCTGGGGATGGGGCAGTCGACACAGCCCCACCTTCCCAGGGCCTGTGTTCCAAGTGAGTGTGCACACGTGTGTGAGGTGGTAAACAGAAGAGTCAGAGAGATGATATGTCAGGAGGTAGTGTGAGAGAACGAATCAGGCTATTAGTGATGGGGGAGAGCTGCTGGGGGCTGCTATTTGATGCAGGGTGGTTGGGGAAGGCGTCTGGATAGGGGAGACTGAGGGGAATGAGGGAGCAAGTGGGCCTCGAGTGGCCCAGTGGAAACACTGGCAGGCATGGCGGCAGGAAGCACACGTGGAGGGGCCAGGTGGTGGGTGAGGCTGGGGAAGGTGGTGGAGGTGAGGGTGGCCAGAGTCCGGCTGGGGCAAGCAGGCCCTTGAGGTCATTGTCAGGGCTTGAGCTTTTGCTCTGAGTGAGATGGGAGCCCCTCGAGGGTTCTGGCCAGAAGCATGTTGACAACGGCCCTGTTGCTGCCATGAGAGCAGGTCAGCGGGTGGGGCCTGCAGAGCTGCTGTCGTCACCAGATGGCACTGGCACAGTGGGGGTGGCTGTGGAGGGTGTGAGTGGTCAGAATCTGATGTACCTGCCAGGGGAGCTGCATCTGCTGGTGGCCTCGGTGTGGGATACAGGAGGACGAGCAGAAGTAGAGATACCTCCACGTGGTGGAATGAGACACATTTAGAGGGAGGGAGGAGCACACAGAGCAGCTTCTAGTGGGAGGATGGGAGCCAGGGGTTCCACGGGCTCATGTTAACTTGAGACTCATTTGATGTCCAAACAGGCACTGAGTAGGCAGAAGTCAGGAGGGAGGGCTGGGCTGGCGATATGAATTTGAGAGTTGTCCAAGTGTACAAGGTGTTTAAAACGAGACAGGAGAAGGTCACCAGGCACCAGGCCTTGAGAGGAGGTGCTTCTGGGATGGAGCTTGGGGACGGGATACAGCAGCCCCCAGCAGACCTCCCCCATCACCAGTTGCCTGGGTGGGTGGGCAGGAGGCATCGAGGGAGTCTGGAAAGGGCGGCCCGAGAGGAGGCGGGGGCTGGGAGTGAAAGGAGGTACCAGGTACTAGGGGACTGAACCCTGAACCCTGAGTGGGAGGAGGCTGATGGAGCAGCCCCCAGGATAGGACTGGGCTATGAGCCATCTCAGCAGGCGGAGGAGCAAGAGCTCGATAGGAGTGGGGTCAAGAGAGAAGGTGAGGAGAGGAAACGTCGGACGCCAGCATGGACAACTCAGTGGGGAACTGGATTTGAGGAAAGCCAATGCCAACCAGGCCCCAGAGCACCTTTCACAGCCCCTGGTTGGATGTGCCCAGGGTTTCTGGGACCTGCCTCTAGGTAGTTATCCAGAAGGGAGAGCCAGCCCTGTTCACAGAGGCCGGGGTGCACCAAGAGCCTGCTCAGGAGCCTGTGCCCTGGTCCCTCCCCTGTAAAGGGCTGGGCAGAGAAGTGCTTTGGTGGTTGGGGCATTAGGGTGTCAATGGCACCCCCTGGAAGCACGTGCTGTGGCAGCCCTGTGAGTCCTCCCTCTCCTTTCCAGCACAACAAACCTACTCTGATCTGCTTTCTATACTGGGCCCAAGACTTTGTCAGAAGCTGAGGTCTAACTGCTAAGACAGGAAATGTGCCAGGCCCTTCCGGCCCTGGCCACCTGTGTGTCCCCTGTCTTTCCTGCCCTCTCCCAGAGGGGAGACACGGAAGGCCCAGCCACAGTGACAGAAGAGAATGGTAACATCATCAACCTGGGAAGTGGAAAATTTGAAAGAAGGCAGAGATGAGGCTGCAGGGAGGAGAATTTCCTCAGCTTACTTGGTGGGGAGTTGACAAATACTGACTCAAGTTTCTTATTTAAAGTTATAAAGGTAAGCACCGGAAGAACTAAAAATAATCCTGTAACTAGCAAAAAGCCGGAGGTGAAGGTGGAGAGCGATGGAAGGAAGGAAGGTGAGCTGAGCTCCCTCGATTCCAGAGTGGGTGGCAGTAAATACTATTTTGAGTCAGAGGATCAAGTTTTTCTGGATGCCACTGGGACAAATAAATGGAAGTGGGTAAAAGTGGGAGGGGCAGGGCTGGTGGGGGGAGTAGGAAGATTACTTCTCATTTTACATCCCTCTGCATTTGTTTAATTTTTTTTTGGTAATGGATTCATGTTATAATTAGTGAAATGGGTAAAAATGTAAGTGGAGAGCAGAATTTGCTGAGCCACTAGAAGACAGATTTGGGCCAGCTGGCCCTAAAGGCCCTTGAGGGTCTTGCTGGCCCTCGGGGAGGAGGCCCTGGACTCCAGGGCAGGGACAGGGAGTGGAAGAAGGGAGGAGGGCAGCTGAAAGTCACTCTCTCCTGCCTAGCTCTGGTCTGTGATTTGTGCATACGGAATGGTGGACACTGAGCTTCTGGGCTCACTGCCCTGACCACCAGGGTGTCCCTGGGAGCTCATCAGGCCCGGGGGCCTAGGTAGTCATCACCTGGGACTCACAGGACTTCGGCATTTGCCCTCTGGACAATCTAGGTGTGCAGAAATGGGAAGCCGCTCCCGGCCTTGCTCAAGTCCCTAGTCTGTTGGCTGCCATGTGGCCCGTGGAAATGTCCAGGAGTGAACATTGGCCTCAGCCTCTGTCCATTGGCATTGCGTAGATCAGGGTTTCTTAATCTTGGCACTATGGATGTTTGGGGCCACGTAACTCTTTGTTGTGGGGGCCGTCCTGCACACTATGGGGTGTTTAACAGCATCTCTGGCCTCTACCTGCTAGCTGCCGGGAGCACCACTCTAGCTGCAGCCATCAAAAATGTCTCCCGATGTTGCTGAATGTCCCCTGGAGGCAAAAAGGCCCCAGCTGAGACCTGGTGAAAATGGCTGGACTGGATCATGTCAGAATCTTCCCAGCTAGTGGGATAAAGCTCAAGGGCTCCTTGCAGAAAGCCCCCACTGAATGTATGGGTACCAGATTGCAATTGCAAAGGTGGGGTGCATTTCCCGAAAGCCAAGGGGGCAATCCCAGTATCTCCATGACAGAAGACATGTCCCTGACCAACGCTGACCATCCCAGGGCTCTGGAGCCTCCAATCTAGAGGCCAAGGGCACGGAAGCAGTGAGGATGTCCTTGGAGATGCCTAGAGTGATAAAGCTGCAGCCAGTGGACCTGTGACCTGCTGTGATGGGAAGAGCCGGGAGCACCTTCTAACCAGCTCCAGCTTTTACCACTTCCCACCTCTCCGTCTTCTCTTCTGTCCTCTTCTTTCTCCCTCTCTCCCCTTCCTTTCTTCCTTCCGTCCTCCTGCCCTCCTGTCATCCCCCTTATTTAGTTATAAATAGTATTAAAGTATACATTTATTATATTAATTAGACTTACATATTCCTTATTCTTAATTTTAAAGATGGGGAATGGAAAGCTTATTATTTTTTCTAAAATAAAACAAAATGGCACCATTTCTTTTCTGCCTATATGGCTGTTGTTTTGGTTTGTATTTATGCGGTCAGGGGCTCCCTATAAAAAAACAAAGCTGCTACACTTGAAAGCTGTCTTTTTGCAGTGCCAGGCACTCTCCAGGACAAGCCAGTGACAAGGTCCCGGCCCTCTGGGAATTTCCACTGTTTGGTTGTCTCTTGCGTCCTCTGCCTCCTCTGGCCTCTTTCTCCTCCTGGGGTGCAGGAAGAGAGGCCCCTTCTCATTCCTTCCTGACACCCTCTACCTATGGGAGAACATCTCCCGGCAGGCGTGACCTCAGCCGAGAATCCTCCTTGCTCTGCCAATCCCCATCACCAGTCCCTTCCACTCCCGCATCACTGCCCGGCTCCAGGCCATGCGCCCGCTGGGACACTCACTATTTGGCAGAGTCGTTGAGCTGATACTCCCGGGACCGGTTGAAGCACTCTTGGATTCCTGAGTCGCCCCAGAGCCGCATCATGGCAGAAAGCAGCTCTGCAGAGAAGGGCTCGGTGTCTTCCATCCGACTCACCACATCACACACCATCTTGGCGTCAGCCTGTGAGGAGAGGTGGATGGTGGGCTTTGACGCTTTGGTGGGGACAGAAGACCTCTGCCAGCCAAGGGCTCTCCCCTAGCGGGGACTGTGATGAGAGCCCAGCCAGTGCAGCAGGACCGCAGCTCAGCCCACAGCCTGCTCCAGGGAGGGCCACGACCTGAGCATGCACAGTTGGGGTTCCTGGGGCCCGTGGGGCCTTCTACCACATGGATGTCCTAAAGCAGGAGCTCCAAGCTGCAGCCCATGGGGCCCCAGAGTTTTCTGGGGCAGGAAGGGAGAGTGGGCCCGGCTCTGTTCTCCACTCTCCAACTCAACCAGCAGGAAGGCAGAGTGGGCCTGGCTCTGCTCTCCACCCTCCAACTCAACCAGCAGCTCTGCTTTCATCCTGAAAACTCGGTTATTTTGTTCGGGGGAGAAAAAAATCAATGTTCTTGGCTGAGCTGTAATTTTCTATACTTCTTACACAGGGTGGAATGCAGTCCCTAGAACTGGGCTATGTAGAGGAGCAGACGTTTCGGTAGAGAATTCCGGTTAGCTGAGGGATGGGCCACAGCGGGGCTGTGCCTCAGGACTGGGGGAGGGGAGGGGCTGGTTGCCAAGTTAGTGCAGATGGCAAAAATATCTCATGCCAACACTAAATCTCAAGAACTTTGGCCCTTGGACTGCTCAAAGCCAAAAGTCCATTTTATTAATTTTTCTTGATTTGTTTGTGACCTGGGGCCTACCTTTCTCTGGGGGCAGGGGAAGCTCCTAGGTCAGGTGAAACATGGAAATGGGAAAGGACAGGTAATGAGCTTGGAGCACTCTCCTCCTCTGCCTCCTCCCTTCCTCCTTGTCTGAGTGGGTGTAGATGAATTTGCTTAAGGTGCACACGTGTAGGCTGAGCCTTCTTGAAATTACAGAAAAAGTACTGCATAATTAACAGGTTTCTTCCCCTTCCCCTCATCCTGGATACCAAAGTGGGGTCGCCTTTTCAAAGACTACAATCACATGCATGTAACATCACAACCAGGAGTGTGGTGGTCTTTGAAGATAAGAAGGCTCCTGCAGACATCCCAGGACTGCACCGTCACCGCCACCTTGCACACGGGAGTAGTACTTAGCGTACAAAGGATTTGGTGAACACACTCCGTCCTCAGAACCTCCCCCACCTCAGGAGCGAGTGGCAAGAGCTGTGTCGTTGGGCCTTTCACCCCTCCTCTGCCCACACCCTTTGCCCTGCGCCTCTTCAGCTCCTCCTGCTAAAGGCTGAGTATATGTCCTGTCTGCTTGATGTTGAGTATGGCACAGGACTCGCCGTGGCCCACAGAATGGTGCAGCAGTGGCACTGTGCCAGCTCCTTGAGAGGCCGTGTTTCTGCTGGTCCTCGTGGGCCCTGCCATCGCCATGAATACGCCCGGGCTCTGTCATTCATCCTGGGAAGAGGACTCGGGGAGCCTGGTACAGAGTGGAGCCTGCCCTGGGTCTCTGATCTGCAGAACTAAGTGGCTGGGTTTAGGAGAGGCTCAGTAGACAGCATTGCTGTGGCACAGCTAATACAGCAGTTGCTGTAGTATTACCATCTCCACTTCATAGTGGGGAAATTGAGGGCCACAGAGAGGAAGGCACTCACTTAACAACCCGATGGTGAGTGGCAGGGGTGGGACTCAAGATGAGGTGCCTTCGGACTCCAGGCCCAGCCTCTATGATCAGACCCACCTGTGCCGAGAGCTCCCTGGACGGCTGACAGGGCCTGGTAGAGGGGTCTAGACCACAGCTGAAGTGGCCTTGCCCAGGAAGATATGTGCTCCGTCTGAGGCAGCCACAGCCTTTAATGTCCAACGCAGAGTAGGTGAGAGCAGAGCAGGTGCTGCCCCGGGCCGCCCTCCTGCCTCTGCCCATGGAGCTCACTGCCTCAGGTGTATAGCTGGCTGCAGTTTGAGTCGGTGCCCCGGACAGACAGGAATGGGCAAATAACCCGGCTTCCTTGCCCTCCCAGGGAGGCAATTCTGAGACAAGCTACACATTCAGACAGGATCCCCATGGGATGGAGCCCCAGCAGCCAACGTGGCAGGCCACCCATGAGCTCCCCTTCATGGCTTCCCTCCCTTCCTGTGTGGCTTCCCCACTTCCTCGGTGCTTCCTGAAATGACCTCCCAAATAAACTCCTTGTCTCACCCAAATCCTTTTCTCAGATAAGCTTCTAAAGGAACCTAAACCTCTAGAAGCTGTCTTGAGGACAGCAAGCCCCTGTCTCAGCCCAGGCACCAGACATACCCTGTCTTCTTGCTCTTCACATGTCTCTGTGGCTGACAGGACTTTGCTCAGACCACTCTCCTAACCAAAATGCAAGGTAACCACCATCCGAGTGGCCCCTCTATTCCTGGCTGAATCCTAGCAGGTCCTGAGAACACCCCTGCCTAGTGACTACTGCCCGCCTGGGGCACCACGCCTCAGGGTGTGCACCAGCAGAGTGGCACTGCGAGATGTCCCAGCGACAGGAAGAGGCATGGCTGGGAACACAGGGCCAGGACAGGAGTGTGCTGGACCCTGAGTCCTGTGGAGCCCAGGCCAGCTTCCAGTCCATGCCAGGCCCTGGGAACCAGGTGTGGGATGCCAAGGCAAGGAAGAGGGTCGATGAGTGGAGGAGGTGGCTGGTGAGCATGTGACCATGCTGGGCCACCTGTAGTCTTTCCCTGGGATTTTTCAAAGTGGGAAGCTTAGGAGAATGTGGCCCCAGAGTCGCTAGTATCACTGAGACAAGCGTCCCCCAACCCATGAAGAAGACTCTCAGAATAAAGCTACCAGAAAGAAGCAGGGAAGTGTCATGGTATTTAGGTCCCCAAGGCTGGGTCCCTTTACCCTTCATGTGACCTGTCCTGTGAGCCCTATCCCGTTAGTTTCTGCCACTTGCACTCACAGAGACCCTGACTACTACCAGGCCCAAGACAAGATGCTCAGCACTGGAGGAGGTGGAGGCAGGGAGCTGGGGTCCTTCCTCCAGCCGCCTTCCCCCTGGTTTCAGACCGCACGAGTCCTGGAGCCCAACAGAGACTGAGACCCCACTGGGGTCTGAGAGTCGCATACACCAGGCCTACCATCTCCCCGATTTCACGGGCTCTCCAGAATTGGGATATTTTATTCATGTGTGCATTATTATTATTATTATTAATTTGAGATGGAGTTTTGCTCTTGTTGCCCAGGCTGGAATGCAGTGGCATGATCTCAGCTCACCACAACCTCCGCCTCCTGGGTTCAAGAGATTCTCCTGGCTTAACCTCCTGAGTAGCTGGGATTACAGGCATGTGCCACCACGCCCGGCTAATTTTGTACTTTTAGTAGAGATGGGGTTTCTCCATGTTGGTCAGGCTGGTCTCGAACTCCCAACCTCAGGTGATCCACCCGCCTTGGCCTCCCAAAGTGTTGGGATTACAGGCGTGAGCCACAGCGCCCAGCTGCATGCAGTATTATTATTAGATAATTTTTCTGCCGCAAACCCCTTCAACTCCCAACCCTCTGATTAGGCCGGAGGAGAGAGACTGACTGCCCAGCCCATGGCACGTGGCTCTAGAAGTGAGTGGGAGGTACTGAAAGTCTGCAGGCATCCTTGGGGATGGGAGAGACACAAAGAAAATGAGGTCAGCATCTGGAAGTTTTGTCGCCAACGAAAGGTCTGTACAAAAGAAGTGTGAGGCCAAAGCTCTTCCAGAATTGAGCTGTCCAGCTAAAGTGCTATTTACATGTCAGAGCCTGTCCACTGCAGAAGGGCAGTGAGAAAGTTCTGGAAGCTGTGCCCCTCCCATTGCCTGTCCTGGGAAGGAAGCTACAATGGTGCAGAGGCTGGAAGGCCAAGTCCCCATGCTGACCTGACCCAGCATCCAAGGGTCAGTATCGCCAACAACCCAGCCCGTGGGGTCTGACTTCGCCCTCACTGGGCATGAAGGCTGTCCGGGCCCCCCTGGCAGCAGTGACCTGGAAAGCCAGCCCTGGGGCCTGGGCTTTGGGTGCCCCAGGCAGGCAGGGATGACTCAGGGCAGCAGCAGGTGGGTGAGCAGGGGTGGCGCCTCCACCTGGGGCTAAAAACAGTGCAAGGCCTATGAGTCAGGGACCTGCAGCGATCCTGCTCCTCACGCCTGGCTGACCTCGGGCAATCTTGGGGTACTTTCCCATCTGAGGAATGCGGGTGGTGGACCTGGCAAGAGTTTTCCAACTCTTCCTTCTTTGGGCCCTACCTTCATGGTTTCTGTAGATCTGTGGAGCACCTGAGTCAGAACAAGTCAGGACCTGAGAGCAGGGTTGGGGACGCCTGCGAGGCAAGACCTTCCCTGGACCTGAGGATCACACGCTAATGTGGGGGCCCTGGAGCCACAACAGGCTTTGTAGGAGGACACTCAAGACGGTGTGATTTACAAACCGAGGCCACAAAGCTACTGTGCTCCCATGTTTGAGCTTCCATGTGTGGCCTGGAATTTAATGGGTCCCACTCCAGTAGGATGCATTCTACAGTTTGGGGACATCTGGGATAAATGATTTCCTGGGATTCTCCAGCAGATAGCCCAGGGGTCTAGGCCTTCCTGTTGTGGGACGGGGAGGGGTCCTGTGCTGGCAGCAACACCCCCTGGCCCCCCGCCCTTCCCGCTCTCTCCTGTCTTCCACATTGGCTCAACTGCTCAAATTCAAAGACCAGGAGACCTGCTTGATTTCACTGAGTCCTTCCCATGCCCAGTGCCCTGCAGTTCTTCTTTCAGATCTGCTTTCAGCTGTCTGCTCCTCCTCATCTCCTCCCCGACTTCTAAGTCCAGGCCTCCATGGTTCCCTCCCATGGGCTCCCTGCCTCGGTCCTTCTCCTCTTCAGCCTGCTCCCCACACAGAAGGAGACCATTAGTTTCCTATTAACATCAATTCTCCCCTTCTTCTTTACAAAAAGAATCCAGAAATTTTTGGTTGGGCACACTGATATCCAACTAAAAGGCTGGATTTTTTTTTTTTTTTTGCTTACAGCTAGTTGTGACCATGTGACAAATTCTGCACAAAGAAAGGTAAGCTGAAGTGAAGTAAGGCCTCAGGAAAGGTTGTTTTAAAGGTAAGGGGCACCCTTTTTCTCTCATTCCCTCTTTCCTAATGCCTGGAACTTGGATGTGATGGCTGGAGCTCTAGCAACTAAATGGGATCATGAAGACAAGGTCAACACCCTAGGGATAGTGGAATAGTGATCCAAAAACAGCCTAGGTCAAGGATCAGACTCCACACTATCTGAAGTCATCCTCACACTATCTTCAGTGTGTGTTTTCTTAATACTTAAATCAATTTCTATCTTATTTAAGGCATAATTTCCAGAGTTTCTGGTATTCAGTTAAACTTAATCATAATGGGTATAGCTCTTCCTTTCAACAGCTGCCCATCATTCCCGCATTCCAGACTCCTTGGGGCCTACAAAGCCCCTGACTGCCTCTCTGTCCTGACATCCTCCAACTTGCCCCCTCTCACGGGGCTCCAGCCATACAGCCTTACTCCTGTTCCCCAAATAAGCTGGGTGCTCCATCTGTCCAGATCACTCTGGTCTCAGTCCCACCCTATCTCAAATGTCACCTCCTTAGGGAAGCCCACCTCCCTGCTCCCACAGCGCACAGCAACACCATGGTACAGCTGGTGCTGTATGAGCCTGGTCCTCAGGGCAGGGATCGTTTCCTGATTTCTCATGGTACCTGGGCCTCACACCGTGCTTGGTAGAGAGTTGGTGCTCAGCCACGTCTGCAGGATGTATGGATCCTTGGCATTTTAATATGAGGCTTGGCCCCAGTTTCTCACTCAATCCTATCTATCCTCCAGCTCTTGTCAGTTTGTGTCTCATTTAATGATTACGGCAGGTGGGTATCCTGCTTAGGCGAGGGAGCTTGCTAAAGATCACATCGCCAGTAAGGAGAGCCTGGACTCAAAGTCGACCTCCTCTTGTGCCACAGCCAGCAGCTCTGGACTTCACATCTCAGACAAGGCCTGGCCACCTGAGGCCCAAGCTGAGAACTAACGGGTACCCAGCCCAGCCCCCAAGCAGAGGGAAGGGAGATGCATAAGATAGAAGGGCCAGGCCTGAGGGGAAGGAAGGGCTTTGCCAGCACAAAAAAAAGGATGGTGGGCTTCACAAGCAATTACTAGAGCCAGGGGAGACCCTGCTCCTTTGTCTGCCTGCTTTTAGGGGTCTGGGGGACGGGGCTCAGGCTGAGCCTGAATTTCCCATCCAAGGCTCCTCCTGGGCCTATGGGTTGTGTGTGGTGGGTATTTTCTAGCACCATTCTTTCTGCTACGGCCCCATCACACTGCTGTTTCTTGCTGGTCAGAGCGTGCCTGGGTGCCCAGGCCATATGAGATGTGACAAAACACATGCATGTTCTCTGGGCAGACTCACCAGGTGCTGTAGTCTGATTGTTTATGTCCCCCTAAGATTCCTATGCTGAAATCCTAACCCCCAAGATGCTGGCGTTCGGAGATGGGGCCTTTGGGAGGTGATTAGGTCTTAAAGGTGGAGCTCTCAGGAAGGGGGTTAGTGCCCTTATAAGAGAGGCCCCAAAGACCCACACCCCTTCCACCACGTGAGGACGCAGCAAGAAGGGGCCGTCTAAGAGAAAGTAGCCCCCACCTGATAGTGATCTGCCAGCACCTTCATCTTGAACTTCCCAGCTTCCAGAACTGTGAGAAATAAATTTCTGTTGTGTATAAGCCACCCAGCTTATGGTATTCTGCTATGGTAGCCTGAATGGATGAAGATACCAGGTCTGGCCTGTGAGTATTTTACGCGGGGCAGACGGCTAGAGCTGACTTCTTTAGAAAACTCACTGCGTGCTCCCGCCCAGGCAGTTCTGCAGGAGAGACAGCAGTGACCGCTACCAGGTGGCAGTGAAGGCCTGCCCGCTCCTCTCTGCCCAGTCCTGTTCTCCTGGGCAGCTGCCCTCTCTGCCTTTGTGGCTTTTTTCTCTTGTTTTACGGCAGCAGAGCCCCAGTTCCCAGAAGTGAAGCACCCTTCTCCAGCCCAGTCTGAGTGGTCTGCGTTGAGCTAAATCTCCCCTGATTCTAGGGGTGGACACATGCTCTGGGCTTGGCCAACCCATCTCACTGGCCTGTGAAGAGTCTGGGGTGGACAAAGAATCCCTATTTGTCAAATGAGACTAACAATCAGTCTCTAGTCCCAGCCAGCCCCAGGACACTTGTAGCAGCTATTAGGAAAGAGAGGCTCTCAAAGGGAGGCCCCCTCTGAGTGTGCAGCCAACACTGAGGAAAGCAGAGCTGAGAGGGAGGCACCTGAGTCATAATATGTCAACGCCTGGATCCAGCTGCGCCTGCAGCCACAGAGACCTCTGGGCTTTCTAGTTACTTGAGTCAATCAATCCCCTGCTTTTAAAAATCCATTGGAGGATATGTTGTTTGTTTGTTTGGTTGGTTTATTTTTGCACTTGTACCCCAAATAGTCCTATTATGCCCCCTAGTCGGCCAAGGCTAATGTGTGGCCTACCTCCTGCAGGAAGACCCCCTCCCATTCCTGCAGCGCCACTGGCTTTCCTGGCTTCTGAGCCCGCTCCTCTCTTACTATCTGACCACACCCCGTGCACAGTGCCCACATGCCGTGTGGTGTTTCCTGTGTGGGTGGCCCCTCTCTCTCCCATGGGACTGGTATGGCACTAGCTGTGTTGTGAGCACTGGCCACATACATGCTGCACACTAAAGGCAGTCTGGGGGATTCAGTAGCAGGCAGTCCTGTAAGGAGTTCATGGACATGCATGTCTGCCTGAGGCATGAAGGAGTGGGTCCCTCTTCCCACCACTGTCCCAGTTACAGTGGTTCTAAGGCCCAGCTACAGAGAGGAAGGGAGGGGGCTCTCTGCTGTGTGTGTGAGGGAAAACCTGACTGCATTTCCTCGGATGTATAGGTGCAGGTGGGATGGGTTTTGTAATCATTAAGGGCCCAGAATGCCCCCACCTCATCATTCCGCACCTGCTGGAACCCACCATGGAATCCAACATCTGATTCTCTTGCCACCCCACACCCTTCGAGGAGCCTCCTCTGCCAGCTTCCTTTGCTCACTCCCTCCTTGGACTTTTAGTGCTGCTCCATGCAGCTTTCTGCGGGCTTCAGACTGTAAATTCAGGAGCTACCCAGACCTGAGCTCCAGCTTTAGCTTCCAGCTTGAGCAAGGGGTATCATCTTTCTGAGGCTCAGTGTTCTCACCTGCAAAATGGGGATGACAGCACCATCATTTTCTCTGCAAGGCTGTTGTGTGAGCAAACGGAGGGCACTTAGCACAGGGATGGCCCTGAGGGGTGGGCTGCGCTGCTGTCCACCCAGTGGACGAGTATACACGGCTCCACGTCATAGGCTGCCCAGGGCTGCCACATAGAGATAAGAGCAACCCGCCCACCCTCATGATGATTGGGCACACGGGAGGAGGATGGGACTCTTCTATGGGGCATGGCTGGGACTGTATATTTCTGAATGCTAACAGTAAGCGAGATGCCATTCTTATGGGTTTAGGATCAGGAGGCCAGGAGAGGTTGTCATTTCTCAAGGCCACCTACAGGACTCTTTTCCACATCAATGATTTAAAGACAGCATGAACATATTTTTATCATAGTAACCAGTACAATCTTTCTGGTTAAATGATATCTCACTCTTAATGTTGACAAATAAATGGCTCAAAGCTGCCACAGTGGAGATGAGGCACTTTTGGGGAAGCTCAAGGCTCCAGAGAACCCCCTATGTAAACCTTTGCATGGCACCTGTCAGCAGCTGGAGAAAGGGGTGGGCAAGGAGAGGAAGAGGCCTGTGGAGACAGGGCCCAGGGGACATTCCAGCATTGAGAGGGGTGGGGAGCATGGTACAGGTACCCCCCAGAAGTGGGTTGCTTTGGGCTGTTGCTGGGGAGCAGGATGCCTGGGAGGTGGTAGGGTAGTGATGCTCCGGAACTGGCATTACACAGGGGGTCCCTTATCCTGGCACACAGGCCCTGTGTCCTGCCACGAGGACATGTGCTGCTGGCGGCTGGTCACGAGTGTGCTGGGGAAGCAGCACCCTGGTGACAATCAGTATAACAGCCCATGGTGCGCAGCAGGTAGGGGTGCTGCTTCCAGAAAGCTCTCTCCAGTCAGCCAGCTGGTCCCTGGAGATAGAACCCATGCTCCAAGGAGGGGCGTAGGCTCCCAGAGCCCAGTCAGGGCCCTGCCCCCTGTGTACCCAGCTCCTACCCACCAGGACACAGACAGTCCCCCTGCACCAGCTTCTCCTGTCATAGCACCTTCTTCCGCGCTTCTCAGAGATGTAGCAGATGCCTGTCTGTCCTGTGCCACACCCCAGGGGTGGTGGTGGTGACCAAGAGAACCTGAGCGAAAAGGATAGAAGACCTCATTCTCCACTCACACCCCAGGTACTGCAGGGACTTGGAAAAGCCCAGGTATATTCTTTGTGTGAAACTGGGATGGTAAACTGCACTTTTAACACTTGAGTCTTCAAAACCCTTCCCTTCTCTTCATGGCAATGTAAGCTTTTCAGCAAATATCAGTGGCAAAGAGGCTTGGAGCTAAAGCTTAATAAAAGGCCTCTTCCCTCTCAAGGGATGAGGTGCCAAGGATATGATGGGGAAATGAACAGGGATTTTCATTGTGTGACCCAAGTTCAAATCCTGGCTTCTGCATCTTTTTAGCCATGTGACCTTGGACAGAACACTGAACCTCTGAGCCTCTGTTCTCTCACTACTCCCCACTGCACAGGGCTGTTTGTGCAGATAAAACGGGGTGAGGATGTGACACAGCTTTGCAACATGAAAGAAGCCTGCCAATGTTAGTTATTATAAGCAAAGATGAAATGCCTCAGACACAAACAACAAGCTGACACAAAATAAGCCTGCTTTGTACAAGACTTTCTAGGCAAGCATGATAATCTTGATAACAATAATCATAGTAATTATAATAATAACCCCTTCCATTTGAGGAGCTGCTTTGGATCATTCAGAGCTTTCCTCCATCTCTAATCTTTTAGGCCAAGTGAAGTGTGAGTCTGCAGACATGCACGCGCACGCACACACACACACAAACCCAGTCCTCCAGTTGCAGGGAAAAACCTCCATCTGGCCCCACCCTGCCCCATGTACTGTAGTTGTCCCTGTACCCACCAGGGGGCAGGAGTGCACAGGCCAATGGGAGAGGGAGCGTGAGCTGGACCCGCCGAGCCAGAGACCAGGCATTGCAGGGCCGGGCCCGGCGGCCATCGCGCCTTCCTTGGGCTGCCGACTTGCTCTTCAACGCGAAGGGGCAGAGAGACCCCAGCCGCTGGGGGGGCCCAGCCTGGCCACTACAATTCCAGCTGGCGAAGAATTCTGGGTACTTAGTAACTAGCGCTCCCACCCAGGCCTGCACATCTGAGGAAACACCGTCACGTTCTCTCCGTTCTCTCCGGCACAGGAGAGAGCCCCCCGCCCCTCCCTCTCTGCAGCTGGGCGTCAGAACAGTGGGGAGCACTCCCTTCCGGGGCGGGGGTCTGCTTTCCTGGCCTTGGGCTGGCAGATGGCTCTCTGCCTGTGACTCTCAGTGGAAGTGGTACCAAATTGCCACCCCGGGCGCACGTTAGACATTTGTGACCAGTCTTTGGTAGTGGCAACAACTGGGGTGCTGCAGGCATTTGGCGGCTGGGGCTCTTTCCTCGCTTGGGCTTAGGATTCTGAGCAAGGCCTGCGCCTACAGAACGTCCTCAGCTCACAGGGTCTCTTGAGGAGGTAGGGGACCTCATGGGCTCACCATTGCTTTAGGGAAGGGAACCTTCCTGGTTCCTCAAAAAGATCCTGCAGCAGAACCAAGGATTCAGTGCCATCTCTAATCTTGCTTTCCTTCTCCATTTAGGATGATGATCCTCCCACTCTCTTCTTTCAAATCCACCCATCATCCCTTCTCCAGCCAGCCAGCCACACATCCTGCACCACCTACCCAGGATACCTACCTATCAAACCTTGTGCACCTACCCATCTATACATCATCTACCCATCAGCCACCCCAGTTCATCCATCCACTCACATCCCTTCCAACCCACCACCATCCCCTCCACTCTTCCCTGGCATCTATCTATCCCTTAGTTACTCATCCACTCCTGTTTGATCCAACTCGCCTCCCACCCATTCATTCTCTCCTTGATCCACTCATCCATTCACCCATCTACTATGTATCCATTTACACCTGCTAGGTGGCAGACACTGAGTGGGGTCTGGGCCTTAAGGACTTTAACATTTGACAAAGGGAATCTCCCCAGCTCAGTAGTTGGTGCCTTGAACACATCGGGGTGGAGGGAGAGCAGCCCCTGAGGTTTTCCCTGCCTCTGTCCCATGGTCCCTTCTGTGTCAGGGGTCTGTGACTGTGTTAAGCAAGGCGTTCCTGAAGTCCCCACCTGGGTTCAGAAAGCAGTTCAAACCTTCTGGATGCCCCAGGATTTGTCCTAAGCCTTTCTGAGAACCTTCCCTGCCTGGACCCAGGATGTCTCCTGTGGAGTAAAGAAGGCTTGGGTTTTTTGATCCTAACTTTCTTTCCTTTTCAGCCTCAGAACTCAGGGATCTTCCAATGACTGAGAAGCAGGTTTTTCCTAGACAGAAACTGCTTACTATGTTCCTTCCAGAACCAGGGGCCAGGGGGTGGGAAGGCGACTGTGGCCCAAGTCCTCTGAGGCCCTGTCACTGGTTCCCGCACACCTGAAAGTTTTCACCCAGAAACCACCTGTCAGTGGCTGGTGCAGTTTCCCACTCCTGGCCCTGGCCACAGTTAAGCAGGAGCCAGGGCGAGACCTAAGAATCTTCCTTCCCCACAGATTGGAGGACGTCTCTGTGTGAAGCCCAGGGCTGAGTGCTGGGGACAGAACTGCCAGCAGGAACTGGACCCTGCCCTGCCCGTGCCTGCAGTCCACTAGGGGCGTCAGATCCATCAGCACCAGCTGGGGAGTGGGGAGGCCACCCCAGGGAGGCAGGGTCTGGGCCTCAGGAGGAACAGGTTTGTGGATGGTGGGAGACATGGGGCTTCTCGGGAGGTGAGGAGGGAATTAAAGAGAGGTGAGGCGAGACCCAGGCAACACTGAGGGCCTTGACGGGCAAGAGTGGGTCCTGGAGGCACCAGATGCTCTGGCAGCCATCAGCAGGGCCTGAGGACAGCAGTGGGGTCATGCAGCCCTAGAAGGTTAAACTTAGGACAGCCACCTGTGGGCACACAGATGGCTCAGGGGCTCAAGCACAGACAGCCTCTCGGCCAGGTTGCTGGTCATGCCTATGAGGGGGTGCCCTACCCCTGGTGGGCAGGCCAGTGTCCATCCTGGGGCAGCCCTGATGGAGAGAAAATGCTTCCCCATAGAGCCTGGCAGAGGAAATGCCAGGCCTTCCATGTGTTGGGGCCTGGGACATTCACGTTTTCTGTGTGGCGTGGGCTCCTGGCCTCTTCCTGCAGGAGCAGGGGAGCTGTCAGCCCTGCCAGCATCTGTGTAGAGTGGGCATGGGGGCCCTAGGGGAGCTAGTGGAGGCCTGGCAGGGCACGCCGGGGAGAGGAAACGCAGGATGGAGGCCCTGCTCACTCTTTTTTTTTTTGAGTCAGAGTCTCACTTTGTTGCCCAGGCTGGAGTGCAGTGGCAAGATCTTTGGCCTACTGCAACCTCCGCCTCCCGGGTTCAAGCAATTCTCCTGCCTCAGCCTCCCGAGTAGCTGGGATTACAGGTGCCCGCCACCATGCCCGGCTAATTTTTGTATTTTTAGTAGAGATGGGGTTTCTCCATGTTGGCCAGGCTGGTCTCTTGGCCAGGCTGGTCTCGAACTCCTGACCTCGTGATCTGCCCGCCTTGGCCTCTCAAAGTGCTGGGATTACAGGTGTGATCCACTGTGCCTGGCCCCTGCTCACTTTCATTAGCAACAGAAGCCTGTCCTGGGCCCCCAGAGGCAGGGGGGTTTTTATGTCAGCAAGGCTTCTGACCACCAGGAAAGGGGTGGGGACGCTGTCTGTCCAAAGCTCCAACCACTGCCCCTCTGGGACAGCCTTACGTGGTGCCTCTTTGTCTTGGTGCCCTTCTCCCCTCAGTGGGTCCAGACCCCTGTTCTACACCTCCTGGGTATCTCTCCTGGATGGGGGCTCTCTGGATAGCTGCACCACCAAGCAGGCACTATCCTGTCCCAAAAAAGCTTTAAGGTGAATGGGACAGAAATTTCCAAATCCATGATGCCCTCATCCTCCACCTCCTTTCCCCTGAGCCCAGTGTTCTAAGAGGAAAAAAGAACTAAAATTGGATAGACAAAATTTCTAAGAAATGAACAAGGCAGAATGAAATTACCCACACAGAGCTCAGTCAAAGGGAAGGAAAAATGATAATGGCCGACCTCATCTCTTCAGAACACGAAGTGACGATGGTGAATAGTTTAATTACAGCCGCCTCGGCTGGGAGACATTAGCAACACAGCTATGGAAGAGAAAAGATGGAAGATGCAGCGCTACACATAAGGTGCAGGGTGGGAATAGGCAAGTCCTGAAGTTGACAGGGTTGGCCAACTGGTGCCTATCCCCAGGCTGGTTCATCCCTCTTGCCTCCTCATCCTTTCCCCGGGGACACTGGCTCCTGTGCCATTCATCAGAGTGGGCACATACTGTTTTGTTAGAAAAGGTGCAGATCACGTTGCTTCCAGGATCTCAGAGCTTTGGGCTTCAGGTCACTCTGCCTCTGACTGGCTTTGGGACCCTGGGCAAGTCTCTTCTCCTTGTGGGGTCTTAGTGTCCCTAGTGCATAAGGAAGGGATTGGCTAGATCAGCGGTTCTCAAAGGGTGGTCAGTGGACCCCGAGGGGTCTCTGAGATCCTTTCAAGGGGGTCCATGAAATCAAAACTATTTTCATAACAAAACTAAGATGTCACTTGCCTTCCTAACAGTGTTAACATTTGCACGGATGGTGCAAAAGTAGCAGCAGCAGATACAATCGTGGTCTCCTTAGCCAGAAGCCAGGCGCCGGCGCTGGACTCGGCGCCGGGCTGCAGAGCTGCCATTGCACTCCCTACCACCATGCATGCCAAGAAAGCAAATGCTGGCTGGACTGAAGAATGTCGTTGGTGAAGAAGTAAAAATTACGACTTATAAAAAACTCCACTCGAGTACCCGTCTGAGAATTCTGTGAGATGATGACATGGGAAGTAAGCACAAAACACGTGCTGCAAATGTAAGGGTGGCGGCTGTACTGGGGAAAGGCTGAGTTGCAAGCCGGACTCATCCCTTCCTTCATGGGACACTGCTTTTCCTTGAAAAGCCTGAGCGGCAAGCAGTAGGATTTCAGACTGGGGTCTCTGGCAGAAGTTCTCCCAAAAATGAACCAGTGAGCCACGATTTCAAAGAAAACCACTGACATATTTGTTACCAAAATTATAAAATTCTGGCTTTCAAGTGAAAATGCAGAATTGTGGAAGACTTGTGTTTACCACTGTAAACTTGGTAACTTCCCAATACCTAAAGCTTTTCTCAAAGATCAGTGTTGATATTAACAAATGTGAGTTTTTGATATAATATGCTGAAATGTGTCAACATTCAGATCTGTGTAACTCATGAACCAATATTTTCCAAATGACCAAAATGGTGTTAAAAATCATTCATAGTAAGAGATCCATTCAAAGTGCAAGGTAGGCCAGTGAATTTTAATGTAACAGAACAGGAAAGGGTCATTGACCAGCACAGGCAACACAGTGAGACCCCGTCTCTATAAAAATTAAAAAAAATTAGCCAGGCATGGTGGCCCCCTGGGAGTGGTGTGTACTTGTAGTCCCAGCTACTGGGGAGGCTGAGGTGGGAGGATTGCTTGAGCCCAGAGGTTGAGGCTGGAGTGAGTTGTCATCGTGCCACTGCACTCCAGCCTGGGCGAGACAGATACCGTCTCAAAAAAAGTAAAAAAAGAAGGGTCATTGATATACTTTCAGATTCCACATTGCAACTCTCCTTTAATAAACTACCATTTGCCAAGTCCTGGGAGTTTCAAAGAATAATTATCTGAAAAGGCTAGTAAAATACTCCTTCCCTGTTCGTGTGGGGCCAAATTTTTCTTCAACCAAACAACACATCACAACAGAGAGAAGGCAGAGACGTGTGAGAACCGAGCCATTTTCTATCAGGCTGGACATGAAAGACATTTGCAAAAATGTAAAACAATGACATTCTCCTTACTAAAATATTTTTGAAAAATACAGTACTTTTCCATAAAAATTTTATTTATATTAATGTGTAATGGACTTATAGTTATTTTCAAATAAATATATATTTTAAATTTTCCTTAATTTTAATTTCTAATACAATAAAAATTGATAGATATAACCTACATAAACAAAATGCTTACTGGGGTCCTTGATAATTTTTAGGAGTATAAACCAAAATGTTTAAGAGCTGCTGGACAAGAGCATTCTTTCCCAAGCATCATACCCTAATATCTTCATAAGTTCTGCCAAAGTCCTGCATCACCGAATGAGTAATACTTACTATTTTTCCTAGACACATCTTTTTACCTTATAAACATCATATCCCTATGATAAGTGAAGAACTTGTATAAAGTATTTTAAATAGAAAACACCCATAAGAATAACTACAATGAGAGCAGAATAGGATGCTAAATTCTCTGGATCCCCTGCCTGTAGAAGGCTCTGGGCTTGAGGCCTTGCTCTCTTTGTTGACCTAGGAGATAGGTTCAGAGGTGTTATGAAGGTCCAAGCACCAGCCTGAGACTTTCTTTTTGAGGCTCTCAGACAAGCTGAGAGAGAAGGAACCACTTTCTGACTCGGTGAGCCCATGCTATTAAATGTGTGAGCCTTGTCCCACTGAGCCATCTCATCTCACAGAGCGGTGGCACGTGCCCCACTTGGAAGGCCCTGGGCAGACCGTCCCATGCAGCACATCCCAGGGCTGGATGGCAAGGCCTCCACCTGCAGAGGTGCGGCTCATTCTCAGGAGACCTTCTCATGGGTGAGAATGGGCCTTTCGGCCACAGCCACCACCTCAGGTAGGAAATCCAGAATTATGAGTCTTTGCAAAAAGTCAGTGGTGGCAGGAAGGTTGTCAGAGTTGGGGTCGAGGAGGGACCTCTGGGTTCAGGGGTCAGAGCTGGCTGAGCCAACCAGTCCAGAAGGATACAGCAAGCCCAGGCTGTGGCCGCCTCAGTGTTTGCTGTGAGCCTTGGGACTCAGATAGACAGACAAACACCCACACATGCACTCAGGGGCCTGGTGTCAAAGAGAGGCCCCAAGAGATCATGACAGCAGCCAGTATCTGTCGAGCACTTACCAGGAGGCTTACTCCATTTGATGTTCACAAGTATTATCGTTTCCCCCATTTTATACTCAGACAAACCGAAGATCAGATGGGTTATGAGACTTGCTGACGGTCCCTCAGCCAGTAGGTGGTAGAGCTGGGATTGAACGCCAGCCGCCTGACTCCGGAGCCCACATCGCCAGCCCCGTGCAGCCCTGCTTCCCTGTGATTTAGTGGCCTGGTCTTCCGAGAGGAAATGGAGGCCCGTGAGTAGGAGGTGGGGCCATCAGCAAGCCAGGGGCAGAGCTGGCCCAGAGCCCGGCAGCCCTGTCTCCCCGAGGGCAGGGTCAGGGAAGGCTGGCCCCTGGGACCTCTCCAGCTGCTATCACCTGCTCTTCTCAGCTCCCAGAGGGCTTGGCTGGTGCCCACCCAGGGGAACCGGCATTACCGTGTTGATGCTGGTAGTGTTTACATGCGGCAGGTGGGATGGTGACAGGTGTAAAAACAAGGGTGACAAATACTCCTGTCAACTAAAACACAGGTGAGGCAGAGTGGCACCCATGGCCATGCAGCAGCTGGGCCAGGCAAGGAGGTCCCAGCGGGCCGTGCTGGGCGGGGCAGGAGGTGGACAGCCCAGTGGAGCCAGGGCTGGATGCCAGCTCCTCTGACTCCCAGAGCCTGGCCCCTGGGGTACAGGGGGTCAGGGGCTGAGCCAAGCCTCCGGGGACTCATCTGCCAAGCTATGTCAGCAGGGAGGGAGGAGGGAGGGGACGCGCTCCTCGGGTTCTCAGTTCAGCGCAGGGCCAGGTGGGTGGCCTGCTCCAGCCAAGGCGCCATCACCCCAACAGTTTTTCTCTGAGGTCTGGGATCAGGGTGCATGGCCTCTACTTAGCCCCTGCCATCCTCATCTTCCCTGACAGACACTGGGTGACTCTGGGTATGGGGTCAGGCCCGGGTGGGGAAGGGTATCAACTCTGCCCTCTGCTGGGGAAGAGCTGCACAGGGCTCACTGGGTGAGAGGTTGGCACTGCAGCTCCTAACCCAGTGGGGGCAGGGGGAACCAGCTCAGGTTGGCACTCACTCTCTGAAACTACAGGGCCACCAAATGCCACCTGGGCTCAGGTTCCACTCCCCTCCAAGGCATTTCTTGCTTTCCTTCATCCCTGTCACTCCTCTTACCCCCTTCCATGCCTCTCTCCCCCATCTCCACCCCCAAGCCCCACACCCTGGCCAGGGTAGATAGAAGCCAGCCGGTACAATTAGAAAAAAGGAGTTCCTTTCTGCAGGTTGTAAGGCTTAGAAAAGGGAAGGTGCACTGGATTTCAGCCCTCTCATGGTCTGCTAGTCGGGAACTTTTCTGTAGGCCACAACCTGCCATGTAACTAAGTTGAAATCAATGAAATGTGAAAATGAAGCATACCACTTCTGGGTCAAGGCTCTTAAGATGTGAGTGTGTCTCCTGTATGCACATGATGACAAAATCCTAGGGGGTGGTGGTGCCATAAGATGGAAGGTGTTGGTCCATGAGTCACTGTGTGGAGGAGAGCCACCCACCCACCAAGAACACCTGCCCCAGACTAGTAGATGAGCAAGAAATAACCTATTGCATCTGAACCACGAAACATTTTGGGTGTATTTGTTATAGCAGCTAGGGCACCCTTACTAACACATTCTGCCATTGTCCTTCTTCTCCTGGCTTTTGTTCCCTATTTGACATCTGACCTCTGTTTATCCTGCATTGTGGATTACTGAGTACGGTCCCTCTTCTAATGCTTCAGTGAGCAATAGAGTGCCCTCTCAATAAGACTGTAAGCTGGTGAAAGAGCACAGGTGAGTTTTCTGGAGTCTTAGAGATCTGTGCTGTGCCAATACTCCCCCTAAGAAGGGTAAAAGTCATGCTCCACAGCAGCATCTCCCAAGCCTCAGTTACTCGCATAATTTTTGTTCACCACTGTATCCACAGAACACTATAGCACATAATAGGTGCTCAATAAATGATCATTAAATTTCTGCTGTTTGTATAAAACTTGTACTTTAATTTACTTAATATTTTTCTTAGATGGGGTCTTGCTCTGTTACTCAAGCTGCAGTGCAGTGGCAAAATCATAGCTCACTGCAACCTCGAACCCCCCAGGCTCAAGCAATCCTCCTGCCTCAGCCTCCTGCGAGTACCTAGGACTACGGGAGCACACCACAATGTCCTGCTGATTTTTTCTTTTTTTTTTCTTTCTTTTTTTTGTTTTTTAGAAATGGGGTCTCACTATGTTGCCCACGCTGGTCTTCTTGGCCTCAAGTGATCCTCCTGCCTTGGCCTCCCAAAGCACTTGGATTATAGGTATAAGCCACTGCATCTGACCTAATATTTTCCTTCAGACTTTTTCTACTTAAATTTATTTCAAGCAAAAGGAAATTTAGTACCAACAATGTCTGGGAAAGGATGTATTTAATATGCTAGCTTTTATCTTTTTCTAATATCCATGAAAATGAATTCATAAATATTGAGATAAAAATCAACATGTTAATCCATCATGCCAGCTAAAACTGATGTCCTTTCTCCACTCTGGGGAGGACTGCCCCAGCACCCAGCACAGCAGGCACTGCTGCACATTCCTCAGCTATGAGGGAGCAGAGCGGCACGCACAGGAGCAGTGGGTCCGGGTCTGGCCCCTGGGTGGTGGGACTGGAAACAGGTCACTTCACCTCCCTCTTCTCCTAGCAGAAGGGCCTTGGCTTCTGGTCCTGTGAGGCCTGAGAACAACCCTGATTGGCTGGGAATGTACAGTGCTTGCAGGCAGGCGGCAGTGATCTGGTCATGCCACTGAGTCCAGGCTTCCAAGCCCGCAGACCTCCTGCTCCCTTCTCTGTCCTTGTCCCCACCCTTGGTTCCTTGGTCTTGGTTTCAAGGTGGAATGAGCCCACTGGTGGGCTCCCCAAGGAGTGTGTGGCATCCTATGGGAAGGGAAGGGGCACCCACACGTTCCTTGGCTGGGTGGGAGAGCTGGCAACATGAATCTGTCCCTACCTCCTCCTATCATCTCTCCCCATCTCTAAAAGCCAACTTGGGGCCTCATCCTTTTTGAGAGAAGATCACCTCAAATATCCCGGACACAGTTGCAGGGAGCCCAGGGGCTCTGTTCTGTGAAGGAGCTTTGTTGTCATGGTAACTTCTGGTCTCCTAGTGGCCACTGTCCTCGTAGAAGGGAGCTGGGAAGGAGCAAGAGGGAGCCCACCCTGCCTGTCTGTCCCCACAGCAGCTAGGAGAGCACTTGAGCTTGAGTGAAGCAGGTGGGAAGGGGGCTGTCTCCTGTGACTGGGAGAGGGCCTGCGGGGAGCCATAGAAACCAAGTCCAGGGCTGCTTCCTCCCAAGCCTCTAAAGCCCCATCCAGCTACATGAACTTCAGGGAAACCCCAAAAGGAAAGTCTGTACCCTTCACCCCAAGTTAGACTTGACCTGATGAAAAGGTGGGGGTGGGGGTCTCTGGCCCCTCCATCCTAACCCGTCCTCTGAGCTGGCCTCCCCGTGAAGCCACTGTCCTCCCCTTCCTCCTCCTTCTGTCTTGCTGCCTCCCTCTCCACTCCATGAGGGCTCGCAGTGCCCTCTCCATCACGCCCACTTCTCCTCTTCTCTGGGCGCCCAGCCCCGTGGGTGCCGGTTCACCTCAGTCCACTGTGATCCCTCCTCTGTCTCCAACTGTGGTCCTGTTCCTCCACCCAACATTTAGGTGCCAATGTTCCCAAGGACTCAGTCCTCAAACCCCTTCTTGCTTTCCCGAGCCACCTTCTCCCTGAGCCAGATCCTGCCTGATTTTCCTCTGTGCAGGGAACAACTGGATTACCCCTACCTAACCTCTGGGTCACTGGCCTTTCAGACTCAACTCAATGTGTCCCCAGTTAGACTCCCCTCCTGGTTTCCCATCCAAGGCTCCAGCATCGCATTCCTTCCTGCCTCATTCTCCAGCTTTCTGCCCTATCAGCAAGTCACCGTCACTGCTGACTCAATATTTTTGAAAATGTTATTAAATTGGACTCATTTAAAAAAGCCAGCTTACCCTAGGCCACAATATCCACAGAACCAGAGGTTTGTGTGCTAATTTTTCTAATATACACTAAAATAATAAAACTACTAAAACCAAAGCTGTTGGTCTGTAAAAACTGCCAGGTCATTTGTGTGCCCCAGGAAAGCGCACACCACTCTTTGGGGACACACAGCCTCTTTCCAATGGCATTTCTGTGCTTCCCATGACACAGGCTGGGGACCCCAAAGTTGGCTCCACTCTTCCTCCTTTCCTGCAGCTGGCTGATTCCCAAGGTCATTTACCCTCAGGAAGGTGTGAATCTGTCCCTTCTTCTTACCTTCCAAGGACACCCCTGCCTCCCTGCATGGATGAGGGCAGCGACTCCAGACTGGCCTCCTAATCTCCCTCTCATCCACCGCTGAGTCTTTCAATGGCGCCACAGTGGAACCCTCCGTGCTCCCCACTGGCAGCCATGGAAGAACCAAGGTCCCTTGCCCACCAGCTCCTTCGACTCTTCCCATCTGTTAGCTCATGCTCATCTCACCATCCTTCCTATGGAGGAGCTGGGGAAAGACCTCTGCTGAGAGAGAGTGAGACAGTGGCCAGAGGGAATGGAAGACAGACACCATGGTGTCTCCACCAGGAAATGTCAAGTGGGAAGCAGTGACTCCACCAAGGTCACAACACTTGTGGGAAGTGTCAGGGTGTGGCCTCAGAGGATCTGGGTTAGTCATGTGACACCTTGTGACTCAGTTTCCTCAACCGTAAATGGTGTTCTTCATGCCATGCTCTCCTCCCAGGGCTCCTGTGAGAGAACCCAGAGTCTGGGGAATGGGCTTTCTGACTGTGGAGCACTTAAATCGTGGGGTGTGTGCATGTGCCCAGATCTATGTCAGTAGAATGAGTAATAATAACAATAACTACAAAATCTGCTGAGTGAAGCTGGCTTTGTGAGATAAGCTATGGTGCACAAAAAGGAGAGACATGCAGGAGCCTCTGGGGGCAGATGCTCCACCTCCCAGGCTAGCTGGCTGCCATATCTCCCTACCAACGCGGAGGCCCAGCCGCTGCCCTCCAATCTGAAAGGGACTGGGGCTGCCCCTCCCGGGATTCTGGGAAGGAGGGAGCTGGCCTTCTTCGCCTGGTGAATCTTAGAGGCTGGCAGGAGAAGTCCCCGGAAGGGAGCAGCCCCCTCCTGGGGAGGGCACTGGGCGCTCTGCATAAGAACCAGGCCTGTTTCTGTAGCTCCTGGGGGAGACTTGGGTGGGGGCATGCCTGGGACCACCAGGCCAGAGTTCTGTCCAGTGACTGCCCCCAAGATGGGCTGGGGTGGACCAAAGCTCACTCTCCAAGGAGAAGTCGCTACCTCAATTAGCTCTCCTCCCAGGAGCGGCTCCACTGATCTCCTCAGAGGCACAGCAGGCTCCCAAGGGCTGCAGCCCCCCGCGGCCCCCAGCCTTTGCCCAGAGTTCCCGGCCACATTGTGCCCGAGGCCCCACGCTGCCCTTTTCACTCCCTTTGCCTGGCCAGCAGTAGGCAGTGCCTTTGAAGTCCTGTTTTCTGGTCCAACTGGAATCTTTGCTCAGAACCAAAATTAGGCTGCACAATCAGCTTGCAATTTAAAATGCCACCCAAGCCTCCCCCCGTCCCCCCTTTTAAAATGTCATCTTAATTAGATGAAGCCTGGCTTCATGTTTTCTGAATTTCAAGGTAGTTTCTCTAGGACATTTCCCGCCTTGTAGTTATTTTTATCTTTAACATAAGGTGGAGGCAGTGACTGGAGGCTGGTCTGTGTGTCTGCAGGCACCTCAGCCCTCAGCAGGTTAGCCCTGGAGGCTGAAGAAACACTGATCTCAGGGGTCTTGGGGACAGCTGGTCATAAGTCCACCTCACTGAATTCAGCACTACCCTTTCTGGGCCTCTCTCCAGCAAAGGGTTCTGCTAGGGGTTGGGAGGAAACCCTGAAGGAGCGGGGGCAGCTTGGCCAGCTCTCCTGCGCCCTGGCCAGTCAACTCACTTCCCTGCCTAAACTCTGCAGATTCCGCCACAACGATGAAGGGGATTTCCCAGAGTGTGGGCCGCTGAAGATTCCAGGTTGTTCTGGGACCCTGCATTAACACCACTAACTCACGCTAGGAAGGCTTCTGACTGACCTTCGGTAAGAAAGGCTGCTTGGTGCCCTTTTATCTTTGACACCCATCAACACCTGTGAATCATTCCTTTCAACAAAGAGGGAGCAGGGAGCAAGCAGTGGAACTGGGCTCCTCAGCCTGCTGCAGCATTCAAAATATGCTGATCCACGAGCTTCATCTCAGAGGACGGCAGGGAAGCTCCCTGTTAGGAGCTGAACTGTGTTCCCCCAAAACTCACAGGTTGAAGTTCTAACCCCCAGGACCTCAGAATGTGACTGTATTTAGAGACAGGGTCTTTAAAAAGGCAATTCTGTTAAAATGATTAGATGGGTTCTAATCCAATAGGACTGGCGTCCTTATAGAGATTAAGACACAGACTCACACGGAGGGAAGGCCATGTGAAGATGGGGAGAAAACAGCCATCTACAAGCCAAGGAGCAGAGGCCTCAGAAGAAACCAACCCTGCCAGCACCCTGATCTCAGACTCCCAGCCTTCAGAACTGTGATTATGCTTTGTTATGACGGCCCTGGGAAACAAATACAGCCCCTGAGGTGGAGCTCTCCCTGGGGCTGGGAGTTGGGGTTCTCTCTCCATCATTCCAAACTCTATCTACAAGGCCATGTGGGGTCAAGGTCGTTCCTCCCCTGAGCCTCACCCACTGCCCTCCGCCCATCCCTTTCTAGGCTTTGCACACACACCAGCCTCATTTCCACTAGGGGCCTCTGCACTGGCTCCTCCTGGACTCGAGTCTTTGCCAGATTGTCTCCTTCTTATTTTTCCAGTCTCACTTTAACCCCCAAGATAAGGCTTTCCCTGATCACCCCCATCTCCCAATCTAAAGCAAAAGTTTTTCTCATCCTAACATGATTTTCTTTTCTTTAACAGCACTTATTGCAAGGTGTAATTAGACAGGTTTGTTTCCTTGATGACTGTTTCTCTTCCTAGGGGAATTGTAAGCTCTGTGAGGGCAGGGCCTACATCTGCTTCATTAACTATTGTGTTCAGTTACAAGATGCTGCTCATGGAATAAATGGACTCCAGGCTATACGTTGAGATGGGCACTAGGTACCATCTCCTCATCCTTGCAAGGTCTGGCGGGGTGAGCTGAAAGTGGGGTCAGGAAGCAGAGGAGAAATGGCCCAGAGCCTGTTCTCAAGGTCTCTGCTTACCTCAACAGGAGATCCAAGAGAGCCAGGCTGTGGGGCATACCAGCCATGAGGGTAGCTGCAATGTCACAGGGGGAGCAGAATAAGGGGCCGGCTAACCCTACCTGTCCTGGATGCTTCCAGAGCAACTGGAGAAACGAGTGCTGATGCACTCCAGTGGAGGTGGACAGTGTCCTTCCTTGTCACCCACCTATTCAGCTGAGTATCAACACAACCCCACCTGTGCAGACTGCACGTGTAGGCATGGGCCAGGCCACCAGCTCTCAGCCAGCCGAAGTGGTTGGTCGGTGAAACTCTGAAACTGAGTCATGGATGATACAGGGCTGTCTTCTGGGGTGGAGGCATTTGTTTATTATGTAAATTTCAAACCCACTAATATTCCTCCTAAGAAGTTACCTGGTTTGGAATGTTGTGAATGAAAACAAGAAAAAACATGAACTAGACAGAAAAGTGAAGTTTGCCCACATTAAAAAAAAAGTTGTAAACTGATGTTTGAGCCTAATTGTGTAATTATGGGCTCTTGTCCTTTCAGGGGCTGTGAGGCACCAGTCTTCTCTTGTTAGGAACAATGGACATGAAAGCCAGCTCCCAACAATGTTAAAGTGTTATGTTAAGTCCAGCACATCTAATATATCCCGTATTTTGAACAATAAAGAAACAAGTTTCATTAATGGCATCTTCCTGGACCTGCTGAATAAATGATGAACAATATTTCAAGAGCACCAGCTTGAAGAGGGACCTGCAATCTGCCTGCCTGGGATGGCAGGAAGGATTAAAGAGAACACAGGCCCTCAGTACCATGGGCAAAGCCCTGAGGATCAAGAAAAGCAGACGCAGGGGGCTCCCTGAAGTCTGGGGCAGCAGGGTCTCTGCTCTCCCCGGTGAGGGTGGCAGTGAGTGTGGCTCCCACCAGCCTCTGTGTTCTGTGTTTACAAGTCTCTCCACTGGATGCTGGGCTCCTATACCAGGCGCCCTCTTGTATCCAGGATGTACCAACAAACTGGGCAAACAGTAGGTGCTCAGTAAACATTTGCCAAGTGAATGAACTTGGTAGGGCTTGGTAGGGAAAGATCTAAAAAGCAATGAAGTAGGGGGTTAGAAAGCTCGGGGTGCAAGATAGGTGTTCTGCTGTGGCTCTTCAGTGCCCTTTCCCTTGCCAGCGTCTATAAAATGAGGGTGTCGCATTGGGTAGATCAGAGGTGGGAAACTGGCTTCAACTTGAGGGCTGACTGCAACCAACCGGTAGTGGCTGCCTGGGGCAATGGCTATCCTGAGAGAACTCTGAGGGCAGATTCAGTGCCATGAATGAAATACAGTGACTGCCGGGGACAAGAGCTGGGGGTCAATGATAGCAAGCACACAAGACAAATCCGTGTCACCCTTTAGATGTGATCATCTCTGAGGTCGCTGTCAGCCATCATGCTTTGTGATGCTTTGTCAAGGGTGTAAGTCCATAAACTGTCTGACAGTCACGAGGGGCTCTACTGCTCCAGAGGGTGAAGTCACTGCCCACCCAAGATGCCAGCTCATGCTCTGGTGCTTCCCAGCCTCTCCCATGTCAGGGTCTGTCCACACAGAAAATGCTGGCCTCAGCAGAGCCCCTTGCAGGGAACACAGAGAGCTGACTCTTGGGGCAGCTGGTCACCCGTTTTGTGTGGCAAGCCTCGCTGGTGGGGGTCTTGCTATGGGAAGGCTGCCCGCCAGCCTCCACATGGGGCTCTCCTCTGACCCCACCCTGAGCTCAGCATCACACCACTTGGTTGCTTGGGTCTCCAAGTGTCCATCTGGAAAACAAGACTGTGATTCCTCTGGGGCAGGAGTGATGTCTTCCCCTGGCACACCCCACCCCAGCATGGGACAGGGCACAGAGCTCAGCATACAAAAGGCAGTGGTGAAATCATGGGAAGCAGTCCACAGGCAGGCAGAACGAGCAGTCAAAAGCTGCTCAGGAATCCTGCGACCCTTCTCCACCGACCCCACTTCGGCTGCGCGTGGAGGTCCCGTTTCAGGCCGGGGAGAGAACCAGAGATGGTTCAGATGAATTCAAGTCCAGGCTGGGGAGGAGATAGTAGATACCAGGTGTGTGCTGGTTCCTTGTCACAGCATTTTATCCTCCCAGAAAAGTTAAGGTGGAATTATTTATAGACAGAAAAAAAGTGTTTTTCTGTGATTTGCTCAATTAATTATAAAGCAGCTGTTTTTAATAATTTGGAACATGTAAGAGAAGGGAAATGTCAGGGCAAGCCATAAATATGAAGTTAAGGACACCAGTTGGGTGAGAAATCAATACACACAGTGATGGTATTGGCAACACGGCAGCAGCTCCTAGCAGCCAGGGGCTGGCGGGCTGGCTGTGTTCAAAGCACCTTCTGAGAAGAGGGAGCCCGGGCGTGACCCCCAGTCATGTAGGGTACTGTTGGCCATGGGAAGGAGTTTGGCTTTTATTCTATGTGTGGTAGGAAGTCACGGAGGGTTTTAAAGGTGGGAATGAAATAATATTGTTTCAAAAGCTCATGCTGGCTGCTGTGTATAGCCAGATGGGGCTGGGAGGCCTGGAAGAGTGGCTCCAGGGAGCACTCCAAGGAGGCCACTGCAGTTGTCAAATGAGAGATGATGGGGGTTTGGAGAATGTCTGAGCTGGAGGGGCCCATAGAACTGCTTCTGTCTATGCTCCCTCATCATACAAGTTGGGAAACTGAGGCACAGAGAGGCGGGGCTAGTTCACTGTTCCAGGGTCACTGGTGGCTTAGCTGGTGGATCCTGGGAAGGAGGTAGGGCTGGCTGGGAAGCAGAGGCTAGAGAGGAGGTGGGTGGTGGGGGGGTGTGTCGAAACCCTTCAGGGAGAGGCCAGTGGTTTGAGCTATCAAGATTCTAGAACCCAGGGAACCTTAGTCTGCTTGGGCTGGTTCTGGGGTCCCTGAGGACTGAACACGGCACACAAGTGGGGAGAGGGTGACAGTGGGGCTGAAGTAGATTGTGAGCTGTAGATCAGAGAAGACTGTTCACATCAGTGTGGGACTGGACAGAGGTGCTGCTGCTGGATGACCCACAGGCAGGACCCCTGGGCGGGGGCGTTCAGAGCCCCAGGACTTTCTGCCCACACCTCCACATCAAGGGAGTAACGCTGTGAGCAGTCATTTGGGAGCAGGCCTATTAGGGTCTCAGTATCTTCGTCTGTAAATTGGGGGTGGTGACAGTGTGCACCTCACAGACGGCTGAGTTCTAAACAAGTTAGTGCAGTCAGGTGCTCAGCACACTCAGTGACAATAGTAACAATTCAACATGATGGCCACTACGCTTATGAATCACCCACATCTGGCACTCTGACTGAGCCACTCCGCCGGGCAGAATGGTTTAGCTGTGTTCCACTGGGAAGAGAAGCACAATAAAACAAGCACACGTCAGGGTTTTGGTAAAGAAGAACTCACCAAAACAAAACAAAAAAAATGCAACTGAAAAATTAAAAAAACCCAATCTCCCTCCACACACATGCACATACATAAAAATAATGGAAAAATGCCAAGCTTCTGTGGTAAGCGCTTAGAGGGCAAACAGAGAAAGCCCTTCTTGCAGCCTCTTCATGCCCTGAAGAAATCACTGACAGCAAGTCAGAGGAAAAAGGGGGCCCAGGGCTCAGAGCTGGAAGCAAGAGCTGGGGTTTGAGTCTAGATCTTTCTGACCCCCGAAGTCTGTGCTTCCGGCTCCCCCACATCCCTTCTGTAAGGCCTTTCTTTGACCCTCAAAAGCAAATCCAAGTCACTTTTGTTTTGACTGAGGTATGTGACACGGTCCACTGGTATTCTTGGTATGGCTTGAAACAAAAAAAGGTCAAACCCACCCCATCAATCGTATTGTTAGCGTAAGCCCAAACTCTGTTTACCTGACTGCCATAGCTATCTGTTATTTTTATTGTTCACCGGTATCCTCTGTCCACTTCAGCTGGCCTGTATCCACCCCAGCCACACAGGCTGACTTCAGAGCTCTCAGAGGTCTGAGGAAATGTGGCCTTGCCCTGGGCTGGGAGATGGGCCCGTGGCTGCTCAGCAGGGAATGGGGCTGGTGAGAACGCCCACCTCAGGGAGCTGGCAGTGGCAAGCATCTGGCTTCTGGAACTAAAACTTGCTCGCTGGAACTTTGACAAGTTAGTGGGAGACAAGTCAAATGGTCTGATTTATAAAATGAGGCTTAAGTAAAACTCCACACATTGGTGGTTCAACTGGCAGCCCTGAAGGAATCTGAGAAAACTCAGGAACCACCCAGACAGACTTCAGCTCCATCAAGGGCACCAGAGCCAAGTGGGAGCAGGATGCTGATTTTCAGATCGATTTGTGTAAAAGTTTATATTTTAAAAAATATTATTTTTTTTGGTCAGGGATAGGCCAAATAAGAATCAACCCATTTTAAAGATGAGAAAAATAAAGTCTGGAGAGGCCAGTATTTTACCCAGGGAAGCATTTGGAGGTGAGTAACCCCAGATTCAGTCTGGACTCTGTCACTCGCTCTCTGTGTGACCTCACAAAACCTTAGCATTCTAATCTGTTTAAATAGTCCCAACTTCTCAGGGTGTTATGAGGATTAAAGGAATGAATACAAGCCACTTAAGACAGTGCCTGGAGCACGGTGACCAGTCAGTGGAGGTTAACTGTTACTATGTCACACAGTTGGCCGTGGTGAGCTGCAGCCAGGGGCCAGCTGGTACCACTTTGACTGAGAGAAGCCACTCATTTATTTAAATTCTCTGTACCGCCTGACCACTATCTACAGCCTTTCCTGTTTGTTTCTCTTTTCTCAACTCTAAATTCTATGAGAATTATCCTGCTCAGAGGCCTCAGCTAGCAGCTTACACAGCTGGTACATAGTAGGTCATTAGTGCAAGTGGCCCTTTTGACATGGGACAAAAGCTACAGCCTCTCTCCTTAGAGAGAGAAGGCATGTAGTCATGCACACACTAAACCACCCACAGGAACTACACATCCAGCTACACGTGGACACAGACACACTCACAAGCACATGTGCGTGCGCGCGCGCGCGCGCACACACACACACACACACACACACACACGAACCCCAATCTGCCTTCCATTTCTGAGGTGGCAGCTCCAGAATCCCAGGTTAGGAAGCTGGCCAATTATAAAACACAGGCATCTGAGTGGTTTCTAAGCCACAGCATTTGCTCAGATTGTCTGGGTCAATGCTGCCTCTGGACCCCCAGGTAGACTGTGCTGATTTCTCCCAGCAGAGTAATAAGCCAGGCAGAGTGGCTTGTGGAACTATTTCCATCCTCCTGAAGATGATGCTTCCTCATCATCTGGATTGTGTGGAAGTGGCTACTCTGCTAGTTCCCCATGCAAATTTAATAATGTTCTAAAAGCTCAGTTCCACATAAATATAAATGTGTTTCCAACTCTGAGGTTTCAGTGATCAGGAGGCTTTTAGAAATCATTCAGAGAATTATTCAACAGACAATCAACAGCTTATTGGAAAAAATGATTCAGAGACAAAAAAGAAAGAAAGGAAGAGCTAAGAGAGATCAGGGAAGAAAGGAAGGTGGGGGCTGCCTCGGGCTGGGTGGGGCTGGGGCAAGGGTGAGGAAGCACAGTGAAGCCTTGGCAGTCACAGCCCTGCCAGTCACATGCAGCCTCATGCCAGGCCCTTTCTGAAAAGGCTTTTATTTGAGAGAGTTAGACGCAGCAGATCGGAGGAAGCAGGCCCCAGGGCCCTACCTCCCTAGAGTGGGATCCGCCTCTGTTCATGCTTCAGAAAGCAGTGAGAAAGGCCTTCTCTCTCCAGGGTTGGACAGCCCCAGGAAGGCTAGCTAACCCAGCGCTGAGGGCTTCATCTGGAGAGTGAAGGTAGGAATGTTCACCTGGATGGCAGCCCCAAGCCTTGCCTTTGGAGTTAGGCAAGCCTGGGTCTTGTTGCTGGCTCTGCCATCTGTCAGCTGTGTGACTGTAGGCAAGTTACTCAACCTTTCTGAGCCTCGGTTTCCTGATCTGTAAAATGAGGTTAATCATTTTACCTGCTCATATGGATGAGGCAAGCCTTCCCAAACTCCAGATCTTTCTGTCTTGTTTTCACAATTTCTGCCCAATCCACATGACACCCCGTCCTTATATTCATATGTTTTATTTAATTAACCCTTTTTTTTTTTTTTTTGAGACAGAGTCTCACTCTCTCGCCCAGGCTGGAGTGCAGTGGCATGATCTCAGCTCACTGCAAGCTCCGCCTACCGGGTTCACACCATTCTCCTGCCTCAGCCTCCTAAGTAGCTGGGACTACAGGTGCCCGCCACCATGCCCAGTTAATTTTTTTTGTATTTTTTAGTAGACATGGGGTTTCACCGTGTTAGCCAGGATGGTCTTGATCTCCTGATCTCGTGATCTGCCCGCTTCGGCCTCCTAAAGTGCTGGGATTACAGGTGTGAGCCATCGTGCCCAGCCTAATTAACTCATTTTTTAAAAAAAGTTAAACCCATACTTTGGCCCCATTCTAATATCTGGGCAGTCATGAGCTAGATGGGCTATGTTTTGGATTCTTATTAAAATAAGCATATCACTATTAAAATGAAGACTGTCAGGGTAACACAGAAATGACGGAGTGTCTCAGAGCCTGGCATATATGCCCCACGTGTGGGGGAAGTTGTTACTGCCCTTGTCATCATCACTGTCGCTGATCAATAAGGGCAAGCTGGAAGGGAGGTGACAATGGAGTCTCTCTGCATGCGCCTGGTTTGAGAGCCCTTAACCCACATCTGGGGCTCGCATCCTCTTCCTGCCAAAGCCTGGGACCCAGCCAGGGTTCCTCTTCACCTGTTTCCTTACCATCTTTCACAGGCTGCCTCATGTCTGCACATACGGAAGATCATCCTACACAAAGATAACTATTTTATTTTATTTTTTGAGACAGGGTCTCGCCCTGTTGCCCAGGCTGGAGTGCAGTGGCGTGAACATGGCTTACCGTAGCCTCGACCTCCTGGGCTCAAGTGATCCTCCCACCTCGGCCTCCCCAGTAGCTGGGACCACAGGCACGCACCACCATGGCTGGCTAATTTTTTATTTTTATTTTGTAGAGACAGGGTCTTGCTGTGTTTCCCAGGCTGGTCTCAAACTCCTGGGCTCAAGTGATCCGCCCACCTTTGCCTCCCAGAGTGCTGGGATTATGGGCGTGAGCCAGCACTCCCACTCGATAACTATTTTTTTAATCGTCTAGTTCTACATAAAGAAGAGAATACACACTCCCTGACCCAGCCCAGCTGCACACATTTTTCCATCTTCACAACTCCCTCCTCCCTAGTTTGACAAAACCTGAATTTCTAAGGAGGGGAAAAAGTACTCCAACCAGCACTGCCGGGTTATTTTTCAATTCTGCCTAGCTGACTAACCCAGAATTTCCTAATTACAACTCCACCAGGATGCTATAACACTTTCATTTAAAAAAGAAAAGAAAAGAACTGAAATTCAAACTTAACAAAAAATTCCCACCTTTTAAACACATGCATACACACACACACACACACACACACACACACACACACACACACACACACACCAGTTAGACAAAACAGGTGCGCAGTGTCCATGTCATCCACCGGGTGGGTGGCTGTGCGCACAGAAAACAGGTTTGGGTTTGGATTTAGAAATCCCAGGTCTGAGTCCAAAATCTGTACTCCCAGCTGTGTGATGCTGGGCAAGGTGGTTGGCCTCCCTGAGCCTTGGCTTCCTTGTCTGCAACCGGGGGTCAAGGTGGTGCCGGCTCATGAGCTTGCTGTATGGATGAGGGTACAGGGCAGGGCGTGAGTGTTCTGTGAGCTCTGGTACATCACACCAGATACGAATGTTAGAGATATTAATGTTTCTGGTGCAAGAGGTCACATTTGGATCTTGCCTCAAGCAAGCTGGGAGGCAGGTGGAGTTTATCTGACCCCACCCTGGGTACAGGGAATCCCGTGTCCTACTCCCAAAGGGCGGTTTTCTCAGTTAGCTGATGGCTAATCCCTACTGGTAGACGCTTCTCCTTCCAGGAGTATTAGTACTTTAACCAGGATTCTTAGAGACCTAAAAACCTTTAACACCCAAAGGGCTCTAACTGGGAGATTTTAGGCATGAGGGAGACGCTTTGAAGTGGGGCCCCACCATCTCTCCTGAATAATGTATACCTTGTAGGAAGAGTTGTGGGATGGCTACAGCTTCCAGAGAACTGGGATTCCCTCATTTTATTGCTAGGGAAGGAACTTGGGTCTCCAGAAACAACTCAGATTCTGACCTGGAACTCCAACCTGGTCCCATCACGGGCTCTGTTTGGTTTCCCAGAAGTATCTAAAAAAGCAAGTACTTTGGCTAGAGACAAAGGGTTGCTTTTCAATCCCCACCTGTGCTGGGCTCTAGCTGGAGCCCAGCAGGCTGTCACTGTTTGAAGGCCAGTCCTGCAGGTTCTAGGGTGAGGGTGACCAGCTGGGCAGAGGCACCCTGAATAGCCTTGATCCTCAGGCTCAGCATCTGTGTGTCCCCCTGGGTAGGTCCTAGAGGCAGTTAGAGCCCAGACACGCCGCTTAAGATCCTCCAGCAGGCTCAGCGACCCCCTCTGCATGCCTGTTCATGCAGGCATCCTTGAATGCAGCCTTGTTGAGGGCCACTATAACTCAACTCCACATGGGAAACAAGCGCTTCTCCCTTCAAAGCTGAAGGACTTTGTTTAGCTGAGCTCAATTCCAGCCCGTCGCTCTGGCAACCAGTCTTTGGGGGATTTACATCTCATGCATCACAACAGAGGAATAGCCATTCAGCAAGTAAGGGGGTCTAAAAAAAACCCACAACACAACACCAGTGTGCCTGCCCCCACCCCAAGAGAGCTGCCACAAAACAGGAACAGAATCAGCAACAACAGAACTCTCCCACAAGCCCATTCGGTTTTGGCTGGCAATCAGCCAAACACAAATTCAAACTTAATCAAACTTTCCAGTCTCCCTTGTAAAGCTCAGGAAATCAGTAATTGGCTTTATAATTGAATTTTCTGATCACGTATCAAAGGAATGGGTCCTGCCAAAGGCCAAGGAATGGCCTGTCTCCAGTAAGGACGGCCAAGGTCCCTAATAGAGGCTCTGGAAGGTACGGGAAGAGAATTAACTGCTGTTTGGCTAAGAATAGAGCCTGTTATTTATAACCAAGGAAGACGCCAGTGACAGCCGAGCCTTGCCTGTGCAAGGTGGTCTCCCCCAAACAACTACCCAGGAGCCCCAGGTTTCTGATTCAGAAAGGAAGCCTTTGACAACAGTGTCAGCGGCAAACAGGGTGGAATATTGGGAGGAAGAGGCAGGGAGACCACCTTGGTGAGGAGCACCGTACGAACACTGGGAAGAGGGAAGGCTGCCTCACTGGGGCAGTGGCCTGGGCAGCGAGAGGAAGGGCTGATTCAAGAGCCATTCTGGAACAGGAAGCGAGACATGGAGGGGAAGGAGGAGTCCAGGGTCTCTGCTTGGATAACTGGGAGAAAGGTGGTGCTTTCGATTTAAAGGTGGAAGGGAGAAGAAGCCTGCTTTGTGCAGAGTGGTTTCACATGGGCTGGCCCTGGGGTGCTAGCGTGCCTTAGCAACAGGAGTGGTAACAGGTACAGCCCAGCCTTTGTGTGCCCTTGATAGGTGCTAGGCCCCTGAGATCATCATCTCATTTAATCTTCCCAGCAGCACAAGGAGGTAGGTGACTTATTATCCTCATATTACACACCAGAAAAGCAAGGCTCAGAGAACAGACGAGAAGGACCTGCCCATCTGCGAGCCACGGAGCTGGGACTTGGACCCAGGACTGTCTGACCCCAGAGTCCACAAGTTCAACCTCTGATACCATGATCACTTCTTTATCTGCAGACGAAAACCTCTCACAGCCAAATAGAAATAACTAGCAAAGGGCTCCCAATGCTGGAAAGGGAGGTATGGACTAGACGTGGAAGCTGGTGGACAAATCAACATTCATTAAACAAACCATTTACCATTTAAAAATGCTAATTGTAAAGGCAAGCCAAAGACTGGGAGAAAATATGAAATAGTACATATAACTGACAAGGAACTTGTATCAGGGATATTAAAAAAATCTTAAAACTCATTAATAAGAAGACAAACAACCCAATAAAAGGGAAGAATAAAAGACCTGAACAGTTACTTTACAAGAGAAGATATACGCATGGCCCAAAAGTATGTTAAAAGGTGCCAAATATTATTAGTCACCATGGAAAGGCAGATTAAAACCACAGTGAAATACCACTGTGCACAAACTTGAGCAGCTAATGAAAAGGGCTGGCAATCCAAATGTCAGTGAGTGTGCAGGACAACAGGAATCCTTATATGTTGCTGGTGGAATTTTCAACAGTACTACCACTTGGGGAAGTAGTTTGGAAGTTTCTTATGCAGTTAACATACCCTCCCAACGTGACCCAGCAATTCTATTCCTGGGTAGTTACCACAAGAAATGAAAACATATGTCCCCACAAAAACTTGTACATCAATGTTCTGGCAGCATTATTCATAAGAGTCCCAGAATGGAAACAAGTGAAATGTCCATCACCAGATGACGGACAAACAAATGATGTTTACACTTGGGGTAGGTTGGAAGCTTGGTCATAAAGAAGTGTGACAAGAGAGGCAGCAGAAAGAATCCAGAGACAAGCAGAGGATCTGGGAGGGGCATTGCATGCAGACACCTAGCTCACACCCAGTCCACTTTTTTTTTTTTTTTTTTTTAAAGCAAAGCCTTCTGCTGTGGTTGGAGCAAAGAGAGCAGCCCCCACATTCTGTGAGACTTATCCTGCACAAAGAGTTATGCTGGTCCCCCATCCCGCCTATGGGAAGCTTGAAGCCCAGAGAGCGACGGGGCCTGCCTGCAGTGTCCTGCTAAGTTAGTGCCAGAGCCAGGATTGCAAGTAAACTCCCCTCGCAGAGCCTGGCCTAGGTAGGAGTCAGGCACACTGGGGGTCAGCACATGGCTCTGCTGCCAGTTGGGCAAGCGACTTAACCTTTCTCAGCTCATCTATAAAGTATAGTAATAACCCTGTCTCAACACTGTTGGCACAGTTAAGTGATATGACTTGGTGTTTCCTAAGAACATTAGGAGCTATCACCTACTAAGCATGAAATATGTGCCAGGTACTGCTGTTAATCACTTGACACACCAACCTTCCTATACCCTATGTTCATGTGGGAACATGCTACAGAGGAGGAAAGGTGCAGAGAGGTCACACACTAGCAAGTCCGGTGA
Organism: Homo sapiens; assembly: GCF_000001405.40. Lineage (NCBI taxonomy): Eukaryota > Metazoa > Chordata > Mammalia > Primates > Hominidae > Homo > Homo sapiens. The sequence goes on along the minus strand of NC_000016.10, from coordinate 56,293,827 downwards.
GGCGGCTGGGCATCTGAGCCTTTTCACCCCAGGCAACGTTCCCAAACCCAGTCATTCATTCATCGCTTTCCCCAACCTGATATCAGGACAGCTCTGAAATTAGCCTCATCTTCAGTCATAGATATGAAATTATGGGTTTGATATGTTATGTGATCTTTTTTCAAGTACATATTAAAACCGATATGCAACTACAAAAGTAGGAATAAAAGGTTTATCCACGTACCATTTAATCTCATATTCCACCAAAGTATGTGTGCCATGCCAGGGAAACACTGACATCACACAGGAGAAGCTGCTGGCACACTGTCTGCACACAGAACATGGGACTCATGTTCCAGAGATGTCATGCATGTTCATATCAGAAGGGCAATCCATTTTTAGAGCTGGGACAGGAGACAGGGTGAGAAGCCACCACCATAGCCACCAAGAAATGAATTTTCAGGTGGGCTCTGTCATGTCACAGAGAAGCAAAGCTGTTGAACTGCTCAGCTGGGCCCAAGTGAGGAGCAGAAAACAGCCAACAGAGCCAAGAAAATGGACCTGTCACCCCAGCAGAGGTGCTGCTTCCAGTTGGCAGCAGTTTGGCTAAAATTCACACCTGAGCACTATGCCAGAGACTGGCTCCCTATTGACAAAAGTATTTCATCTCTTCTTCCAAGGTCACAGCTAGGCATTTCATAGACTTCCCTGCAGTTAGGTGTGACCAGGGACCAAGTTCTGGCCCGGCCCCAAAAACTCCCCTTGTGACCTTCCCCAGTCCACTGGCCTGATACCAGGAGTCCAGCAGAAGACCCTCAGCTGAGGCTGAACCACTGACCACAGGGGAGTTGGCTCGGGCCTACGTGGGACAGGGCAACCCCCAGCACTTCCACATTAGACTGTGGTGGGAGCAAGGAACTAACGTTCACTATGTTGAGGCCCTGAGATTTCGGGGCTGCTGGTTACAGCAGGTGGAGTTGGGCATTTTCCAGAGTGTCAAGAAACTTCTGTTGCTACCATACTAGGGCTTATACCTAGGGAGGTATTAATACTTTCTCCAGTATTTTTAAATACTTTTCAGAGTAGGCAATTATCAAACAGGACAGCAGAGCTGAACGTGCAGCTCATAAGCCATGAACATGCTGTGTAGGAAGACAGCGAACAGCTCCATTTTAAATTCTAAATTTGGCCAGGCATAGTGGCTCATGCTTGTAATCCCAGCACTTTGGGAGGCTGAGGTGGGTGGATCACTTGAGCTCACGAGTTTGAGACCAGCCTGGGCAACATAATGTAACCCTATCTCTACAAAAAATACAAAAATTAGCTGGGTATGGTGATATGTGCCTGTAGTCCCAGCTACTTAGGAGACTGAGGTGGGAGGATGGTTTGAGCCTGGGAGGCAGAGGTTGCAGTGAGCCAAGATCATGCCATTATACTCCAACCTGGGTGATAAAGCTAGACCTTGTCTTAAAAAAAAATCCAAATTTAAATTCTGACTCCATTTTATCCACAGGGTAGAAAAATACCAGTATCTTTTGAGATTGTTCTGGGGATGCAGTGGGATATATCCATGCCTGCGAGGCATCCAGCACGTGGGCACAGGGAGATGCTCAGTGAATTGTAGGCTCCTCCTGCTTCAGGCACAACTCAGCACACAGCCTTAGAAGCCCCCAAACTCAGGGATGACTGCAGCCTGGGTGCAGTTCAGATTGTCTGCTAGGAAAGAGCCTGCTGGGGAACGCTGATGGGGAATGTGGAGCAATGTGGAGCAAGAAAGAGCCAGTTCCTTCAGCTCCAAAAGAGTGTAAGTCCCGAAGGCAGGGCAGGCAATGGTGCTATGGTCAGAATATCTGTGTCCGTCCACAATTCGCGTGCTCAAAACCTAATCCCCAAGGCAATGATATTAAGAGGTGGGGCCTTTGGGAAGCAATTAGATCATAAGAGTGTTGCCATCTCGAATGAGATCAGTGCCCTTATAAACAGGCTTGAGGGAGCCTTTTGTCCCTTCTGCCACCTGAGGATGCAGTGATAGGGCACCATCTATGGAGCAGAGAAGAAACCCTTACCAGACAGCAAATCTGCTGGTATCTTGATGTTGGACTTCTCATCCTCCAGAAATGTGGGCAATTCATTTCTGTTGTTTCTAAATTACCCATTCTAAGGTATTTTGTTGCAGCAGCATAAAGGAACAGAGACAGATGAGTAGGTCTGGGGGAGTGAGGAACTCTGGCAAGGGGGCAGAGGCAAGGGCAGAATGAGGTGAGACTTCAAAGGGCACCATCACAAAATTCGAAAGATAATGCACAGAAGGGGAGAAAATATTTGCAAATCGCATATCTAATAAAGGACTCGTATCCAGAATAAAGGACTCTTACAACTTAACCGTAAGACAAATAACCCCATTTAGAGATGGGCTAATTCTGAATAGACATTTCTCTGAAGAAAATACACCAATGGCCAAAAGCACATGAAAAGATGCTCAATATCATTAATCACTGGGGAAATGCAAATGAAAACCACAATGAGTTATAGCCACGAGGATGGCTATAATAAAAACGATGAACAATAACATGTATTAGTGAGAACGGGGAGACACTGGAACCTCCATATGCGGAAAATGGGAATGTAAGACGGTGTAGCCACTTTGGAAAACAGTTTGATGGTTCCTCAGAAAGTCAAACATGGAACTACCTTATGAACCATCAGTTTTGCCCCTAGTTATGTACCCAAGAGAAATGAAAACATGAGTCTGTACAAAACTTGTACATGAATGTTCACAGCAGCATTATTCATAGTAGCCAAAAGGTGGAAACAACCTCAATGTCCATCAAATGATGAATAGATGAATGAAATTTGGTATATCCATACAATGAAATGTGATTCAGCTACAACACGGAAAAACCTTGAAAACATTATGCCAAGTGAAAGAAGCAAGATGCAAAAGAGTACATAGTGTATGATTCCATTTATATAAAATGTCCAGAATAGACAAATCCATAGAGACAGAGAGCAGATTAGTGGTTGCCAGGGGCTGCAGGCAGAGGGGTAGGGAGGGAATGCTAACGGGTATAGGGTTTCTTTTGGAGGTGCTTGCCTCTGTGCCTTGCCTGGAGAGGGGCCGGGTTCCAGGAGTGGATGCACAGAGCCAGCTTTCAGGAGGCACCCCCTCTCACATGCCTCACGTGTGTGACCCCTACTCCTTGCTTCCTGCACAGTGCGTGGGCAGGTGTGGTTTCAATTCAGCAGGTGAAAAAATTGAGGCCTGCAAGAGGGCCTATGAACAAGTGGGTTCTAGAACTCAGGTTCCAAACTCATTCTGGGTCTCCAGGATCTGATTTTAACTACCTGCTCTGATTTTACAAGGGGCCATACAGAAAGCAATGGGCCAGGTGTTCAAACATCTGGGATCAAGAACAGCTCTACCACGGACTAGCTGCAGACTTCAATAGAGCACCCACCAATTCTGGGCCAGGCACTGTGCTGGGTGCTGGAGACTGACTCCAACTGAAGTCATATAGGCCCTGTCCCTGTCCCTTACAGCCTTGTTGGGTCAGGGGGCACAAACATTGATCAAATACTCAGGTGAGCACACATACCAGGGGTCTGAGAGTCAGGACAAGAGGCCCAGCCTATTCGGAGAGTCAGGAAAGGCTTCCAAGGGAGGGGAAGTGATGGTGGAACCCAGGCCTGGGGGAGGGAAGCAGTGGTGGAGAAGTCCCCTATGGAGGAGATAACTCACTAAAAAGCCCTGAGGCCAGGAGGTCGTGGCATTTAAAGAGTCAGCAGCAGAGCCTGTGGCAGGAGCTACAGGAGATAAGGCTGGCTTTATCCTGAGAGCAAAGATGCCACTGAGCGCTTTTAAGCAGGGGATTAGATATGCATTTTTAAAAGCTCACTTTGGCTGTTGTGTGGAGCACAGATTACGGGGTGGGAGGCAAGAGAGGCAGTGGGAAGCTGGAGAGGCTGGTGCAATTGTTTGGGGGACTGGGGCAGGGACATTCCCCACTGCTCTGGGTTCCAGGTACCCCAATGGTACCATGGGACACTTGTTTATGTGCTCTGGGTTTGAGGAGTGGGCCAATCAATAAAATGTGTGCAAAATGTTTGTAACAGTGCTGTCAGCCAGCTGCCCAAAGGCCTCCCTGGCCTCCGTACCCCCTCCTCAAGCCTGCGCCGTATGCTCTGCCATCTCATCCTCATCTAGCAAGCTGCTACTGAAATCCATCCTTCCTCTCCCCACACCGGGAGCCTTTTGGACTGATCAGACTAAAACTGACAGCTTTGCATGGGGCCGCTCATCTCCTGCGTCCCTGAGACATGGTTACCCTTGACACAGATGCTGCAGTGTTAACACTTGACAGTGTTTTTCTGCCTGATTTAGTGTCTTCACCCCGATGGCTCCGTGGCCCATGTGTGCCAGTCCACACCGGTGTCCCCATCCCCACCGGGTGGGGACCATGCCCATTTCTACAGTCCCCAGCCCTGGGCTATACTCCCGTCTTAGACTGACAACCCTGAACCACTCTCATTGATGGATGGCAAAAAAGAGGTCCCGGCTCCAAACTTGAGTGTGTCATTCTCAGTGACAGGCTGATCTGCCCCCCAGTGCGCTGGATACTGTGGGGCAAGTGGCCCAAGTGGCCTGCACTGGGGGCTCACCAAGGCTGCCCCTCCTGCTAGGCTGCTTTTGCTGCTAACAGCCCAGCGGCTGTGGGAACATCAACTCCCTCCTTAAGAGAAAGTCAGTCTTCAATTGAACACAGGTGCCCTAACTTTGAAACTGTGTTTTTTTCTCTTTTTTCCGCTCCCCCCCCCTTTTTTGGATACAAAGGAAGAACCTTGTGCTTGGCAATCACCTAAACTTAGCAATTAAGTTCTGCCAGGGGAATTTATAGAACTAAAAAGGAGGTAGGGTGGGGGAGGGGCGATCTTCGGTGTCGTTCCTCAGATCTAATGGATGAAAAAATGGAGACCCTGTAGGGTAAGGGATGGGCCTGAGGTCACCCTGCCAGCCGAGGCAGGGCCTAGGGGCTGGTCTTTCTGTGAGGGGTCAGTGTTCTAAGTGAAGGCCTGGTATGCTTCCGGTTCATGACAAAGACCCTACCCGCCTCCACCCCTGCTGCTGAGTTCCAGGGGACTCCAGGCTACCTGAGCTCCTGACTCTCCAGAGGCCAGAAAGTAACGCAAAGGGAAGACCGGCCCCCACGCTGGCCACTCTTGCTATCAGAGCTGAGTGACTTAAGACACAGGGCTGTGAAGGCTGCATTTTCCCACCTCCCTGACTTTTCCCCAAGAGGAAGCAGCCTCCTTTTAGAGGCCAGGCCTGATTCTCCTCTCCTTATATAGCTTGGGAACTTCTACAGCCAGGAGCCCAAGTATGTGCTCTGGTCTTACTTCCTGGCGTGCCCCATATGGGGACACTTGGGAGCAGTCTTTTTACCCTCCTATCCTGGTGGCTGGTGAGACCCCACCGGTGCCAATCCCTTCAGCTCTTTGTCAGATACCCCGTCCTCAGCACAGGCTAGGACAGGCCGACTGTCAGGACACTCTGCTCTCTGGAATCACTGAGGCTGTCCACCTGCTCGCCAGCTGAGCTCTGAGCAGCAGTACACCTGCTTGCATTAGTTCACCATGGTGCACAAAGCACTCAGCATGCTGCTGGCACAGAGAAGGCCACGTCCATATTTCTCAAGTAAATAAACCAGTGAGTGAATGAGACAGCCAGGTGCTGAGGGCATCCAGGGGGAGAAAGAAGACACGTCTGGCTGGAGGGGCTGTGGAATGACATTCACAGAGTCATAGGCGGCCCTAATGAAAAGGAATGGAGCAGTAGCCATTTCAGCAGCATTTACTCTGCGCAGATGCTATGCTGAGTGCACCATCGACACTGGACACTGGTGCACGGTCTATGCAGCGCGCCATCTCAGTGTTTCTCAGTCACACAGTGTCTGCCACTCTCCTCCCTCTCTGTGATCTCTCCTGCTCTCTCCTTGTCTCTATCTCTTTGGGTTTCTCTCTCAGGCCATGCTGGGCCCTGAGTCAGAAGCAGCTCTCCTCAGCTCCACTCCTGCAAAGCCAGCAAGAGGGCAGGTGCTGAGGCATACTGTCTTCCAGCCTGAAATCAGAAGGGACAGCTGATTCTGGGAGGGGATGACACCACCTCTTTGACCTGTAATAGCTAAGAGGCCTTGACACCAACCCTTTGCTCTGGTTCTGAAACAATTGTCACACCCAGGCTCCTGTCCTGGCCCTTCACTAACAGGCAGTGAGGTATGGGCAAGAGGAGGGAGATGGCAGTAGCTGTTTCCTGAGCACTTACTTGGTGCCAGGCACCTTGCTTAGCTGTTAACATGCATCATTTCTTTTAGCCACAACAACCCTGTGAGTAGGTATTATTATGATCTCCAGTTTTCAGATGAGGAACCTGAGGGTCAGTCAGTCAGGTGACTAGTGCTAAGTCCACTGCCTGGCAGAGGGCAGGGCCAGGATTCAAAGTCACATCTCTGACTCCTGCTGCCCGCCCTCTGGGGCAGTGCCTCCCCAGCTTTGAAGCGAGGTGTTGACTAGCTCTAAGGCTGTTGCTGGCTGGGGCAGGCTCCAAGGGACCTGACTTCTAGTGGAGGCCTCTTCTGTTACCAGCCTATCTCCCCTCTTCACCTCCCACTCTTCCCTGGCCCCCTGCTGCGGCCACAGTGGAAAGGCGAGACCATTGGTCAGTGGTGGGCTGGGGGCTGTGCACCCATGTGTCCTGCCACCTGGGACCTCAGGGGAGAGGCTGCCATGGGAGCAGCAGTGCTGGCTTGCTGCCGAGCTCAGCCATCTCATGGTCCTGCTGCAGTGGACTCAGCCTGGCCGGCCCTCCACCCTACGACATGAGTCATCTCCTGCACGGGGCAGCACAGCTGGTAGCCCCAATGGCAAGGAGAGATCTGTGGGCGGCTGGTGGCCTCCCCAGCACCCATTTCCTCCTATTCTATTTCCTTTTTCAGGAGCTTCTGGTTTTCCTCTGGGGGATTCACTCTTATCCCAGGAACCCCTCAGCCCCCTTGGTCATGGTGATTGGGTCAAGGAGGGGCAATGAGAGAGAGAGACAGACAGACAGACAGATACACACATACACACACACACACACACACACACACACACACACACAGAGGCGACAGAGACAGAAAGAGACTGAGAGAGAGAGAGAGACTTGCAGGACTTGGTGGTTGCTCAGATGCACCTTGTGCTTGGTGATGTCCTAGGATGCACACAAGGTTACAAGTGATGACTTAGCTGCTGGAGCCATTTTCCTCCTTGGTGCAGGAGTGATGCTGTGGAGTCGAGGGTGAAAACCACACAGTGCGGCAGAGTGGAGAGATGGGGGAAGCCAGGGACGTCCCCTGAGCTGCTGATCAAGCCCCCACTCCCCACATGTGTGTCTGAATTTCTGACTCTCTGGGCCTGTGGCTGTTTTGTGTTTTATTTTGTTTGAATAAGCCAGTTTGCCAGTGTGGTTGTATCTTCCATCACTTGCAACCAACATGTCCTAACTTACTCAGAGTGGGGGCTTCAGCAGTGACATAAGACCACTGTTGGTTGCCCGGCAAAGAAAGAAGAGGGAACGGAGCTGAGTAAAGCAGAAGCTGATGAGCGTGTGTGCAGATGTGTGTAGCGGGAGGATGGAAAGTGGCTCTGGTTTTCCTAGGGAAGCCATCTCCATCTCACATGTGTGGGACTGTGACCCCCACTACACTCCCAGCAGGGCAGGGGCAGATACCACCTTGGCTGTCCCCACCCCACACAGCCTTCCCCACGTGGTGCTGCTGCCTCAAACCTAACCCTTTCTCAGTCCCTGGCGCCTCTTCCTTCAGCAAACTAAAATCTACCTTCCTGGTTTCCTAGGCTACTCCACGGTATATCTGGTGGCCAGAAAGGGATTATACATCCACAAAGGGCTCAATTCTGGGGCTTGGACCAAATGAGGTCCCAGACATAGTCGGGAGAGAGATCTCTCACAGTGAAAGCTACAGTGCTCAGCACAGGGCTCTGACTTGTGTCCCACTACAGGACCACAGGGCCAGCACTGCACTGTCAATTAATATTTTTGTAAATCCTATAATTGTCTTTTTAGGGAGCACAATTATATTCCATTGCATTTGTGGTAGGCCCAAAGTACTGATTTGTTAAGTAGATGCATTTAAAATACAACACGATTTTGTGACCTTGTTTTGGGAATTCTTCAATTTTCAATATTCCAGGAGTCCCAAAATACAGGGCACTGGCCAGGCAGGCCCCTCTCTGCTGTGGCCTATGGCTTCTAAGGCTGAAGTCTGCTTGGCAGCTGGTTTGCCACCTTGAAACAGGTACCACAAGCCCAAAGGATGCTCACACAATGGCCCCTCTCCAGAGGGGAGGCGGTCAGTTCCCCCTGTGTAGCTGCCAGGTGGGGGTTTGGTGGGGGTAGAAGAGGGGCTGCAATGGGGTGGCTCTTGGACATCCAAGATTGGTGGGGGCCACTTCAGTCCTGATGCCGAGGAATATTTATTTACGTGGTTATAACATTTTCCCACCATCAGAGCAGAGTCATTAGGGCTTATGGTGGCGGTGGGGGGCGGGGTTGGAGTGTGAAAGACAGAAAGAGAGCACACAAGCGCAAGGCATCACCGCTTGCAGTTTTCGTTTACTGTTTGTTGAAGTCTTTCATTTAAATTTCCTTTTTAAAATTCCATGCCCTTTTCTACAGGCAATGAACATGTAGAGACTGATGGCAGCCCAGCCTTGAGCATCCACTCAACTCTGCACGCCACGGAAGAGAAGGCAGGCCAGGCCAGATGAAGGCTAGGTGCTGGCTGGGGCCTCTGCAGGGGCCAATGTGCTGGAGCCCTGGAGGCTGAGTGCCTGCTCCAGGCTGAGCCACCGCTGTGGGAACACATGAATGGAAGCACGCATGGCAAACGCTGTGGAGGGATCAGGAAGGCATGGAAAGAAGCATATTCTGCATCTTTCATCCTTTCTTCCCTGGACACATCTGTTCAGGCCATGCATATCCCTAGTACCAAGCCAGCACTTGACCCAGAAGCACACACCCATTGGATGAATGGAATCACTCAGGCACAGGATTCACTGACCCCTGCTAGCACTGGGCATGATGAACAAGACTGACCTGTTCTTCCAGACCTGCTGTCTGGCCCCAAGGGTAAGACAACCATGAAGTAGAGTGTGCTGCTGGGGGGCAGCTGGGAGGGGCTTGGGGGAGGGCACCACTTTTAGCTAAGGAAACCCAAGACTCTAATGAGGAGGAGCAGCTAAGAGACATTTCAAAAATCTGACACTTTAGTCCTTCTTTCTTTCCCATACTGAAAACTGCAGTTCCTTTGGGTTGGTTCTTCCTTTTAGATGATGGTCAAGGAAAGCCACTGATGCTGCCATCCTGGGCCAAAGTACCAGTAGCCGGGTCTCAGGCTCCTTGTGGCAGGGCTTAGATGGTGGATGCCTTCCCTCAAACCAGGAGCTTGCGGCCCGATCCAGCCTTGGATCAGGGAGCTGTGCTGATGCTGCACTGAGCCCTGGAGAGCTAGAATTTCAGAGCTGGGAGAAGCCCTGGAAACCAAGGCGTTTACCTTCTCATTCTGGGGCTGGCATCTCTGCCCAAGACCGGGAGCCTCTTGATCTTTGCATCTTTGTACCCACCTCTGCCATCTTGTGCACTTCCCCAGGAAGTAAGCATTTGTAAGTAATAAGTAATTGAGTGATAAGTATTTGTGGAATGATTGATTGACCAACTGAATGAAAGAAAATGAGTCCCCAAATTGGCTGGGTAACTGGAAGCAGCCTGCTGAGATGGAAAGAGGACTGAGCTGTGATGCAGGAAGCTGAATGCTCTAGTCCTGGATCTGCCACATATTCCCCTGGGTAAGTCTCTTTCCAGTTTGGACCAGATGAAACCTATGTTCCATCTGCAAAATGGAGCAGCAGAATGAGATGGGCTTGAATGGAGCAGTTTCAAGCTCTATTCACCTGGCTGGCAAAGGGTCAGGGCAGGCTCTGGGGCTGTTGTAGGTGGAGAGCCTCAGCACCCAGCATGGGACACATCTACATCCTCTTCCTGGCCTCGTGTTTGGGCTATGGGAGTATGAAGCCTTCATCTATTACATCCTCCAGCCCTCGTCAGATCTAACAACTACCACTAAAGTATCTCTAAGCCCCAGGGGACTCAGGGAGACACAGGCCAGATAGCATCCTTGTTTTTATCTGTTTCAGAATTCATGCAAACCACAAGGTGAACCGCACTGCACTGTAGAGGTGGCACCACAATATTTCCATGATTATTAAAAAACATAGTGTCCTGAGCTCCATTGTGTGACTTAAATGTCAAGATTTCTTTTACCAGAGGAGATCCAATGACATTCTGAAAACTAAATGTGAAATCTGATTCTGCCTCCCAAAGAGCTACCATTATCTCTAGGGGATACAGCTCCAGTGAAGGCCCCTGGTGGAACAAGAGCATGGGCGGCAAGCCCAGCTGGCACCCATCTTTCCTCCTGCTTAGGTAGGTGACTGAGATAGAGCAGGGAGCCCCCTGTTAGGGTCGTGCTGCCCCCCACACCCTGAAAAAGCATGGAAACAGAAAAATCTTGAGTCTCTTCAAGGGAAATTCCAGGCACCTAGGTAGCCTTGAGAAGTAAATGAGCAACTTGAGAAGCAAGGAGGTTGTAATAGCTTAAAATAATAGCCACACAAGTAAGTCAGAGCCACAAGATGTTTGGTTCCCTATGGAAACTAAAGATAACATCTTAACATATGTCCCTGAGTTGTTTTTCAGAAACCTGGACCCCCACCAGATGGAAAATGCCCATTGCAGTCAAGTAGACCTCAGAAGAGTGGTAACTAAGGACAGAACACTGATCGCCGGTCTTTCTTCTCAATTTCTTCCTGAGGGGCCTGGAGAGACTCATACCTACAGGCCAGACCTTAACATTCATTTTGGCTGTCCCCAAGGTTTTAGACAAAGGCTTGCTCCTTAATCAACTGCATATCACAGAATCTCTGGATCTACGTATGACCTCAAAGCCTGCCCCACAAGATATCCTGCTTTTTTGGGCCAAACCAATGTATAACCTCCATGTATAGGTTTACGGTTTTGCCTGTAGCTTCTGCTTTCCTAAAATGTACCCTTGCCTTTAAAAGCCCTTGCTTGTAGGGCCATTGAGGAAGTGAGATGTTAAGCATGAGCTGCCTGACTCTCCTTGCTCAGCCTCCTGCAGATAAACGCAGTCTTTTGTCTTGTTGTAAACTTCAGTGTTGGTGTTTGGCTTTATGGCACAGGTTCAGCAGACCCAGGCTTGGTAATATGACCTTGGGTGGCCAGTTAAGAACCTTGTGCTTCTGTTTCTAACCTGAAAAGTGCAGATAAAACCTTGCCCATTCCTCACTAGATTGCTGTGAGTAGAATTCATCAACACTTTATCAAAAATAATGATTTTAGACAAATAAATGAGAATAATTGCCAACACATGTTGAGAAGTTGCTATGTGACAGGCACTATCCTATGCACGCTACAGGCATTATCTCATTTACTCTTACGGCAGATATGAATGAGGGAGGTATCAGGATCATTACTATTTTACAGTCCAAAATGCTGAGGCTTAGAGAGGTTACATAATTTACCCAGGGCCATATAGCTGGTGGTAGAATTGGGGTTTAAACTTAGTATTCAATACTTCCTGTATTAGGCATTGTGCTAGAGGAACAGGATCTACACTCTGCCCTTAAGGAGTTTATAGTTGAGAGAAACAGGCATAGGCACAAATAGTGAAAAAATGAAAACTGGAGTATTTTCAACTGAATAAAGCCTCATACAAGTTCAATGCATGACTGCTACTAGTCCATTTGTTTACAATATATTTTACATATGCAAGGATGTACATACATACACACGTATATTTTACATATGTTTATATAGACACATGTGTGTGTATGATGAACTATATTAATACAGGCTTGTTCAAAGCTTTCCCCATCCCCCCCACTGGTCCAGTGAATCTTCTAATCCTGTAATTGTTCAGTTTCTCCTCAACCCTTTCTTCCAGTGTCAGAGTTTAGGCCAGCTCAGCCAGAACAAGGCCCTCTGCTTTTGTGATGCAGATGTAGGCCCTGGGCTAAGGCTAGAGGAAGGAGGAGGGGGAGAGCTTGGCTCAGAAGGTGAAGACAATTTACATAATAATGAGCTGGAGTGAGGAGGAAGGGAGGGAGAGAGGGAAGGGGAGGAGGAAAAGGGGACTGAGAAGGAGGGAGGAGGACAGAGGAAAAGGGAAAAAGGGAAGGCGGGAAAGGGAGAGATAGAAGGGGAGGGGAAAGGGAGATGAAGAAAAAGGGAGGAGTGAAGGAGAGGCAGAGCAGGAACCCCTTTAGTGGGAAAGAGAGGACCAGCCTTGCTCGCTGGGGTGGAGAAGAGGGTCCATGGAGAACCCAGGGGGGTAAGGCAGCTCAAGGGAGTGGGGTGGGACAGATGTGGGAGGCAGGAGAGGATGTTTGAGAACAGCAGGGGGAGCTGTCTCTGGTCCCTTTTCATATTCTTAGAGAGACTTAGGATGAAGGATGGGATTCTTTGAATGATTTGTTTTACCTCATCATACTGTGCCTATCTAAATGGGACTCTGCTCTGGACCCAGGCCACACAGGTTCTAGTCTTGTTAGGCTTCCATGTCTACACTGTATACATATATAATTTGTATTGCATGACCCTGGGCAAGTCACTTAGCCTCTCCATGCCTCATTTTTTTTTAACCTATAAAATGAGGACAACAATAGCACCCACAGCACAGGTAGCTGTTAGGATTAAATAATTTAAGCATTAAGGAATATTTTTTAAATAACAGGACAAATTAGGCCCACCCTTTTCCAATAAAGGCTCTGAAACATAAAAATAGAAAGCCGTTATTATCCTGGAGTCAGTAATTCCCAGAGCTTCAGTTCTCTGAATCCATCCATCTGATATGTGCGGACCTCCCCCACCTGGAAACCCCTTAGGTTTGGAAGGGGACTCACCCTCTGTGGTCCGGCCCCACCCGGCCTCCTGGCTTTCTGGCTGAGGTTCTACCTTGTGCCCATCCTTTTCCAACAGCCAATTAATCACCAGGCCCCTGTATTTCCTTTGTTGCTACGCATCACTCTACTGCCTTTCTGACCCCTCACCTAGCCCCTTGCACCTTATTCGTGGTCTGTTGCTGCAGCTTCTTCACCTGCCTCCCATCTTTAGTCTCCCCCTGCCATCCCCCTCCCTGCCCTGTCCACTCTGCACATGCCATCATCATAATTTCCTAAAATTTCACTTTCATCCCATCCCAGCTCAAAATCTCTCCACGGCTGCCTACTGCTAACAGGATAAAACCCAAACTCCATGGCCTACCTTCCAGGGCCCACCAAATCTGGACCCAACTGGACCTTCTAGTTTTCCCACATCTTGCTCAGACCCCAGTCCTCTGTTCTGCCCACTGGCCTCCTCTGCCAATTAACTCTCCTTTCCCTCATTACCAACCATGTTTTTTTCCTGGCTTCAAGGGCCTTTGCTCACCTATACTGCACCTGTCAAACTGTACCTGTGCTTCAGGGACAGTTCCATCTTCACTCCCACTAAGCAGCTCTTCCTGCCCACCATGTGCAAGGGCTGTGCTCACTCTGCCTGTGAGCTCCATCTTCCCAAGAAGATGACCAGCTCCTTAAAGGCTCCAACTCACATGCCTTTGAATCTTCACACGTGGCTTAGTACCAGCCCGACACATGGTAGGTACTCAATCAACAGCTGTTGATGTAGTGACAAAGTTACAGGCACTTTGCCTTTTTTTCTCTGAAAACTGGGAAAGTTAGAAATGTCATTCCATTAATGGGATGGGTCTTGAAGTCCTACTAAGTGCTGAGCACTGTGTTGGCTGCTGGAGTGAGGAGGTGACCCAAAGATAAACGACATACGCCTTGATCAGAAGACCTTAAATGATGAAGGGGTTCTTAGGCTGGACTCCATTGGTGGGCCAGGCCCCCTTGAAATTGCATGCAGAATCTCCTAGATGTGTGCTGTGTCCCCTGTTCTGGAGGGAAGGCTCGCGGCTTTCATGAGCTGCTCAAAGGACTCTGACTACACTTTAGGGCCCACTGCTCTATGGAAAGAAGCATAAACAATTCATCTTCATGCCAGTGTGTGAGATAAGAGCTTCATGGAGAAAGCCCTGAGCTGAGTTTCTTCCTCAGGGAAGGAAAAGGGAAGGAGGCTTCATGGACAAGATGAAGCATAGTGGGCCCTTACTGAGTGGGGCAGTTCCACGTGGAAGAGGGGAAGAAAAGAGGACGGCACTAGAGGCAGAGAGCACACCCCAGCGAAGGCCCAGAGGAGTGAGAGTACATGGGGCCCCTGGGAGAGGTCTGTAGTCTGAGGCTGGGGCCTGGGGTGTGGAAACCACAGACGGATGTAAGGAGGTCCCTGCTGTTTGCTCTGCACGGAGGCTCTTTCAGGTTCAGGCTCACGCACAGTCACGGGGCCCCAAGTGACTCCACACCAGAGAGGCTGAAGGAAAAACCAGCCAGTCCTCTTTCCTCTGGGGGAAACAGACAGGACAGGTGGTGAGTCAGCTGCCGGGGGAACTCAGGGACACCTACCTGTTCTAGGGGCTGACACTGAGGTACAGCAAGGAAGCTCTTAGGCGCTTTTCTGTGTGGAGAGTGCAAGGCTGGCTGGCCCCGGCAGGTGCTGGGAGTGGGGTTGTCTTCCTCCAGACATCCCCTGATGAGTGGTGGTGGGTGGCAGAGGTGAAAAAAACATGAGAGGGAAGGAGGTCTCTTCTTCAGAGACCAAAACACGGATCTGGACTCCTGCAGCATAAGGTGGTTTCCCCAGCATCCAAATGGCAGATCCCCTAGGTGGAGAGTGGCTGGGGACCCTAGAGACAGAAAAATATGGGGACCCAGCACTGGGCTCAGGGCATCTGGACATCAGGAGCTGCCTGGCTGCAGGTAGCTCCAGCTGAACAGAGCTTTATATTCCTCTGCGCCAGGCTCATTCCTCCCTCAGGGCCTGGGTGCTTGTCTGGAACTTTCTGTCCCCTCGTCCTCCCACTCTGAATTATCTGCTCCTCCTACCCCCAGATCAGGCTCTCACATCACCTTATTTTGTTTTCCTTGCAGCCCTTAGCATTATCTGACATTATGCAGTCACCTACTTGTGGGCTTGTTTGCTGCCTGTACTGCTAGATAGGAAGCTCCATGAGAACATGGAAAGGGAAGGATGTTGGCTCTGAGCTGCCCCCACACCAGCAGGTACTGCAGCCCTTTCTGGCCTGGCATGTCTCCTCATGCCAAGTGGTGGCTTCCACTCTCTTCTGCCCAGCTCCACAGGCTGCGAATCCACACCAGCCCACTCCCGGGAACGCCTTTTCCAGTTGTCTGGCTTGCTGTGGCCTGGGTCTCGGGTTCACTCCTTTCCTGCTCCTCACAGGTGTAAGAATACAGGAAGGGGGTGCCTGAGTGCCAGGGAGGCCTTTGCCCACCAGGAAGCTCACACCAGACAAGGCTGTGTTGCCCTAGGGATGGGCCAGGTGCTGGCCATGGTGCCACCTGCCATAACGGAACTGTGCTTGGACTCGACTGTGTCCAGTGGACTCTCCAGGGAGTCCCGCTTAGCTCTCAGTCTCTCCTTCCATTGGAGCCTTCCCCTCCTTCCTACTTGAAGGCTGACTTGACTGGGAAATTCCATGGAGGAGAAATAGCCAGAGAAGGGACCCTGTTTCCCAGGGGCCTGCAGTACAGTCCTTAACGTATCATAGTCCTAGCGATTCCCAAGCAATCATCTCTCCATTCAGGATAATAAAATGGAAAAAAAAATCCCATGGGAACAATGAATGTTTTCCAAAATGGAAGGAGAAAAGTATTCCAAAGCCACACTGACTTTGCTGGGTTATAATCAGTATAGGAGATTTTTAGGAAGAGCTGGCTGGGAGATGAATACATTTGCTCCTGGAAGATCTCACACACCGTGTGTGTGTGTGTGTGTGTGTGTGTGTGTGTGTGTGTGTGTGTGTGTGTGTGTGTGTGTGTGTGTAGGGGGTGTGCCTTTTGTACTGTGTCTGCTATCTGGCTGAGATTCAGATATCACGCTCCCCACTTAGTCAAAGGGAGACAGACAGACCAGAGGCCTGTGGCTTGTGCCATGCCTGAAGATGAGGCACTCCTTGCTCTGGGCTGTAATAAAATGAGTTAAATAAAACGAGTCATTATGTGTAAAGTGCTTAGTATGTGCCTGGCAGCCAGTAGGTGCTCAACAGATGGTAGCTGTTTTTATTCCTACTATTGTTATTAAGAAGAATGAAGCACTGTACTCATCTGGGTTAGTTCTAACGATCTGAATAGGTGTTTTCTGCAACCAGACACCATTCCCTGCTGTGCTCATTCCTGTATCCACAGCACCTAGCTCAAAGCCTTGCACATCATAAGCCTGCAGTGAATGGACCCATCCACTCCCCCATTCCCTCTTTCCACAGGCCCTGGCTCCGTGACCAAACCCAAAGCCGGCCTTCCAGGAAGAAGTGCTTCCTTTGCAGAATCCACTTCCCAACTTGGCCTCCAGGAGGAGCGGCAGATGGGCCCAGGTCCCCCTGCTAGTGCCCAGCTTCTCCACCGCAGGCTGGCCTCGGACATACCCTCAGTCACCCAATTCCCCAGTACCTGGAGGAGCCAATGCCTGGGCTGGATGACTCTGCCCCATGGAATTAGGATTTTGTGCATTACATATCAAATTTTACATTTAAAGCTGTCTATCATGGATGATTTATCAGACACAGAGACAACCAGGACAGTTTTCCTCTGTGAGGAAGATGATTTTTAGCAAAGACAGGACATGTGTATAATAGACAATCAAATCACACAGCAATCAGAGATGAATGCTCTCCATCCAGAGGCTCAGATGCAGAGCCCAGGTGCTTGGAGGCTGTACCTGCCCTCCGCCCCCTTCTCCAATCTCCAGGTCCCAGAGGGAGGATCACTGAGATTCAGTCCCAAACAGGGACAAAGAGCTGCTTCTGGAAAGAATTCTGAGGCTATTTTCTCCTCTCCCTCTCTCCCTCCCTCCTTTTATTTAGCCTTGCCAGTGTAGCTGTATATAGTTCAGTCTTAACAGTTAATATAAATGTTTGCAAATTAGAGGCTTTTATATAGTACTTATTCCATTCACCACTTAATAGAAGACTGGAAATGTTACCCCCAAACAGTCCCTGTTCTAGGACACTGACTTTCTACAGGAAGGAGAGCCCTGTAGGTCCTCATACTTACCCAGGGGAGGCAGAAAACATAGCCCTTGGTGTAAAAGAGGAAAGGCAGTCAATTCAAATGGCTATCCTCACTCCACAACAAGGCAAGGAAAGTTCTTCTAAGGAGGGGAGATGGTGGCCAGACAAGGCTTGTTTTGTTTAATACATATTTTTTTCTGTACAAGTTAATTGCCCAAGGACAGGTACTTAGACAGTGTTGTGGCAGCTCCAATTTAGAACTGTCACCAACTCTTCCTCATCTGCAAAATAAATCCGGGAGTTTTGTAGCCCCTGCAACTTGCAAAGTTGGTGAGTTTGCTGGGAGTTTGCCAGAGGGGTGGATGCAATGGCTTAGGTTGGTGACTGTGCCACCATATATCTTTCAAACATAGCGGAGTCTCTTCTCGTTCATTTAAGGCAGCCCAGCACTATAAAGAGGAGGCAGTGGGGTAACACAGACAGAACCTCTTGTTGCTGTGCTTATGGGCTCAGGGGCCTACCTTTCTCTCCTTATCACCATATTCGATGCCCAAAGTGTCCATGGCCCGGACGATGGCTGCCAGGGACTGGATAGTGTTGCTGTAGACAACAGGCTTGTACTGTTTCACGTCTTCTCCGGAGAAGCCATCTTCATGGATGATCCTAGAGAAAAACCACACACACCACACCTGATGAGAGCATTGTCCTCATCAACACAGAGAGCACAGGCATGAGACGCACTGGCTGACTGTGGGCCAGGTCCAGCCGAGATGCTGAGTTACTGAGTTGCTACATTAATGTCATAAAATCTAAAGGAAAAAGCTACCTAAATTACTGGAAAACAGAATCTTGGAAAAAAGAAATGCAGTCTTTTCACATTCCCTACATAATGAAAGAAAAATCCGTCAATGAGGTGTGATAATACTTGAAAGTACTTAGAACAGGAAGGGCATACATTAAGCACTCAATGTATGTTAGTCATGAGTATTTTAAGCAAAGTTCGGGGTCCCAACTTAGGTGTACACCCAGAGGCATATTGTTGAAAATCCCTGTAAAAAGTCTGCAAATGGATGATGCATTTTTCTTTCACAGAAAACTCACCGCTTTTAATGAAGGTAAAATGATTCACTTAAGACAAACAAATAACCATCTTTATCTTTGACAACAGAAAAGTCAATAAAAGGGTTTGCCTACTTTTTCATCCTTGGCTAGGATTTAACCACATACCACCCTCGTTCTGGTGGATCTGAACAGGGACAAAGAAGACATAAAGGGGACATCACAACTTTCAGAGGCCACGTGGCACTGCCTGCTAGCCACTCAACATGTGCTCACTGCTGACAAGGATCCGGGCAGGAGAGAAAGCTAGAAGGAGGGGCTCACGCCAAAACCACAAGAATCCTCTTATAACTAAAGTAATCCAGAAAGAGCAAATGAATTTTAAGATTAACATCCTACATTTGTCCTCCCTCAATGAACTATGTAAACTCTTCTGTGGTCATATTTTCAGTCCCAGATAGAACACTACTTGTGACACGTTCACGCACCAATATAATAACTGAGACCTCCTTTCTACCATACCAAGGCTCCTTCCAATTCCTTCATTACTTTCATGCAGGAGAAAATGGCTAAAGATTCTTCTTCTTTTTTTAAAAACAACAGTTTTATTGAGATATAGTTCATATATAGACTCTACCTACTTAAAGTATACAATTCAATGGTTTTTAGTATATTCACAAGGTTGGTCAATCATCACCACAATCTAATTTTAGAACATTTCAATCTCCCCAAAAGGAACTTTGTATCCATTAGCAGTTACTGTCCATGCCCTGCCCCTACCCTAAGCAACCACTGATCTACATTTTGTTTCTATAAATTCGGCTATTCTGGACAGTTCATATAAATGGAACCATACAATGTATGGTCTTTTGTGACTGGTTTCTTTCACTTAGCACAATGTTTTCAAGATTCATTCATGTTGTAGCATGTATCAGTAGCTCATTCCTTTTTATTACTGAATAGTATTCCACTGTATGGATGTACCACATTTTATTTATCCAGTCATCAGTTGACGTACAATAATGATTCCTGCTGCAAATTCCACTTGGTGCTGGTTTGCGGGTCTTCACCCTGAATTTCTCTAAAAAGCAGATCAGAATGACCCTATTAACTTTCTGTCGACTTTCATTATTCCTAAGTCCAGTTTTGTAAAAGTATCTTGAGGGAGTACATAACCAGTACAGGCCACTGGTGCACCACCCCAGAGAGATCTCAAAGGGATCTTTGCTAGCTCCCACTGTAAACAACTAGAAAACCAGACAAAATATGTGAAACAAGCATCTTCAAACACTGGAGAATAGACAGTGCAGGACTGTGATCCCTGAGAGAAGGGAGACCAAGGAGGAGAGTCCGGTGATGGCCTGGGCGTCCGCCTTTAGGTGTTTACTAGACCACAGTGCAGGAGGGAACCCAGGCAGAACACAGCCATTTCACTGAGCTGAAGAGAAAAAGTGAGTTCAGGAAAGCTGAGGTAGCTGGAAGGGCAGCGTACCAGAGGGGAGAAAACTGCGAAGAGAGAGCACTTCAGATGCTTCAGAGAGTGCACAGGGGTCTCCTTGGAGTCTGTGGCTGGATAGGGTAAGATTCCACAGCTGGTCAAGGAACAATTACTAAAGAAAGAACAAGCATCAGGGAGCTTATCAGTTGAACGCTTCCCAGAGCTCATTCAAGGCTGGGAGATATTCAAGTTCCAAACAGCCAGAGTGAAGAGTCCTTGTTGAACGCCTGGGGCACTCAGCAGAGACGCCAGAAGGCTCATGCCATAGCAACGGGGCTGAGCTAGCTCCAGAGTAAAGGCTGCTTTAGACCTGCCCTCATGAAGCTTAAAAACAAAGTTAAAAAAAAATCAAGCTGATCTACAAGTAACTTAACTACCTGGAGAATAAAGTCCAACAGTCTTTACATGAGAACAACAAAATCTAGACATTCAACAATATAATATTCATAGTATCAGCATCACACAAATAATTCCTGAATATGCAAAGAAGCAGAAAAGCATGACCCATAACTATGATAAAATGCAGTCAACAGAAACAGACCCAGCAGTGACAGAGATCATGGAATTAATAAGAATTTTAAAACATCTATTTTAAATATTTCTAAGAAATTGAAGGGAATTATGAACATAATGAGGAAAGAAATGGAAGACATTAAAAAGAACAAAAGGGAATATCAACTGATGAAAATATAATATCTAAAATAAAAATTTCACTGGATGGGATTAACAGCAGATTAGACATACAGAAGATGAGTGAACTTGAAAACATGGCAATAAAAACTATCTAAATTGAAACAAAGAGAGGGAAGAAGCTGAAAAATGTATTATGTTTATAACATACATAGAAATAAAACTTCAACCATAGCACAAAGGATGGGAGGGATAAAATGAAAGTATACTCTATACTGTAGAAAGATTCTTGTATGTGAAAAAAGTAGTATTAATATAATATTATTTGAAAGTAAAGTGTAATAAGTCAAGATACACATTGTAAACTCTAGCGTAAATACTAAAAAACAGAAAAGAAAGGCAACTGGTACCTAGATTCCCCTAAGAGGGTGGGACCCTTTGGGTGACCTGAGTGGTGCAGGCAGGATTTGCTGGTCCCCATGCTATGATATGCTTCCCCAGAAGCCAGTGCATTGAGTTTCTCATGCTTCATTTGGGACCAGCAGACCCTACCACTCTCCTGGGAATGTTCTCTAGACCTATGGCTGGCTCTGGGACTTCCTTCAACCTATTTCACACCTATTGATATCATTAATCTTTATATGCACTTGATCAGGTGGAAAGGGTGGGATTTTATTATACCCATTTGACAGAAGAGAAAACTGAGGCTGAGAGAGAATAAGTAATTGCCCCAATATCTCTCAGCAGGTAAGAGCCTGGGCCAAGAACAGGATACAGGTCTCCAAGCTCACAGTACTTTCTATCACACTTCAATTCATGGGCTGAAAATACTGCCTGGCAGGTCTCAATCTGTTGCCTGGGGTGTCCCAAGATAAAGAAGCTTCATTTGCAGTTTGCAGAAATGTTGCAATTTGGGGGAAATTGCTCAAATCATGATTAGCCCTATAAGTTGTTCAAACTGGCTTATATTAGGTTAAAAATAGGCTTCCTGTTTCTGGGTAGAATTTTATATCCCCTTCTACTACAATGTAATAAATACTTAAGACTAGAAAATTTGGTCCATACAGAACAACAAGAAATATCCTTTTTTTTTTCAGATGGAGTCTCGCTCTGTCTGTCGCCCAGGCTGGAGTGCAGCGGCGCAATCTCGGCTCACTGCAAGCTCTGCCTCCTTGGTTCATGCCATTCTCCTGCCTCAGCCTCCCAAGTAGCTGGGACTACAGGCGCCCGCCACCATGCCTGGCTAATTTTTTGTATTTTTAGTAGAGACGGGGTTTCACCGACAACAGGAAATATTATTCATACTCCCAAAACTCAGAAGAACACTGAATTTTTAAATGTTAAGTCATCCCTCTGGCTTTTTTAAATGCCACATTCCTCTTCTTTTTTTCTTGCTAGCATTGATTTGAGGCAAATATCCTTAAATGTATCAATAAAGACCCTCTTTATTTTCTATTTCCCCACACCATTTTAGAAAGGCCGAGTAGAGCAGTGGTTAGAGGTTGGGCATTGGACAGGATGAGCTGTGTGTCCCTGGTAAACAATTTAATCTCCTGAGCCTCGGTTTCCTCATAAGCAAAAGAGTTGGGAGGAATAAATGTAAAGTGCCTACCATATAGTAAGTATAAAACAAATGGTAGCTATTAATATTTTCCACCGGACGCAGTGGCTCATGCCTGTAATCCCAGCACTTTCGGAGGCTGAGGCAGGCAGATCACGAGGTCAGGAGTTTGAGACCAGCCTGGCTAACATGGTGAAACCCCGTCTCTACTGAAAAATACAAAAATTAGCCTGGTGTGGTGGCATGCACCTGTAGTCCCAGCTACTTGGGAGGCTGAGGCAGGAGAATCACTGCAACCCAGGAGGAGGACGTGGCAGTGAACCAAGATCACGCCACTGCACTCCAGCCTGGGCGACAGAGCGAGACTCTGTCTCAACCAAAAAAAATAATAGCATTTTCATTCTAAAGTTAAAATCCTGCAAACATAATTTCTTTCATTTGCAGTATAAGATAAGCAGAATAATTGCAGCTCATGTTTGAGGGTTTACCCTCTGTGCTAAGTGCTTTACATGTGTCATTTCATTTAACCTTCAAAACAATTCTAGGAGATAAATTATCTCCTCTTTACAGATGAGGAAACTGAGGCTCAGATAGGTTAGGCCACTTACTCGACATACAGCTGGTAAATGGCAAATGCTGAAAGGCAGGGCTTCTCCTTCTGCCCTGAGTCCCTATATCCAGGAGAATCCAGAGATTTCACCCACAAAACAAGCATTGGAACTCACCCTGTTGTATCTGCCCAATGTTCTGGCAAGGAAAGGAGGCCTCTGGGTTGGAGTTGGAGATACAGCTCTGGAGAGTTCAGTCTCATGTGACAGCCCAGGTCTGAGTTGTGGAGGTGACAAGGCCAGGATTTGGAAATCAGGAGCGAGGCTCCACGAGATACCTTAGCAACAGTCAGTGGCATCTCACATTGCAGCAGCCCCAGGTGGGCTGTTCATCTACATAGCTGAGCGATTGAGTGCAGAATCAAGTCCCAGAAACATCATTTGAGCCCCTGGGTCCAACCATGCCTGAAGCCCACCCCATACTTTTGAGTGATATGAGCCAAATAATTCCCTCTCAATTTTGAATAAGCTAATTTGATTTGGGCTTCTGCCACTTAGAACCAACAGAGACATGACTAAAAGGTACATATTTTGTACCCTGATAACAATAATAATCAGAGATCATCTCCCAGAAGACTTGTTTACTAATTTTTAATTTTTAAAATTAAAGCACCACATCTCACCTATCTCTGCTTTCTTCCCATATCTCCTGGCATAGGGTTGAGCTCCAGACAGTGCTTGGATAAAGTGGGACATAACTACATGAGTCAGGAGTACACAGATGCACCAGACCTGTCCCTCTCCAGAGCACTCACTAAAGGAGGCAGACGTGTGTGTCCCTGTGTGTGTTATGTGTGTGTGTGTGTGTGTGTGTGTGTCAGGGTGGGGACCTACTAGATTTCTTATGACTGCAAAGCCAGGGTATCAAAGGGAGATCAAGCTAGATTCTGAATTCATGTCCACCCAAAACTCAGGGACGCTCAGGGGTGTTCCAGGCCACCAAACCAGAAGCACCATAAGGAACAGGAGGTCTGAACAACCAAGGACTGACTGTGGAGTGTTTGACTTTGGACAGAAACCGCCAGCTGGACTCTGGAAACCTGGCAACGCTGCTGAGAGGAGATCTCACGTGGGTATGGGGAGAGACAGAGGGTGGCAACCAAGCCCGCCTGCACAGGTCTGAGCTTTCTGGGAAGAGGCAACCAAGGAGAAACCCTGGTTCTCCCCGCACCTCCATTTCTCTCTCTGCTGCCTTAGGGACCCTGCAGGAGGCCTGGACTTGGGCTCCCTTTGCTCTCTGCTTCCCCCTTGCAGTGTAGGACTGCACTTAGCTGCAGTGAGACTCCCCAGGCATGCTGGCCTTATATGGTCACAGAACCACAGGCTTGGGAGCTGGAAGGGACCTTGGAGGCTCATCTGGCCCAGCAGCCATTCTCCTTCTCTGAATCATAGACTCCTCTGACAGTGTGACAATGTACCAACACATACAGTTTCCCCCCCAACTTCTGGAGGGTCACAAACTCAGAGGCCCTAGGCTGTTGGGATACATGGTTTTTCACTACATCTCCAGCTAGATTAAATGCCCCTCGTCTGCTCCCTTTATCAGCGCCCTGGCTCCTGCCCTGGGACTGGACTGCCGCTCCTCCTCCATCACAATCCCTTTAATGATCCACAGGAAGCGGGGGCTTCTAGAGCCAGACTCTAGCTGAGACCGGGTGCTTGTTTCCGCATCTGTTCCTGGGAGATGGGCGTGGTAACAGAGCTGGTTCATGGTTAGGATCAAAAGAATGAATCCATGTAGAGTGCCCAGCACAGTCGGCAGTCAATCAGTGCTAGCTATTATTATTGTTGCCATACTTGGTACGAGGGACGGGGGAGAACGTGCAGTCAGTCAGGCGTCCCGCGTCTGTCCTCTTGAGGAAGAGGATGTGAACTGGGTCCACGGGGAGGGAAGGCTGGGAGGACCACTGCTTGTCAGGAGGAGGAGGAGGAGGAGGAGCAGCAACAACAGCAGCAAGGGTTAACAAGCCACAGTGGAGAAAAGAAGAGCGGCAGAGGGGGTTTCTCCGGACCAAAGCAGAGAATCTGCTCATTTACCATTTACCAAATGAACACGTTGGGAGTGGTTGTGGGATGAGAAGGTGGATTTCCTGATTTGAGGCTGTCTTAACGTGTCATGAAATATGTTTCTGAACACTGACGGAGAGCTGTGCTGTGGCTGCCTGGGTTAGGGTCAGGGCCCAGTGCTTCACTCCCATGCACAGCACCAATGGTTTCCAGCCGTCAGGGAGATCTCGGCAGTAATGGGACGTGGCCCCTGAAGCCATCTGCCTCCCCAGTGGAGGTAGGGACAGACCTGCCTGGCCTCATATGACACATTTTTAATCAAACAACTGTCAGATGTCAGTGAGGGAAGAAGCCACATGCCAGGAATTGGGGGCTCCACAGAACCTACGAGACCAGGATCTGGACAGGACGGTAAAGTGAAAATGCTGGTTACAGTGTGTGTCCTGTGCAGCTGTTTTCATAAAACTGTTTGTGGGTGGGGGCAGGAGGTAGGGTGTGGTATGGAGGGAGAAGGAGGGAGAGGGAGTTATTATGTGAGGATGTGTAACAAGATGTATTAATAATCACTTTTGGGTGGTGGCATTCAGTGATTTTTTTAAACTTTCTTCTTTGTATGTTTTGTTTCATGTTTAAAAATGTATACTTGTTATCTGGAAGAACAACAAGTCATTTCCAATGGGAGACAGACACTTCGTGTTTAACCTACTAGGGACCATTTTGACCTAGAGAGAATACTTGAGTAAAAGGGGTAGAGTCATTGATCAATACGAATCTCCTGGAGTGACACATTTGGGTTCAGCCTGCTGGAAGGTCTCTTCCGACTTAAAGCCTATGAGGCCTGGTCCCTCCCTTCCAGAGCTTCTCAATCTAGATGGTAAGATAAGGCTAGTGCCAAGAAATGAAAATTAACAACAAAAAAGTGGCATCTGCCAAGGGCCAGTTGAAGGATGTGCTGGCTGCCACCTGAAAGCCACTCCCTTCTCATGAAGAGTTCCTTTCCCTGCCTCCTTTGCCACGAAGACTGGCCAAATAAATGGTTCTGCTTAGAGCCCACACAGAAATAGTCATTTTCCAGATGGAAAACTGTGATATGGAGAGGAAGAGATGTGCCTACAGGCACATTTAGTTTGTGGCAGAGCAGGGACAAAACCCCCAGAGGCCTTTCCATTGTGCTACAGGCGTCTTACCTCCCTTGATGCTCCCCTGGGAGAGGGGAGGTGATGGGTGACACCAGGTGAGAAAAACATCTAATCAAATGCAAAATGGAAAGATGTTTTTACCTTCTGTCTTAAAAGATCCAGCTCCCAATAATTTAGAGGTGTTCCTGTAGGGGTGGGGGGCAGGGGTATATTCTGTAAGCATCTCTATTCATTGATTCCCTAATTCATTTTTCATATATTATTTGCATACCTACTAGGTGCCAGCCACCATATCATGGGCTGGGATAAAAGCGACAGACACAATCCCTGCCCTTGTGGAGCTTGCATTCTAATAGGGAAGAACAATATGAAAGAAGTAATGTCACAAATGGTTCTATAAATCATAATGGGAATAAGGGGAAAATACGACCTGAAGGAGCACCTACAGTACAGGTGCATGGTGGAGGGTGGGACCGGCCTCTCAGGAAACAGCAGTGACCACGGAGCAGGTGCTGGCTGGACAGACAAGGTAGGACAATCCAGACAAGAGAACAGCACCGGTGCCTGGAGACAACGCTGTGTGGTCCCTTCGCACCTCCCAGAGCCCCCCTTGTCCCACAGAGTGCTCGGGAAATGTGTGTGAAATGCATGAAGGCAGCTCACGTGCTGGCCGGTGGGACCGGAAGCCAGAGACCCCAGTCAGCAGGCTTCCCTGGAGCTGGCACTGGCACGGGTCTGCCGTTCCCTCCTGAGGGAGGCTTCCATTGACTCAAGGAGAAGGCATGAACAGCAAGCTGACTCAATGGGGGAAATGTCACCAACACCGCCTGGTTGAGAGGCACTGGCAGGCACTGGCAGCATACCTACTTGGAGGTGGGCTCAGCAGAGGGCAGGCACCCCAGGGGAACGGGGAGAGAGAGCCCCGCCTGGACCCTCCTCCCTCTTCTTCTACCTGTTGGAGCTCCCACTAACTCTGCTCTTGTATTTCCTTTCCCTGGAATGTGGTCTTGTGGCCAGTGGTGCTGGATCTGCAGGAGGGACCTGGCTTCCTGACTCAGGGGATACCATCAAGACTGAGGACTAAGCAGAGTGGTCTGCAGTGGTCCAGAGGGCACACGATGTGGACACGGTGGCGGCTGGGGACTGGGAGGGCTTTCTAGGAACTGCAGCAGCCCAAATCCCCTAGAGAACACCACTCTTTCCTTTGTTTATTCATTCCCTCCATGAATATATATATACTGAGCACGTGTTAAGAGTGGGGCACACCCTGAGTCTCCTATTCACTGACAGTTGGACTGTGGGCAAGTTCTCAACCTCCCTGAGTCTAGGTCTCTCCCCTGTAAAATGGGGACAATGATCTTGTCCTTCACAGGGTCACTGGCAGTATTAATGTGTGGGGAGGGTCTGGCACTCAGTAGGGCCCAATAAATGTCAGCTGCTAATATTATTTAAAAGTCTCAGGCAATTCAGTGCCAAAGCAGGGCTAGACCACTAGTCTTGTTTCCCAAGCCACGGGCCCTCCTTCCATCTGGTGCAGCAGTGCCTTGACTCAACTGAATGTGGTGCTGGGGGGCCAGACAGTATCCATGTTTTGAATGACTGGCTCAGAGGGACCACTGGTTGGGCAGAAGTAAGATGTGTATGTTTTGCAAAGCAATTATTCTGGGTCTTAATTTCTGATTTCCCAGAATTCCAAGAGTGTAGAGGCCCCTGATGGGAAGTCAGAAGCTTTGCTCTTTACCAGGCATAAAGGCTGCTTCCTTGACTGGCAGAGCTCAGCCATCCCTGAGATTATGGCCTCCTTCAATCCCCCCACTGACGGCATCCTCCTCTTCTCATCTAACAGAACTGACTGCTATGTACCAGGTGCAGTTCACACAGCACCCAGGAGACTGGCGAACAGGACAGACAGAGGCCCTGCCTTCAAAGGACTCACAGCTCAATAGGGGAAAGCATAAAGAAGTAAACAAATATTACAGAGTAATAAACACAAAACTAGTAGTTAGTGGGGAAGGGTAGAGTTAAGAGCCATGAGGTGGCATGAAGCTGAGGCCTCAGTGATAAGAAGTGGGCCTTGCATATTGGTGAGGAAGAACGCAACAGGCAGAGGGAGCAGCAAGAGCAAAGGCCCCGGGGCACCTTTAGTGTTCTAATGATGAGGAACCAGCAGGGCTTGAACCTAGTGAGTGATAGGGAAAGTGGGGGATGAGGCCAGAGGAGCAGCAGGGACCAGTACTATGGCTAATGTACTACTCAAAATTTTTTCTCAGCTACACATTAAAACAAATGCTCACCTGTTAAAAAAAAACACATTCGTCCCCAAACCATCTTGCCTCCCACCAGTGGTTCTGCTCTAATTGTGGATCACTTTTAAATGGCAGCTTTCCCTCCTCTTTCCCTGACTTCTCCAGCCCTGACTGAAAGGCCTGTTCTTGGAACACTTATAGATTATAGCCCACACAGCTAAGCAAAAAAGAAGAAAAAAATTTCAGCCATCAACCCACCAGCTGGAGGGAACCACCGTCCACATGTTGGGGTATATTTCAGTCCTTTTACCTGGGAGTCCGCACGAGTATTATTTTCCCTAAAATGGAATCCCACTGTACATGTTGTTTTCTACACTGAACTGTATATTCATTTTAACAGCTGTTTATGAAGTGCTTTCTTCATTCCAGGCACTGGATACAGGGCAGTGAGCCCGACCTGCATGGCCAGGCCTGCCTTCTGGAGCTGCTGTCTAGCCCAGGAGCTGTGGACATGCATAAGAGGGGCACCAGGCTCCATCCAGCATGGCCAGAGATGACTTCAGGAAGAAGTCATTGATGTGGCTCCATGTGACCCTGGGGTTCTATTAGCTGCTTAGTCTCATCATCTGAATGGGCCATGAGCTATTCAACCAAACCCCTCACGGTGGACATTTGGGCTGCTCACGAATGAGAGCTCTTTCCAGCTTCAGATTCAGCTGCTCGGGCTGGGGGGCTTGTCTGACCACGAGGGTGCTTCTCCCAAGGGAGGCAGAAAACCACAAAACCTAGATGGGACAAGATAGAGGCTGGGTGACACCTAGGCCTTACAAAGTGAGGATGAATAACTTGGGCACAAATGGATCCCTTGGCTATTTGGAAAGAAGAGAAGACTCAGCTAAAAATCCAGCTGTTTAATTGTGGGGTGAAGCTGTATGGTATGCGAACATTTATTTAAAAAATAATTATGACCACTTTAGTAATTATTAATTATTAATTAATACTATATAATTAGTATACTATACTATATACTATATTAATACTATATACTATACGATAAAAATATATTAATTAGTAATAATACTATATTAAAATACTATATTTAATACTATATTTTTAATACTATATTAAAACTTGATATTCTAATATCAGAATAATATAGAATAAAAGGGTATTCTAAAGAGTTCTAAAATAATAGTAACAGGCAAAATCAGTCCCCCAGAGGAATGATTGGTACAAAACAAGAAGGATGTCCTGTTGACAATGACTTGCAGAAATCTATTATAAAGATGCCATTTTTAATAAGGGGTAGCTCTGGCCAGAAGCAAAGATGTCAGCTGCCAATTGTCACCAGACAGAGCCAGGGGCAAGGCCAGGACTTGTGATTCCAGTGCAGAGCCTCTGCTGTCATTATCTGAAAAACAACATGAACCCTGCCCTTTCCCTCAGCTCACAGTGCTGGGGTGGGTGGAGGTGGGGGCTGCACAGGCCAGCTGTCAGTCCACGGCAGCGGCAGCGTAATGCTCAGAGAACTGCCTGCTAGAGCTCTGTTCCTTCTCGCCTTCTGGGTAGCATTGCTGGTCTGGGGCCCCTGGCCCTAGATTACAGATATCGTGACTTGAACTTTGGAGATATAAGACTCAGATTCTTATGCAGATTGGCCATCAACACTGCAACCCCAGGTGATGAGGGCAGAAGAATCCTTCTCAGGCCTGCATCATCGGCCCTGGCCTGGGGCTCCCCCTTGGTGGTGGAGGAAGTCCTTCAAGGCAGCTCTGTCGGCCTCCTCTTGGGAAGACCTCAGGCCTCCTGACCCACCCTCAGATTCCAGCCACTGCCTTTTTCATGCCTGTGTGTTTGGGAAATACTGCCACTGACTGTGGCAGCTTCCACCCCAATTTCATCACTCAGGAGACCCGGGGTCTAAGTCTTAGCTCTGCTGCTGACCAGCTGGCATAAGCTTGGACAAGCCACTGGGACTCTGGACTCATTTTCTATGTATATTGCCCAGCCTCTTGGACAGGTCAGGTGTTGGCTTTGGGGCTGGGTTGCATCAACTTCCTGTGGTTGCCCCGTTTCTCAGGTTGACCAAGGGTCACGGTCATATCTATGTCTATGTCTACGTCTACATCTTTGCCAAATGCATCCTTTCTGGGATACACCAGCTCACAAAACATAGTGACTCATGGGGGGCAAATAATCAAAGGGGTTCTTGTTGGACAAAAGATTGAGGAGCTCTGAAATAGAGACCTGCATACCTCATTGCATTCAGGGCTCTGCTCGGATGTCACCTCCTCAGACCAGTCTGACTACGGCCCCTTCCCTACATTATTCTGTGCCTTTATTCTTCCTTATTTTCCTTCATCACATGTATCACCACCTGGTATGTATATTTTTATTTGTATACCATCTGTTTCCCCACATATCGACGTGAGCTCCATGAGGACTGAGTTCACAGACTGTAGTGCCCAGGGCAGAGCTTGGTACATGGCGAATGATCAATCAATGCTGGATGAATGGCTGAATGAAACAGGTGATTGCTTGGGACCTCTGGCTCTAAAATGAGGGCTCCACATATAACTCCTTTCTGTGAAGGTGGGTAGCCTGTAAACAGTGGCCCCAGATGGACATATCTCTCTCCACCATCCCCCACTCATAGCCCTGGCTGCCAATCCCATCTCCACCTTGCGGACTGAATAGTCTTCCCCCTTGGGCCCGGAGTCTGTGGCCCTTTCCTTGTGATTGTAACTAGACTCGCTCCCTCATTCACTGGCATGGGTTCCCCTCCTTCAACCCTGATGTCTTGGTTCTCACAGGTTTCTAAGGGTCAGGACACACAGCTGCCTTATGCTGTCCTCTGTAGGCTTATTTCCAGGAAAATCCAAAACTGTTCTTTGAAACCCAACGGTTAAATTCACTGGTTATGTTGCAGAGACATGACAGAGAGCTTTATGGCTGCTGAGTCCTCCTCACAATGCCTTATGTGCAGACATGAGCTTTTGTTAAACACAGTAAAAGCGGCACGAGTGAGGCAAATTGGTTCAATGTCAATTTTACTGCCTAGATCTAAGTAACATTTCTGGTCTCCCATCTGCCTGATAAGGGCAGCTGCTAGATCTCCCTTTCGTATTCTGCTGACATAATGAAGTGAGGTATTCCTATTAGTACATTATGTTTAGTATATAAACAATACTGTACATTGGGAGCAGTCTGCATAGCTTTTTAATTATATTTTGTGGAGAATGCGCAAGTACGGCTGCAGAGCTTTGCTCATCTTGTTCAGTCTTTGGGGAAAAAAAAAAACTTCCTGCCTTCCTGTTGACGGTATGTTTGTTCATTATTTATGTTCCTGCTCATTAGCGCCTAGATGTGTTCTCATGAACCACAGGAAAGAGAAAAGACCACAAAAGCTGCTGTCTTTGGCTGACAGCTCACAGACAAGGCTTTTACAAACCCAGGTTACCTAAGACATTGTCCTTTCTGACACCAGGCAAGTCCAAAAGGCTCTGTCATCCAAACAGACCAGGTGGGGCTCTGACAGCCTGTGGGAGGGCTCCTATCTGGGTTCCTCCTGGCTCCCTTGCGACTTGCTGTGGGGCGCGGTGGTGACTCACTGCAGAATATACCTGAGGGAGCCTGAGCTCTGCAAATGGCAAATGAGGGCTGTAGTGGACATCTGCTGGCTGCCTGTGCAACTCCTCCCTTCCTTGAGAGATAGGAGCTCAACTTTCCTTGGGGGAACCATCCTTTCTCACACTTTGAGGATTCTCCCCACTTCTAGCCTAAGTCCCAGGGCTGAGTGAGTTCCTGATCCACACCTGTCAGTTAGTATCACACACATGTGGATCCAGCCATGCCTGAAGCTAGTGTACCCCTAGGCTAGTCAGTGACATGAGACAACACGTTTCAGTCACTCTAGGGCAGGTTTCTGTTCTTAGCAGTCAGGAGTCTTGACGGCATTGAAGCTGCATAGCCCTTGGACGTTTGTTTGGAAAGATGGCAGCAGGGCATCGGACGGTCACACAGACTTGCTGATCTGAAAGGGGGTGCCTGGTTACTGAACAGGTTCTGAGGGCTCTGAGGGTTACACCACCATAGGACAGCAGCTGCCCCCATCCCATTTTGCAGCGGCTGAGCCAAGCAAGCCATACTGGAGGTCATTTTCTCTTTTGGGCATTTCGGGGATCAGCTGATCCCAAAGGACTGTCCACTCCTCCCCCGACTCCACCTAACCCCAAAACATGAGGAATTTCACTCCCTTGTGTCTCTTCTACATTACAGACCTAGCCAGCCTGGAAAATGCTTTTCATAGGCTCTTGATTTTTCCCTTCCTGTTCTTTTTAAATGAAGACTTGTTTTTCTTCTCCTTGCCATGTGATTGGGCAGAGAAGGACACCAATACACCACCAGCAACCTGAAGAGACAAAGGGGCATGGACAGAATCCCTCATTCTCCAGTGCAGGCTGCTTGGCACACGTGCCTTTGAGATTTGCCACAGAGCCTCCTAAGCGTTGCCCCAGATGGTGGACCATTTTAGGTGAGTGTTCTGAAACAGACAAAAGACGCCCTTCTCAGCTCCCTGCCTAGGAGAGTTCAAGGCAAAAGGTACAGATCACCCCAAATGGGGGCTCCTCAGGGAAATCATGATTTCTCATGTCCTCTGAGAGGACTGCTTATGGTAAAGTCTGCCAAAAGCAAGTCTGAATGCACATTCCTCTCCAGGGTAACTCATGTCTCCTCAAATGAAACGGCAGTGGTCAGTTGCCACGCCAACTTTTGCTGGACAAAGATGGCTATGTCTGCATTGGGTCAGGTCCCCAAACATCTCTGACTACATGGACGTGAGCCACATCCTTCTGGTTCCCTCTGCGCCACCCCTTTGTTGGGCCTTTGAACAAGAGTAGGGGAGAATTCCAGGTGACAGCATGTCTTGCCAGAGAAATACATTCACAGAGAGACACAGCAAAACCCAGCCCAGCCAGTCTTCCTTTTCTGGTGGTAGACGTGGCCCAGAAAGGATGCCACTCTCTGTGTGGTGGATTTAAATAGCCCCGCCGCGGCTCCCAGGCTTCCCACTCCAGGCCTTCTCAAGCATATGGAAGTTCCTCATTAATAACCATGATAGCGGGTCATGCCCCCAAAAAAAGAGTCCACAAAGATCACTTTGTGGGCTTCCACATCGATCCCCTCTCTAGGGATGTTTGGGTGGGGCAGTGTGTTCTGGATGCCAAAGCCAAAGCACATACTTGGCTGTAGGGGTGGCAGACCCTGTGGAGAGCCCAGCTGTTCCCTCTCAGAGTCGGGCTCAGTAGAGGCTCTGCTGCAGTCTGAGAGGCCAGCAGGAGGGCAGGTATGCTCAGCCTTCATCATGGTCTCTGGGTCTCTCTGAGACAAAGGCCTGCTTCTGGCCCAGCAGCCGGCAGCTGAGGAATTTTCAGTGTGAATCAAGCCTAAAATTGGTGCACGTTGAAGACAAGCAGGCTAAGGAGAACAGGCCCCTCAAGCTGCCATCCTGAGACTCTGTCCACTCTCTCAGACTCTCATCTGGATTTCAGGTAGAGACAAAAAGAAAAAAGGCCCACAGCCCACACTGCCCATTGTCACTTAGCCACGCCACAGTAGCGAGAGCTGGGCCTGGGAGAACAGAGTAGCGGCAGCCTCTGTTGAATCCCTTCAGGTGCAGGCACTGTGCTAAGGGCTTCATGGACACTGCCACACTGAATCCTCCCAATAACCCCTGCCTCCTGACATCAGCTGTAGTCAAAGCTATGCAAGTGTTAGTGCTAGCTCCACTTTGAAGATGAAGAAACTGGTTAATAAGAAAGTTAATGAGCTTTCCCAAGGTTATGTGGCTATCAAACATGGGTGTTCTCAAGAGCTCTCCACTTTATGGACAGCCCTCAGACTAAATATCCAAGGAATACTGATGACTTCAGGCACATTCAGAGGAAGCAGACCAGGCTGGTGAGAGTCAAGACTTCTGACCAACTGTGAAAAAGGGTAAAGGCATTAAACAATGTCCACATTAAGAAGGGGTCCCAACAATCAGAAGATTTCTGTTGTCACACTGGCCCTGAGTCATAAACTCTTACCCCTCTTTAAAGGCCTTTCCAGTTTTCTAGCTTAATCCTTACCACATGAACCCCCGCCCTGCCCCTTCTGCAGACCACTCCCAGCACTGTCTGCTCAGCCCTGGCCAGTGCCAGACGCATGGCTACTGAAGGAATGAACAATGGATGCATGGATGAAGACTGTCTAGGGAGAGCTCTGACACTGTCGGGATCACCATCACAGTCACATCTGCTTATTATCACCACGGCCAGCAATGCTGAGACAACTGTCCCAAGACACTTCTGTATCCACTGAGCTTCAAGCTCCAACATGCATGTGGGTCAGGCTGGTATGGAACAGGGCAGTTGGAAACCAGGAAGGATGGTGAGAAGGGGTAGAATACACATAATTTCCAGCATTAGATGTGGCACAAATAGGGCTCCCAAGAATGGAATTCAGTTCAGTAAACATTTACCCAACACCTCCTGAGTGCAAGGCCTGGCATTTGCCTCTTTGACTGGTGCAGATCACGTTCCCTGACAAGGAGGCGGCATTCACACAGCATGTGAGGCTGAAGATGCATTTGGTCCTATTTCAAGTGTGTTGCTCTCATTCCTGAGGGGCTTCCTAAAGTGGTGCTATCCACACCCTCTGAAACAAGGCTTTCTTCCTGCACTGGCTCCTGCATGTCCCCAGCTCCAACATGGACTTGCTGACGCCCACTGATCACAAAATGTCCCTAAGGCTCTTCAGCTGGTCATGTAAGAATGTATACGCCATCTAAAGCCACGCGTATGTGTGCCTGGCAGCACTTTCCATAAAGAACAAAGGGCTGTGCACAGGAGTGGCCTTGACTGGGACATCTGTGTCAAAATGAGAAGCAATAACAATGGGGCTCTTGAGGTCAGAAATGCACAGGGCTTCCCTGTCTAACTTCAGACTGAAAGTTCTCCTGCCTACTCCCACCCAAGAGCTATTGCCTGCCCCAATCCCCTGTCTCTCCCAGAGGAGCTGCAGGAAACTCTCCCCTGCCTTCTCAGCACCTTTCAATCTTGGGAAGCGCTCTGTAACAGGCAGGGGCTGCCCAGAGGCTGCAAGTCTGTCCAGACCGATTTGTGGGAGAACAGCTAGGCCTGCTTCTGACACCACCCCACAGGGAAGCTGCTGGGGAACAGGGCTCTTCCTGAATGGCAAGTTCCAGGACTCTAGGAATATATCCACCATCATCAGGCCCTGTTGCCCCTCACTATGACAGAACCATGGGCAAGGGGTTTTCTGCTCTGGGTGGTGTGCCACTACCCATAACTGTCAAATGCCCAACACTCCCTTTCAGGTTTTCCAAACATTTCACGTGTTACTGAACAGTAACAACAGTTCCTCTTGACAAAACACCAACTTTGTGCTGGACATTTTTATATATTTTCTCATGAAGTCCTCATGATAGGAATGAATAACCCAGTTATCCTCATTTTACAAATAAGGAGACTGAGGCTTAGGGAGGTTAACTGACTACTTGGCCACCATCTCAGAGCCAGTAAGCAGCAGAGCTGGGAGCTAAAACAGAACCCCACTCATAATCTCCACCTCAGCAAGCCTGGTAGTGGCTCTGTTTCACAGTAATGGTGGGAAGTATAAGAATCAGAGTGATTGGCTGGCCTGCAGTCACGTAGCAGAGGTCTCAAACTGGCCATCTGCAGCCTGGATTTGGGCCAGGGAGATGTATTTTGTTTGGCCTGCAGTAGTTTTGAGTTTTTCTTTTCTTTTTATTTTTTTCCTTTAAGCAAACATTTATAAATCAGAAGAATTGTCACAAAAGGACACTGATTTCTGGTTCTCCTGAAGAATCGGACATGCTGGTCTGCCTCCTTAGGTGAGGCCTGAGTTTGGCTGCCTGCCGTGGGCTAGGCTGGTGCTCTCGTGATCCACACGCCCCATCAGGTGTCAGTCTACGCCCACAGCCCTCAGTCTACCAGCCTGCTGGCCCTGTTGGCATTAGGACTCCTTCACAGAGTCAGTTAATGGCATCAGCCTCACGTTTCAGGTAGAATAAATGTTTCCTGCATGTTGGTAAGAAGGAAAAGTGCTAAACTAATGGAAGATTTTTTTTTCATCCTAATAAATACGGGCTGTAGTCAGAAATTTGACAGGTCCAGTGAATCATTAGTGTGAACCATGTTCAAACTTGTGAAAACGGTTCAGCTTGCTTCCACCTTTTTATGAAGCCTCACTGGGGGATACCACACCCCCCCAAGGACCCAACAAGATGCACAGCCAGAAGGCTCTACACAGCTGGAAGGTTGGCCACGGTCCATGTTTGCACTTAAGGGCTGCTTGGTCAGACACACGGAACACTAATGACAATCACGTGGCCTTGGCTGCCAAGAAGTGGCCCAGAGTGATGGGAAACAAACCTCCTGAGCTAGCCGATGCAAAGACATTCAGCCAACAAGTAGGAAAGGCACCTTCTGCATTGGTTGGCAAAGGGGAAGGAATCCAATATCTAAACACTGGAGTGCCCCAGGGCTAAGACCATGGATTGCCGACTCAACATCTCCACTTAAATATGTACTAGGCAGGGCAGAATAAATGGGCTCCTAACTGAACTTCTAATTTCCCCCCCCCAAACCCAGTCCCCTTTCAGCCTTCCCCACCACAGAAAATACTGTTGCCTACTGAAGACTGGGCATGACATTTGATCTCTGTTTTATTAAAAGGGAATTTAATGAGTGCTAGAGATGTGTCAAAGGCATAGTAATGCCAAACGCGAGACTATTTGCCATAATTAGAAGAACTAAAAGAGAACTGAACAAACAACTTTCCCACCACGGGATTCAACATTCTCAAACACTGTCCTTGCACCACTGCAACTCATCTTGGGCCACTGGCAGTGTCCGTCCTGTAATTTGAGGCACTCTGGAGTATATGATTCTGGAAGCTAGTCCAGTGTCTAATCAGATTCAACTAGACAAAGAGTAATGGGGAGTGTTAGTGGCCCCTGAGTGCAGCCATAGGGATAGCCTATCCAGAAAAAAAGACAAACACACACACACACACACACACACACACACACACACACACAGAGAGAGAGAGAGAGAGAGAGAGAGAGAGAGACAGAGAGAAAGAGACTGACCTCCAGTCTCAGTTGATCCATCAGTAACTGAGAAAAGACAACAGATCCTGAGAACATGGCAACCTGAAAGAGATTATCATCTCTAACCTATCTGTTCAATCCTAAATTAGAGAACTGCTGAGGCCTTTGGGCAGATGGGGGTACATGCGGGAAACAAGGCTGAAAAACTGGTGTGGGGATCTCCCTTATTAGAGACCAGCTTCAGAGAGCTTTGGAGCAAGGATCAAAAGCCATGGATGCCGGAAAGAACTTGGCCAAGGAAGACCAGTGGATCCCTAGTGTGTGTGTGTATGTGGGTGGAATTTGGCACGTAATGGAGCGCAGGTAGAAACTGGCTTTGCCTGATTGACCCAGGTCAGACCAAGAAGTGGCTGAACCAGTGGGCTGCAACCCCCTGCCCTGTAGCCAAAGGGGAATGGGAAGTAAGGGAGACAGATGTCTCAGGAGTAGACTGGTGGCTCACCTGCCTCAATACCACTGGCTCCAAGGGTAAGGACAGCTCCACTCCCACCAGCTGTGGACTGCTGCCACTCTGGGCTCCATAACCAGAGGTACAAAGAACAAAGAACACTCACAACATGCTTCAAAGTCCTGGCAGAAGAAGATCTGTCAGAACGAACAGTGCACAAGCCCAGTGAAGTGCAGCTGCTCCAAGAGACAAATGAAAACTCAAGCAGAACATCACATGAGCCCTACAGCAACTCAGGGCAGACTTAAAAGATTTCTCACATATTAAAACAATGTCTTCCCAACTATTGCAGGTGAGTCCCTGTTGAGATGTGAATTGGTGGTCTGGAAGACAAAATGGAAAACCTATCTCCAAATATACAGTAAAAATATAGATATATAATTTATAAGGGAAAAGATAACAGACATGGAGGACAGATCCAGGGGGATCTAACTTAAAAATATTGGGAGTTCTAGAAGTAGAAAAACAAACTGAGAGAGGACAGCCAATAATTAAATAACAAACAGAAGACAATTGCCCTGAACTGAAAAAAGAACTGACTCTACAGATTGAAAAGGCTCACACAGTTCCAGGAAGGACGACAAGAAAAGACATACACATAGGTTACCTTGGTACAACTGCTAAACTTCAAGATGAACACAAAATCTTAAAAGCTTCCAGACAGAAAGAACATATTGCCTATAAGGAAAAAAGAGTAAGACTGACATTGAACTTCTCATCTGAAACACTACAAACTAAAAGAGAGCAGAATACCATGTATACACTACTCAGAAAAGATAACCAAAGACCTCAAATAGTTTGCCCATCATTTTTTAGAGGAAACACACAAGAATTCATAGTTTATCACCCATACATCTCATCTATGGAAAATACTTAAAGCAACAAACAACAAATGTGGCAGAACATTTTTCCTTGACCTGGGGAAAATGAACTGGTCAGGAAACCGTGAGGAGTAAGGAAGATTGCCACACACCTGCCCCTCCCTTTTCTCCTAAATCTAAATGGAGAATGGTAGATGTTCTGGGAATGGAACTGCTAAAGAAGGACTCTGAAAATAGAAGGGACATACTACAAGGGAAATTCCACCAACAGCTCAAAGCTAAAAATATTAAATGTTCCTAACAGAATCAAGGAGTTGAAGAGGATGGGAGGAAAAGTGTTCCAAGGTCTCATCTTAAGTAGGGACAGGGAAACAATTTTAACGTCTCATCCCACTGAAGCAGGGAAGAGCAGGGAGAGAATGGAACATCTTGGAGGGAGGAACAGTTATTTCATGTTATCTTGTGTTCAAATAACATTAAAGCAATATGTGTTTAATTATGAATTAAGGGAAAAAGAATGTAACCTTTAATGAAAGGGAAAAGTAGAGAACTTTCCCTGTGTTCTCTATGGGAACATAGAGAATATGGGGAAAAGATGAAATTTGAAGCAACTACATTAAACCAGCACAAGCAAGGGAAACAAAATACGACAGAAAGAAATTATAAACATACTGTAGATGGAAGAAATAAAATCCAGTACATCAGTCAACAGATTAGATTACTCATTAAAAACAGAAGATGCCAGATTGGGTTAAGAAATTAAAACAAAAACCAAGCTCCAGGTGCATGCTGTTTATAAGAAAACTGATTAAAATAAAGGTATACAGAAATGTTGAAAATAAATGCATAGGCAAGCAGATACTAGGCAAGTGCAAACAAAAGGAGGGAGAAGTGTCAAAATTAATTAGATAAGGGAGAATTTTAGTTTAAAAAAATGCTGCAGAGGATACAGATGTTTGTGATGATAAAAGGAACACTTATTTTATGAAGACATTAATGACCATCAGAAACTTTAATGCATTAAACACAGAAGCTAAATATATGAAGCATCCATTATTAGAAATGGAATAAATAAAATTTTAGTGTGAAATTTCAAAGATGTCTATTTCAAAAATAGACATATAGGCAAAAATTAAGATAACAGAGAAAATAAAAAATATAATTTGAATTACTAGAAATATATAGGGCCCTGCATTCCTTGAATCTGGAATAGATCATTTGTTGGGACCTGAATCACTTACAAAACTTGATCACAGATATAAACTTAATAAATTTCACAAGATATGTTTATTTTTTTAATTAAACAAAATTTTATCTTCCCCAAACAAACAATGTATGTTTAATAAAAAAAAATTTTATGGAAGGGCATAAAACCAGATTTGAAGAAAAGGCATATGTTCTTAAATGGGAACATTTAACATTATAAAAAATGCCCCGTGTACACTGGAACTTAATACAACTTTTAATTAGAATTTCAACACTTTTTTTTGTTTGTTTTTTAAGTAGAAGCTCAATCCCAGGAAGAGTTGGCATCTCCCTGCTACCCCAGGCTGGGGAGAAGGCAGGGCCCAGGTCTGGCCCCTTCATCCCACAAGCTGCCACATGTCCCCCACTCTGCTTCCATGTGATGGCAAAGTGCATGGCCCATCGGGTCAAATCCTGGCTACACATGTCTGTGCATACCTCCCACAGGGACTGAACTTGAGAGGGACCCAGTAGGTAACAGGGCTCAGCATGGAGGCTGAAGAGTGGCCCAGTGAGCTGGCCTGCTTTCACCTACCAACACCAAACAGATGAAGAGTGACCAACACCCGCCCCACAGGGCTGTAAAGAATATTTTCATCTTTCACTCAAACACACCTCTGGCTTGCTTTAAAAGCTTCTCATCAGGCAACTCTGCATTGCATTACAATTAATCACACTTGCCCAATTAAGAAGAAAGAATAAAGATTCTCTTCTCCCATCTTCCAGAAGTGTGGAAAGGATGGGACCTGCTCAAGGTCACAGGCCAGCAAGTAGCCGGGCTGGGGCTCCAACCCAGGTCTTCTGACTCCACATCCCAGCTTCCTCCCTGCTAATCTTCGTGATAAGACAAAGTGGCAGGAGGAGTCGATCAGTCACACACTGTTGCGGGTGAGATGGAGGAACGAGGAGGGTGAAGGGTCCTGGCACCAGAGCCAGGCTGCCCTGGGGAGTCTTTTAGGCAGAGCTGACTGGAACCTGGGCCAGGCAAGAGGGGGCCCAGGACCAGGAGCAGCTGTTCTCTGCTCAAATGCTTGGCTCCAGAGATGGCTGCTGCTGCCGCTGCTGCTATCTAGTCAGACACTCAGAGGTTAGCCGAGGGCAGCTCCCCAGCAGAACTCTTGGCAGAAGGCAAGCAATGTGAGTGCATCAGCCCAAAGTTCCATTGCAGCCTCAGAATCTGGCTCCAGCATGGACGGCACCTCCTCAGGGTGACTTGCACTTCCCATACCAAGAGGCCCTGTGAGCTGTTGGGGTTGGTGGGGGGGACAGGCCAATGCACTCAAGGGCAACAGGGCATGTCTGCACTGAAGACAGGGCCCACCCCACTGCCCACAAGAAGGAACAGCTGGATGGGGCCGGGGCCAGGAGGAAGGTTGGGAGGGGAGAAGGGTCTACTTGAGCATTCCTGATGTGGGGGTGTGGATGAGCTGTGATGAGAAGTTCTTCCTATGTCAGCCTCACTATGCGAAAGTATCAAGCAAATACCCTGTGCCAGACGTCGTGCTGGGTGGTTTGTGTGCACCTCCCCATTTCATCCTCACGACTCTCCAAGAAAGGTACTATTAGAAGATTCCTCAGAGGAGGAAATGCAGGCCAAGAGAGATCAACTCGCTTGCTCAAGGTCACTCAGGTGGTGAGTGGCAGAACTGAGCTTCTGTGTTACTTGGAAGCTTGTGCTCTGAGCAAGGCACTAGAGTGCCCACCTCATCTGAACTGCTCTCCTTGCAACCCAGTGCCCTGCTGAGGCTGGCCCAGGAAGCACAGCACTTACTGCTTTCCCTAGCCTTGTCTGAGGGTCCTGTCCAGCAGCCTGGCATCTAGGGGGCCAGCCTTGGGGACTTGGAGTCAGAAGACTTGGGTTCACAGGGGCCATCCCACCTTGTACTGCAATTGGCTGTGCCATCCAGAGACTAATAACCAAGAGGAACACAGTATAGTACTTGTAGTTTACCATGTACCTGCAGATATGTTCTCAATGAGAAGTAAACACACATTTTGGCCTGATCAGCTCATTTGATACAGAATTCCCTCTACCTTCCTTGGTGTGGCCCTACTTTGAGGGCGGGAGGATGATTTATTATACTTCCTATAATTTCTGCTTATAGCTCCTTCTGGAGGCAAAAAGTCTCATTTGTTGCCCATGCACCAGGGCCTCAGAGGATTGGT
Source organism: Homo sapiens (assembly GCF_000001405.40). Lineage (NCBI taxonomy): Eukaryota > Metazoa > Chordata > Mammalia > Primates > Hominidae > Homo > Homo sapiens. The sequence goes on along the minus strand of NC_000016.10, from coordinate 56,251,966 downwards.
GCCTCTGGCTGGAGGCCTCTGGTTCTGTCTGGGCCCCAGAAAAGGTCCTTACAAATGCCAGGAAATCTAACAGGGGTGCTTTACAGTTCACTCTGGAGCCAGCTCTTGATCAGGGAAGATGGCAGCCTCGCTGACTGGTGCTGGAGTGCAGAGTGAGAGGGAGACAGGCAGACCCTCTCACCAGGTACCAAAATGACACCTGTGGGGAAAAGCTAAGTGGACCAACCTTCCAAGCAGATTAACTTCTATCCTGGGATCTGCAGAACTATTAGTGGGCAATGGTTTGAGCATAGGCAAGGGGAGGAAGGTGAGGCTGGAGAGTAAGGAAACAAAGCCACAGGCAAGCTCTTCTTTATAAAGGAGGCTGTTAGGAAAATCCAATGTGCACTTGACCACCTGGGGTTCTATATTACAATCCTTTTTCCTAAGACCCATTTCAGCAGAATGGGAAAATATTTGCTATTTTGTAAAAGTTATTTAACTGTTATTAAAACATGCCCTTGAGCTTAATGATGTTGTTTATTTTACCATTTACATATTGCACTCCTTGAGCTGACTCTTCAACTTGATTTCACTTACAGAAGTGAACTTGATTTCACTTGTAGAAGTTTTAAGAACTTCTCTCCTCGAATATGCAGGCAGATGCATTGTAAGTCATCAGTGTAATGGGCAACTTCACTGGAAGAGGGTTACAAGTCCCAGGTTCAAAGGCCAGACTTGCCAATTTCGATCGAGATGGTCCTGGACAAATAACTGAATTTCTCTAACCCTCAGTCTCCTCATCTATAAATAGGATAATTGCCACCCAGCCTCCTTTATAGGGGTGTTATTAGGATTAAGTGGGATGCCTATGATAGCCTGTTGTAGACTGTAAAACACACAAACTGATGCTGAAGTGAAAAATGTGAGATCTTAGACTCGGGGGTAAAATCATAGATTAGACATTTGTGGCTTGGGGCCACCTTATATTCATTCTTTCACCTCTTTGCCAACATCAAGTGTTCGAAGAGCCACTTCTCCCCAGCTCTTGGCCAAATGTCATTAAGGTGGGGACTAAGTCAACATATTCCATTCCCCAAAACCACAATGGTTGGTTCAGGGATGGAACATAAGTCAATCAGAATCAGTGAGAAGCATTAAGACTCTTCCTGGGATATCCAGTAAAGAAACACTTTGCATGGGGATTTGGAGCTGAGGCTGAGGGGTGAATCCACCTGAGAGTGAAGTTAACATGGAGGAAAGCAGAGCCTAGAGAGGAGCCACTAGGTCCTGATAACATCCTTACAGCCCCAGGAGCCAGACTTTTCAGTGAGAGAGGTGGCTAAGCTTATTTTTTAAGTCATTGGGCAGGATTTCTGCCATTTGTACCTGAAAGGGTTTGATACGCAATCTCAATGAAAGCAGGATGACTGATACTCAGGATCAGCTTCTGGCTATGTTTTCCAAAGGAAAGCTCTGTCTTGCATGCTCTTTTTTCTACCCAAGAGCCACCCAACTAAACCTGGCATCAGCACAGGGACTAAGCTGAGGACATTCCATCTTCCCCCAAAGTGGAAGTGCTCAGAGGAATATTAACAGTGGCTTTATCTAGTCTAATTGGCCAAGGCTTACAGTTCTTCAAGAATTCCTTCCTTGAGATGGTTGGCCTTCTAGATCTGTGGTTTTTAAGTACTGGTCTGAAGACCCCTGGTAAGCCAAGAAGATCCCCAAATAAGGTTAGCAATTACGGTTTCTTTCTGGCCTTCATTCCATGCCACACTGTATACAACTCATCAACCCCGCCAACTTGTCTGAGGGACATACCTTGTATCTTCATGCTTCTGTGCCTCTGCTCATGCTTTTCTCCCCACCTAGAACGCCCTCCCTTCTTACTTCTCAGTACCAATTCTTCCTGATGGTTTGGGGCTGGAGCAGACACTGTTGGTGGCCAAGCCATCCACCATTGTTCTCTCTCTTCCCTGTTGGCCAAGTCTGAGCTGTGTCCTGGTGTCCCTATCTCCTCTTGATTGGCAGAAGCACATCATGTAAACCCACTGCCCTAACCAGTGATTGGTTTAAGAAGAGACATGGGACCCAAATCTGTGCAATGAGGGCTAAATCTGTCCAGCGTAAGGGCCAGTCTCCCAGCAGGGCTTCTAAAATAGGGAGAGGCTCGACCCTGTCATTTCCCTTGATTTAGGTGGTGAAACCATAATGCCTGGAGCTGCTGCAGGGAGGAGCCAGCTGGTGTGCTGAGGCAGGCACAATGAATAGAGAGAAAAGACTTGGGTCCCTGATAGCTTCATTGGGCAACCGTGGGCCTGCTTAATTTCCAGACTTCTTGATATATGTGTTCATAATTTCCGGTATGGTTTAAGCCCTTCTGAATTGGGTTTTCTGTTACTTGCAGCCAGTGGCTCCTTGACACAAAAGCTCTGTTCCAGCTCCTCTCCCCCTTGGTGCTTTCCCTGATCATGCCAGTTGTCCACAGAACAGCCTCCTCCCCAGCACTCCTCTCCCCTCCCCAGTGGATATGCCTGGATTGTCTGTCAATGCCAGGAAAGTGCGATGGTTTTCATTCTAGATTGGGTTCTGCAGCACTGTGTTGAGATGGTGAGGCCATGCTGGGGCTCTGAAGGAAACGGTGTCGTAGCAGCACCTGCCATGAACTTCGGAGGAGCCATATGCAGCTTCGAGAATCCAAACAAAACTCCTGACTTCACTGCCCAAACTTGTTCCCCCCCATTCCATGTATCTCAGAGACCATCACCTCCATTTTATCAGTTACTCAGGCCAAAAACCTTGGATTCAACCTTGACTCCTCTCTTTCTCTCACACCTACATTCAATATGAAAGGAAATCTGTTGGCTTTACTTTCAAAACACATCCAGGACCTGATTGCTCTGCTACCTCCCTAAATCACTACCACCGTAGTTTCTTGTGGACAGCCCCATGTCTCTGAATTTGTGCGGCCTAGTAGAGCACCTTATATAGGCCACCACAGCCTCTCTCCTGAGAAACTTCAGCAGCCCCTTAATGATCTCCCTGCATCTATTCCTGTCTCTGGGCTGTTCTCCACAGTGAGATCAACACTTCCCATGGGCTCCCATCACACCTGGAATAAAAGTCCAAGTCCTTCTGCAGCCTCTAAAGTAGCCCAGTCCTCTGGCTCCCTCTCTTGACTTCATATTTCCCCAACCTATCCCTCCCGCCATAGAGGCTTCTGTTTCTTAAAAACCACTCCCACCTCAGGGCCTTTGCACTTGCTGTTTCTTCTGCCTAGAACACTCTTCCCTCACCTCCACACTTCCTTCAGAGGCTGCTTAAATGTTATCTTGGAGAGAATGTCCCTGACCACTCTCATAAAACAATGGCCCCCTCTAAGTCCCTCCCTGTTTATTTTTCTTCATAGCCTATCTGCCCCTGACATATTATTTTTCTGTGTGGTGCCTCTCTTTCCATCCTGGAAGCTGAGGACCTGTCTCACCCACAGCTGTTATCATGGACCAGAACAGCTCTAGGCACAGGGCAAGCATTTAGTATATACTTGTGTAGTGAACAAACTCTTTTTGTATCTCCCGCCATTCTCAGTACATGGCTTTGGACACAGTAGGTGTTCACAAAGTTTGCCTGTTAGATTTGATGTTTATAACAGGAAAACATCAGAAGTTTGATTTCATTTCTGGCAGAAATGAAAGCTTCTTTCATACACATGGACAAAGACTGGAAGGTAGCACTGGAAAACAGAAACGAGAGTTAAGAGTGGTGAAAGTTTTTGCATATTAATTTCTCTAAATGTTAAGACAGCACAATTAAAAGGTATAAATATGTTTTACTGTTAAAAATTGTTTCAAAGAATTGTGCATGCTTTTCTTAGTGTTGTCTAAAGAAAATCAGTTTGGGTTTTCTTAAAGGCACTAACAGTTGAGACTGGGCCAACAGAATCTCCCTCAAAATCCCCTGTCCCCAAAGAGACCTACAGAGAGACATCATGCCTTTATGAACAACCTTCTGAGAGCTGTAATCCTCAACCAATGTGTGTGAGAATGCACATTCAGTATCATAATTGTTTTGCCTTTACATGATACCTAGTTGGCAATTCCAAATATCCTAATGTAGGGATTATTTATCAAGAAGTGATAGAGGTTAAACAACTTTCTGCCCCAGGAAGCACTGAGTCCAATCCTCTATCTTAGGCAGGATGTTTGCAAATATTTGTTCATCCAGCTATTATTTATTAAGCATCAACCACATTCCTGCTCCAAGAAGCCCTTCTCCCTCGGGAGACAAGTGCTTATTTTTATAGGATTTCAGGGAAGGAGATGTGAGGTGAGCTTTAGGGGAGGACTGTTCAATCCATTCTAATCCAATTATTTGTTGAGGACCTATTATGTATGCACAAGATGCTCTACTAGGCCCTACAAATTCAAAGACATGTGGCTGTCCACAAGACACTTATAATCCAGTATGTGAGATTAGAAATGAAAAAAAAAAAAAAAAAAAAACCTCACCCTAATAAAAGGTAGCAAAATGTCAGATACACTGCAAGAGAAAAGCAAAACCACCTATGTTTTAAAGGGGCTCAGAGAAGGAGGAAGTACAGCTGAGTGGAGAAATTGGGTACAGCTTTGGGAAAACCATGACATTTTGCGGCCTAGAAGGAAAGGTGGGTGTGACAGGCAGAGACATGGGACATGTGGGTGGGGTTATTCCAGGTAAAGGAAACTGTGCACCCCAAGACAGGGAGACAGCAGGGTACAGGGCACAGGCTAGCGCAGTTCTGTTCTGCCTGGATGGCCGGCGCCAGCCCATGTGCTCTGCTGACGGGCCATGCTGACCTGGGTAGCTGGTGACAGCAACGGAGGGGAGCTGAGGCGGGCAAAGATGGCCCCAGCAGTCAGGTGGACAGTGGATTAGACTGCGGGGAGAAGAGGAAAAAAGGGCCACTTAAGGAAGCTGTTACTCTGGCAGAGGGCCACATAGATAGGGGCCTTAACTTGGTAAAGTGGGCATTTTATTTATTCTTAATACCTTCTATTGATGTCATATAATCTTTTGCATGTACAAGGCATTACATAATGAAGAGCCCTACTTGATTAATTCATTTAGTCAACAAACACAAATTAAACATTCGCTCTTTAAAAAACCTTTTTGAAGAGAATGACACCCAGGGAGGGGAGAGGAGAGGCATTCTGGGAAAGGGTTGTCAGAGAGGAAGAGGGACAGGAGGAGGGAAGTGACAGCAGCAGACTAGCAATGATCACTGGAGTGGGAGGGCACATGACGGGGAACATGGACACACAGAGAACAAGCTCCACAGCAGGGCGCTGTGGGGACAGCGGTGCCGTGTGAGCTTTTCCTTATGGGAAACCCTAGGCAGAGGACAAAGACCTCTGGTTCGTGGACACACTGGGTCCTCGTGCCTCTCAGGCTGCAGCTGCGAAGTTTACGTGAGCTGCCTTTAGCCAGGAGACACTGAACTTGATCGTCCAGTATCCAGAAGTACCCTCCAGGACTGGGCGATGGTGGGGCCAGAGTGCCTGCAACAGGATCCGTGTTTCTGTGAACGGGACTCTGATGTTCCAGATTGTGACCTGGGCATGTTACCAAGAACAGACATTCCCAGGAAAAGGCTTTCTCACTGATGCCCTTTGTGATTACAGCTGGGAGGCTGAAGTAGGGGTTTTCCACAACATGACCTTTGAAGAAAGGTTAACGACTGCTTCAGGAGGGCCTGAGCCTTGCATGTCTGCCCTAAGCAGTCTGGGTGCTTGGGCTGTCCCTGACCTCACCTCCAAGAGCACAGTGTGGAGTCAGCCACTGATGGGAAACATCAGCCAGGCAGACAGGCATGTGCCCTGAGGCAGCAGCTCAGGCAGCAGGTAGGCTGTGAGGAAAGAGGGCTGACCCAGGGAGTTGGGAGGCCTGACTTCTGTCTCTGATTCACCCAGGGGCCCTGCAGAGATCTCAGCTGGGAGGAAGCAGGGCAGTAATTATGGGTGTGGGCTCTGGAAACATTAAGATCCGAGTTTGAATCCTGGTGCCCCTTACCCCCCTACACACCCAATCTGAATTATAAACCTCCCATTAGTCTCTCCTAAAAGGCCTGCATTTTCCTTTCCCAACACTTTTCACAATTTTTATAAGTCTACCCTCCAGACTTGGTACTGTGTCTCAATTGCTATGTTTTTTGTTCTCCATGGGCCATGTTTTGACAGAGAAAGTACACCATATCAGTTTCCCAATCTTATTGATTCTATAGGGGCCAGCTCAAATGCCACCTCTTCCAGAAAACTTCCCTTGGGCTTCTTGTACCCAAGAATTGCTCTCTTTCTATTCAAGTGCCCTAGCCCTCTGTCTGGCCTAAGCATTCTCTGCCTTTGCTTAGGGTGGCTGGTGCTCGTATCTACAAAAATGCTTACCTTCATAGATACAACCATCAGCTCCTTCTGGGACAGGAACACATCCACATCAGCTTCTTTCATACCCCCAAATACTTAGGGCAATGCCTGTTCTGTTTGTGGGTTAATGAATGAGTCAGTGGACAAGATTTTCTGACTGCCTGAGGGCACACCACCCTTTAACTGGCCAGTGTTGTGAACTCTTCTACAAAAGACCTGAGCGTTACCCCAGCCAAGCTGAATCAAATGGAACGTCAGGGCCGTGATTCCAAGCCAAATCCATACAAACTGAATTTAGCAGTTGCACAGAGCCGAAGCAGGGCTCACCAGATTTCTAAGAATGGATAAATTGCCCTGATCATCAGCTCAGCCGCAACAGCCTAGCAGAGGCCACATCTCCCTGGAACAACAAGGGTAGATGAAGCATCTTTAACAGAGTTTTTTTTTTTATCTATAAAATAAATAAATGTTGTCTAGTGCTTTCTCCTGGCTCAGCTATCCTAAGACTCTAGTGTAGGCTGATTCTAAAGGCATGATTTTGCCCAGTGGAAAATGTTTTAGTGAAACTTTCTTTGAAAATTAGTGCCAGAGAAAATGCACTGGATAGACCCGAGGGGCCATCAGTAGCCCACATCCTGACTATTCCCAATCTGGTTTATTTTCAGAGCTCCCCAGGCATGACTGGAGAAGGTGCTATTCAGTGGGAAACAGGCCTTTGCCTTCTGCCTGTAGGAAGAGCAGAAGCGGTGGTGGACTCTGAGCACCGGGAGCTCTGTCCATGCTCCTGACAGCACGTGCATTTGCCCAGCTTGGCTATACTGGCCAGCCCACACTCTGCACATCCACCTTAGCTTGGGCCTGCCACAGGGAACCCTGGGTGTGGTGGAAAAAATAGCTGGGACCCTAGAGACTAGAGGAAAGCCAGGGAGTCCAAGGGAGGGCAAGTCCCAGGGGGTCAAATGACCTTAGAGAATCGCAGCGGAAGCCCCTAGACCTGAGGGTGGCCTTCCCCAGCAAGTGGTCCCAGAACAAGCAATGAGGGATCCAGTTTCTTATTCTTGTCAAGCAGAGTCAGATACGTGACTGCTAATCGAAGCTTCTCATCAGCTGGAGGTAACCAGGGTTACTACCCTGGTGGGACGTAATTTCAGCCAAGAGCAAAGATGCTCTATGGTCTCCAGGCCTGAATGCAAATATAATGTTAGGTTTTTTTTTTTTTTATGCTAAGTGTTATCCATAGACCAGCATTACTACTTTCATGAACCCCAGGATGGGGCCCTCTTTTATCCAGCCTAAGACTTGGTTTAAAAGAGGAAGAAACTGAGGCCCAGGAATTCTGTGCCTTAACTGAAGTCTCAGAGCGAATTAGTAGGTGGTCATCCTGACAGTTTCTCAACCTCTTTCCCATTTACGTGCCTACACTCAAGTAGATTACAGCTCCCCATGGGCAGGAACCCTTTGCTTTGCCTGTAGTATAGCATGGCGAGTGGCCAAGAGTGGGGTCTGGGATCACACTGTGATTCTGCCTCCGCTGTACCAGCTGTGTGACCACAGACAGAACACAAACTCTAAACTCTGTGCCTCATTTTCCTTATGCACTAGAAGGAGATATTAATAGTGCCCTGGGCAACTCTGCCTCAGTTTCCTCAGCTGCAAAATGGTGACATTTGTATAACAGGGCCTACCTCACTGGGTGACCGCAAATGAGTTAATGCACGTAAAATGCTTAAGAACTGTGCCTGGAGCTCAATAAATGTTTTCAACAGCTTCACTGAGATAAAATTCACACATCATATAATTTGCCTATTTAGAGTATACAATTTAGTTTGTTTTGGTACAGTCACAGATATGTACAACCATCACTATAGTCAATTCTGGAACATATATCTGCTAAAAAAAAAATAACCCTGTAGCCTCTAGCTGTCACCCCCTACCCTCCTGGGCTCCCTCCAATTCCTTGGCAACCAGTAATCTACTTTTTTTCTCCATCCATTTCCCTGATGGCCAATAACGTCAAGCATCTTTTCATGTGCTATTGGTCATTTGTATATTGTCTTTGGAGGCGTGTGTATTCAGATCCTTTGCCCATTTTTAAGTTAGGTTGTTTTTTTATTATTGAGTTGTAAGAGTTCTTTATATATTTTGGGCACAAATCCCTGATCAGACATATGAGTTGCAAATATTTTTTCCCACTCTGTGGGTTGTCTTTGTACTTTACTGACAATATCCTCTAAAGCAGCAGTCCCCAACCTTTTTGGAACCAGGGGCCAATTTCATGGGAGACAATTTTCCATGGACTGGGGTTGTGGGGGATGGAGTGGTTTCAGGATGACTCAAGTACATTACATTTATTGTGTACTTTATTTCTATTATTATTACATTGCTATATATAATGAAATAATTATATAACTCACCATAATGTAGAATCAGTGGGAGCCCTGAGCTTGTTTTCCTGCAACTAGATGGTCCCGTCTAGGGGTGATGGGAGACAGTGACAGATCATCAGGCATTAGATTCTTATAAGAAGCATGCAACCTAGATCCCTTGCATGTACAGTTCACAACAGCGTTCCCATTCCTATAAGAATCTAATGCTCCTTCTGATCTAACAGGAGGCAGAGCTGAGGCAGTAATGTGAGCGATAGGGAGCGGCTGTAAATACAGATGAAGCTTTGCTCACTCACCTGCTACTCACTTCCTGCTGTATGGCCTGGTGGGTTCCCACCAGTCTGTGGCCCAGGGGTTGGGGACCACTGCTCTAAAGCATACAATTTTTAAATTTTGATAAAGTCTAATTTATCTATTGTTTTTCTTTTGTTGTTTATGATGTTTTATTTAAGAATGCTTTGCCAAAGTCATGAAGATTTACCCCTATGTTTTAGTTTTTGTTCTTTTGTTTAAGTCTTTGATCCATTTTGAATTAATTTTTGTATATGGTGTGAGATAAGGATCCAAATTTATTCTTTTCCCTGTGGCTATCCAGTTGTCCCAATACCATTTGTTGAAAACACTATTCTTTCCTCACTGAATGATCTTGACATCCTTGTCAAAGATCAGTTGGTCATAGATGTATAAGTTTATTCCTGGACTCTCAATTCTACTCCATTGATCTAGATGCCTATTCTTTTGCTAGTACCATGTTGTACTGATTATCATTGCTTTGTAGCAAGTTTTGAAATTGGGAGGTGTGAGTCCTACCTTATTCTTCTCTTTCAGGATTGTTTTGGCTATTCTGAATCTCTTGAAATTCCATTTGAATTTTAGAATCAGCTTGTCAATTTCTACAAAGAAGGCACCTGGGATTTTGATAGGGATTATGTTCAATCTATAAATGATTTGGGGGTGAATATTCAATAAATATTAACATTTTTTTCATCTTCCTTCTTCTCCTCCCCTTATTACTACCACTACCACTGTTACCTTTCAGCATTATGAGAAGTAAATGACTCAGGTGAAGTGCCAGAATGCAGTGAGAGTCCAATGCATGTTTGCTATTAGCATTTCTGCTATCACTGCTGTGCCCCAGAGACTGTCCTGGGCTGGCAGGAGAGTGGGATGAATGAATGACACAGCACCCCCTAACTAGCAGTGACCACCCTGGGATTTAGCCCTTTTCCAGGTACAGGGCTTCTGAGGCCAGGGCTTTTCATCTTCCCAGTGTAGCTTCCCATTGCAGCTCAGGCCAGTTTCTGCCAGCAAGCAGCACAGCTTCTGCTCATGCCCAGCTCCCACAGGCTCGTAACTGGGACCTCCTTGTGAGTGGTATAAACATACACTCAATCAAAATACCTTCTCAAATGCCTTGTCACGAAGGGACACTGGACTGCAGGATAAGGAAAGCAGCAGGTCTGGTTCAGCATTTCTCAAACTTGAGTCACTCCATTACCCTCATGATTTTTGGCCATAGCCTATACCATTATGCTTCATTTGCTTGGTAGTTTAATTCTATACACTGCAAACAAATATTATTATTATTTGTTATTATTTAAAAAGGAAATTTTACATTGTTGCCTTAAATGGTATCACCTGCTTTAAATAGGAGATAACCATGGAAACAAATACAATGCAAACAAACCTATAACAGACTATTTGTTTCAAAAGATTGGCAAGCTTTAGAGGGATATTAAGCTGTTCTAGTGCCCAATGGACTCTCCTCAACTCGATGGGAAGCACTGGAAGAGAACTAAAAGGGGCTCACTTCCCCTCCTCAGTGACTGAGTGGCATGCTGTGTGCAGTCAGTGCTGCATCGCTAGTGCTGCACATGAGCCTGAGGACAGGGCTTGAGAAGTGATGCTTTACTCCCCAGCACTGCTACTCATTCACACTGGCCTTCCCTGGATAGCAGTGGGACTCACAACACAGGCTCCCAGCATCACTGTGGCCCTCAAAGTGCTCTGAATTGGTTGGGAAAAGTTCCATGGGAGCAGCGTCAGAGCGCTGTAAGGCCTGTGGCAAAGAACTGCATGCTCCGCTTGGGCTGCAGTGGCAGGACTGCTTGGTTCTCGAGGTCCCACTCCAAAAAGCAGGAAGTAAAGCCTGGGCCACCATGTACACAGAGAGTACGGAGCCCTAGAGAGAGCTGGACGGTGCTGATGCCACCTCCTGGAAGGAGCACTCTTCCCTGTGGAGGCATCCTGGCCTTGACTGTCATTCCCTTGGCTTCTACCTGCCTTCTCCTTCTCCATCGGGGTGGGCTTCCTGAGCTGAGGCAAATCAAACCATATCCCACAGAGTCTCATCCTGTTCTAGTTTTATAAGCATCCTTCTCCTCGTGACTGTGCACGAGGATAAACACCCCAGCCTGCTCTATAGCTCATAAGCTTGTCACCCTAAGTGCCCAGCTATGAGGCACCCTGAGCCTGGAGAGGGAGGGGAAATCTAAGACCAACCAATTAAACCCAAATCAGACCATGGAGTTCCTCTTCAGGTCCTGTGTAGGCATTACATGGAGGACTTGGCAAAGGTTGAGAGAAATGGGAAAAATTCGATTCTGATATGAGGCTCAGATAAAAGTTCAAGACAAGAGAAGAAATGCTGTCAAACTGACATGCTCAAATGTATACACATATGGGACCCACCACTCAATAAAAGCATTAAACAGCACCATGGTTCAAAAACCAAGCAGTTCTAGGAAAGTGGTTGAAAACTGCTATCACCCTGGGATGTGAAGTCCCTGGTGTTCACACTGCCTCCCCAGCCAGACACCAGAGGCAAGGCACCAGCACGGGTGCCCAATAACAGTCTACTAAGCTGAATTTGGATGTGAGGAGGCAGAAAAAATCCTTCCATGACCATACAGACAAGCACATTCCAGGGAATGGTGTCTGCATGAGCCTGCCTCTAACCACTCCCGAGCCCTCCACACACTGAGCTGAGACCAATGAGAGGACACTTCCCTGGAGGCTGCTGAGGTGGCTTTCAGACACACCTGAGGAAGAGATCCCATCTCCATTGTAAGATTACACTGGGGCTGGCTGTGTCCCCACCCTAAATCCAGGGTGTGTTATGTGAAGCCTCCTGCTTCTTCATTTTCCAGACCACCTACCCAATCAACTCCTGTGGCCCCAGAAAACAACTGCAAGTTGTTCTTCTGACTCAAAAGCCTGACCTATAAACATCTTTGTGGAGACAGGACTCCCTGTTGAAGGGCTCAAGGATAGTTGCTGAGACCTGCACCCCCTACCCCAAGGCAATGCTATAGCCTCTGCCCAGCAACCAGGCCTAAGAGAAGCCATGTGCTGTCTCTATCTTTAGTGAATAACTGGCAGTCCTATTCATCCAGCTTGGGAAAGACAACCATAGCTGAGGCTCCAGTGATAACAATGACATTTATAAGGATCTAGCGTGTGGATTATGTGAAGTGGTTGCCATATTTGTCAATCTGCTCTGAATACAGAAATTCTTAAATTTTCCTCAGAATAATAAACATTAAATGATTATTTCTACAACTCATCACTGCAATAATTCTTCATTAGAACCTGAAGAATGTGATGCCTCAGCACCTACAGATGTAGGCTCCAAAAGGGTACAGACATTCTTATGGGGTGGTGCCTTGTCAGTCCCTGTGGGCTCAGCGGCTGGGAACAGGGCCTGTCCAGTATGTCCCTAGAACCCTCTCTGTCCTTGGAAGGTTTTTTCCAACTGCAGGAAGTCTAGGCTGAGGAGGCAGACAGTGACCCAAGTGGCCTTTTATTAAAGCACCTAATTATTAAAGGGAGTTTTATTAAAACATAAGTCTTTTTTCTCTTTTGAGACCACCTATTTGGGGCTTGTGAGTAGCATCAATGCAACTTTGCATGGTTTTCATGCTGCCAAAGCTTGTGGGCATTTTACAGAGCTAGGCTCTACCTTGGCAATGAATTGGCTGATGAACTGGGCACTCATAATCACAGCTAAAGCAGGAAGGGTCTCAGGCAGAGTGCCTGTGATGGGCTAGTGCAAAACTTACATCAGTGCTCAAGATGTGAGTCTGTGATGTGACACTGAAGTGTATTTTCTATTGTCTCCATCTCTGATGGTAGGGAGAAGGACACAAAAGGAAAAATCTTCCAGAGATTTACAGAGATGTCTGCAGGGCATAAAGTGATATGCAATCATATATGTAGATATGGGAAAATGTTCAGAGTGTACAGTGAGAGTAAAGAGGGCCAATAAAATTATGTGTTCAGTTTGATACTAGCTTTTGTTTAAAAACACATACACATGCATTGAAAGAAGTCTAGAAACATATATACCCAAACGCAAATTATGATTCGCTCTGAGTAATAGAAATATAGGCTATATTTATTTTCTTCCATTTTAAAGTCTGTATATCCTACATTATCTATGAGAAATAAGCATTAATTGTGTAACAAAATTATTACTTTAAAAAATGCGTGTGTGGGAAGCACATGCTATGCCAATGGGCCTGAGTCTACTGCTGTCTGCTGTGTACCCTGCAGCGTGGAAAGAGATCAGGAGTGCAGGCAGACTTGAGGGGGAACAATTGCTCCCCTGAGCCTGTTTTCCAAAAGAAGTATCTTTCCAACAAATGTTCTTGCAGCAGTGGGATGGCCACCACTATGTTGACATTATTAACATGAAAAAAGAAAGTCAACAAGGTGGGGAGGAAGACTCTGTGACTGTGGTGCTGTGGTCATGTGCTTGTCCCCCACTCTCCAATCTGGTCTCAGCCCCAAGGTGTTAGAACCCGCTGTGCCTCTGGCCACGTGCACAGGCAAGACTGGACTGCAATCAAGGATAGCTGTGTGTCTCCAGCCTTTAGGAAAGGATGCAGTTTTCTGGATTAAGAGAGAAGAGGAGTAGCCAACCTTGCTCCAATGCCAGGCCTTGTTGGTACCTCAGAGGCTGTCAGACTGGGGGAAGCCTGATCCTCTTGGTCCCACGTTTTGAAAACCTCCTCTTGTGGCTAGATATCAGGAGGATGCAGCAGGCCTGCTGAAAAAAAGTCGTCCCACAAATGTGTGTGGGGCGGGCGGGGGGGGATCTGTGATGGGACCCATGATGGAGACCCTCTGTCACGAGCCTCAGCCCAAGCACCTCCTTTCACTCTCGCTTTCTCAGAATATTGTAAAATGTATGAAATAATGCTGCTGGCCCAAAGTTTTGAGAAAGATGGAGAACGAAGTTTATATCATAGCTGGTTACGGATCCCACAGATGAGACTATACAAGTGGTACCCCAGGAACCTAGACACTAACTTGGGTCTTTTATCCGTTGCCAGCTGGCCTTGCAACGTGCAGCTGCTAAACAAACAAAAAAGAATTCACATTTTCATTTAGACGACTTTGTGCTTCATAATGTGTCCATTTTTTTTTTCTGGAGCCAGAGTGTTTGTTATTTCTTTGCAATTTCAGAAGTTATGAAATGATTCATGGTTTTGTTGGAGCTGAAGTCAACCAAAACCATTCATAATTGTGAACAATCTCTGTTATTGTTAGAGGGAAAACGCCAAGGCATCTGTGCTTCCCAAAAACACATGGGGGGAGAATTCCAGTTTGGAAATGGACCGGCTGTGTTTTTCCCCTAGAGTTAAATTTATCAGAATGATTTCCAGGGAGATGGCTGTGTTCTTCTGGTTGCAGCAGTGGGGTGGCCACCAGAACGCATGGTTTCTCCTCTCTCCTTCCTCTCCTTTCTCTTTCAGATACAGGCATCCTGTGGCATTGCTCTGCACAGCCGTAGTTACTCATTAAATGTCTGTCTCCCCTACAAGAGGAGGGGTTCATGAAGGTAAGATCACATCTATCTTACTCAGCTCCAATATTCAGCTCCATGTCAGGTACATAGATGATGCTTAACAAATATCTGTTTAACGAATGACTGCATAAACCCCACCAGCTAATGTCATTACTCTTTAGTCTTTTGATTCTTCATATTCTTGATACCATATTAATTTGCACTGGTTGATAGCATGTACAATTATAAGAGAGACTTACCTGAAAACAAAAGAATAAAATACTGATAGTAAATATTTTTGAGTACTCATTTTGTGCTAAGCAATGTGCTAAGTACTTCATGTACAGCATTCCACTTAATCCTCACAAAAATTTTATGACCTAAGTTCTATTATAATTCTACTCTTACAGATGAGGCTACTGAGGCACAGATAAATTAAGTAAACTTATCCAGGATCACCCAGCAATAAGTGATGAAGCTAGACACAGATATCCAAATGCACAATCCTACACGTTCCTGGGACACGGCCCTTGGCTAAAGCACTTCTAACTGCCATTTTCAGAATGTATTCAGAATCTGAAAACTTTAAATGGTGATGAGACTTTGTTTTCTCTTGGTGAGTCTGCCTTTGTGTTCAAAAGTCCCTCAAAGCCATAGGTATTTGGCGATTACAGAGGATCACTGCGTTTGGAAACAAAGCGCTGGTGTAACTATAATGCCACGAGACCAATTTGCTCTGGTGAGCCATGGACTAGCTTGGAAAGGTCACTCTAGGAAAGAAGTAACATAGTAGAGTGAAAAGGGCACTGGACTGGGAGTCAGGTTTTTTTGCAGGGTGACCTAAGACTGGTACTTCGTCTCTCTGATGTTGGCCAATATGAACTTGACTGGGTTGGCCTGGAACACTGAGGTCCAGACCTATCTGGAAGTCATACCTGGAAATGTCTAAAGCTCCTAAGAAAGCCACCTCCACTTTCCCTTTCTCTCTTCTAATCTACCTCCCAGGGTCAATTCTATGGATTCAAACTGAATGATCTCTTTCTCTGTCTCTCTCTCCTTCTGTATGTGTGTGCGTGCCTGTGTTTTGTGAAGGGACTAGAAAAGATACAGTTAACCCAGGCTCTCTTTTCTCCAACACATCTACTATGAAACTCATATCTAAGGTTCAATTCTGCAATTTAAACTTCAGCCAGAATTGCCCACACCACTCACTTCTTCTCCCCACAGCAGACTAATGTGGACTTGTCAGCAAAGGTCAACCAGTTCATCATCTTTAGGAAAGATCTCAGAAGCAATAATGGGAGAACATGCCTCTTTACCTGAGAAGTGAAACCAAGAATGACTGCCTGAACTTGAGTGGAGACCTGGTACCCAGCTTCTCCAAGTCAAAATAGGCTATGACTCAAAGAATCACCATCTCAGTGAAAACGGGAGAGCCTTGATCCCCCTTTGTGAAAATTTCAAATGATAAAGGTCCAAGTCGTGTACATAAAATGCCCATCTACCAACTTCCACCACTCCATTTCCCTTCCTACTTCACACAGAGCCAAGAAATCCATGCATGTCAAATAAATAAGATAAATATCTTATCTCCTGCCAGAATCATGCATATTCATCTTAATCCAAAGGGCAAGTGGCTACCTACAAGGCTGGGCCACTCTCTTAGCTCCCAGGCAGGGCTGGGTGATCCCAGCAGAGTAAGGACACAGAGGCTGTTGGCTGCACAGCAGGACAGTCCTGACAGATTATCCAGGGAGGCCTGGGAGGATAGGACACACTCCGCATTTCCACCCAAGTCCCATGTTAAATGAAAGCCTCCCTCTCAGCAGGCATTCCCCTAGGAGCACTGCCTTTAGGAACAATTGTCAGACTGGTTGTGCTCTCAGGGGATGTCGAGGAGAACTGACCAGGCAGGTGCCAGGAGCCAAAGGGAAATGGTAGACAGGCACAGGCTGCAGCAGCAGAGCCCCTTGCCTGGACTGCGTAGTGTCCCGCCGGCCTTCAGTTCTGCTAGCTCTACCTACCTCCTTGTAGTCCCTGCAGGATTCAACTTCTTCATCTGTTGATGGGCTGGGCTACATGCTCTGTCTAAGCTTCTGTCTTCTTTAAGATTCTAAATCTCTATCAAGTTTCTAGGTGATCTGAGTGGATTGAGCCACCTGCAATCAGAGGGAAGTCCTGCAATCTCTTTGAGGGAGTCAAATGCTAGAAGACATAACTTGTCTCAATCACCAGCCTTCAAGGGAGCATGAGCTTTATATGCCATGCTGCTTCCTCCTCTTCGAACTGCACCCTGAGAGTTGTGAGTTGTGGCTAAGCATCTTTGTCTGGTCAGCGAATAGGTGTCTTTTGCAGAACTCAAGTGCCGCAGCACCTTATTTAAACTCCCCGAGGGGCTGTGGGGTAAGAAAGACATAAACAGCATTTTCACAGGCAGCTGGTGGCTGAACATTAACTAGCCACTGGGGCAAGCAAATAGCCAGTGTAGCTCCCGATGGCCACACACTGCCCACCCCCAAAGTGAAACAGATTCTCTGGCTCAAGCAGATGACCAGGGGGACAGAGGTAGACTGTTTTCCTCAATTTTTAAGGCTAGAATGTTTTCTCTTGGAGGATCTTTGAGTTGGAAAGGGCCCCCTGCATGCCCAATGTGGTCACTGGAATAGGAGTTGGGGGGGAACCAGAGGGGAAGGGGCTGGTCCCATTCTGAACCACACTCCCTCAAAAACTCCTGTACCCTCGGAGAAGACTCCCTGGATTTGAGAAGCAAACCACCCAGGGACAGGGGAAAATGGAAGCTGCAGAACTGGGAAGCTGGGTCAGCTGTGAAACAGTTCATGGGTTCATGCAGACTTTCAGTGAGCTCTCCTTAAACTGGCTATTAGAGCCTCATGGGCAAGGCTGAGGAACTGCAGGCCTGGCTGAATCACAGCTAAACCCTCTTTCCAGCTGCACTTCCCTAAAGACAGTATTCAGCTGCAGGCCCCGAGCATGTCTGTCAATCCCCTCTTTGGAGATCAGTCTGAACTGCCCCACCCCACCAACCATGAGTACCCTCAGCCTAAGGGCATTCTGGCCAGAGGGCCAAGGCCATGAGGCTGGCTGGCTGCACAAGTGTTTGCTTAGGCCTTTGGCATTCCCTAGGCTGGTGGCTACTGGGTTTTCCCACCAGAGAGGTTGAGACAGGTAGACTCTCCTTGGGGTGTCACCTCCTGCCTACAGCCAGACCAGGAGGGTTGGGCACCTAGGGCCACTCACAGTCCTTAAAAATAGCTAATGCTGGCTTCTTTAGGAATATAAACAAAGTGGGTGTGGGTGTTTGGGTGAATACACTGCCAAGGAAAGAAGTGAATCAACCTCCCAGCTTAGGAGCCTCAGGCAGAGATGAGGTTACTGAAGGTAGAGAGGCTGGGGGCAAATCAATACCATGCTTCCCAGCAGAGCCGGGTCAGCACAGCATCTGGGCTGTTTATTTTGGTCCAGTGCCTTGGTTATATTCCCTCAAGAGAAGGTAAAATCAACATCAGCAGGCCAAGGGTTAACATGTCATTATGTGGTGCCAACCCACAGACAAGGGGGCATGGAGCCTTTGGGGAACAAGAGTGTCAAGGTGGCCAAGGGGCCCTCAGCCTGCCTCAGACAGCTAGAAGCACTCCCCCTTCAAAAGCAGCTCCATGGGCAGCATCTTCGCTGGGAGGCTCCAAGGGTAAATGGTGGCAACTCTCTGGCTGGGCAGACACAGACCTGCCTGTAGTAACCAGGAATAGAAATCCACAAGCTTGGATTCTTGAGGCCTGAAACATTCAGATGACACTGCCACCTTCCAGGAAATCACCTCACGCTCTGCTTCTGAGTTCCACACCATGACTTGCATCCTTATGGGTGCTGGCTTCTCATTCATACACAGAGAGGACACGGCAGAGGAAGCAAAAGCCTTGGCCTACAGCAAGCAGCTCACTTTTAATCTGGTGCCTTCTCTGCTAGAATCTGACTCTCAGAAACGTGTATTGCTCTCCATACATAGAAGACCTTCCATTCATTTTTTCATTCACTTATTCATCCAACCAAACTTTACTAAGCACCTACTATGTGCTAATCCCTGTTCTAGACACTGGGGCATGTAAATAGTGAACAAAACAAAGTCACTGCCTACACAGAGCTCTCATTCTATGATAATAGCAGTAACAGGTAAGTATCGGCTTTGTATCGGACCCCATTCTAAATGTTAAACACAGATCTCATATAATCCTCAAAACAACTTTAGCCAGGTACTATGAGCACTCCATTTTACAGATGAGAAAACAGACACAGCTAGATTAAGTAATGATGCCTGGTGATGGCAGGATTCAAATCCATTCAGTGCAATGATACTCCACCTCCCAAGCTACAGGAGTGTCATAGATGCATTTTCCTTATGGTGAAGTCCTTCCGGCCTGTCTTGAAAGCCATTTGAGTAAGGGGCATGTTTTATTGTACTCACAAAATGGAAATGGCCTATAGGCTCTTAGAGCAATAAAAATAGAATCACAAGGATATAAAGAAGAAGAGATGTCTTCGTGAAGCTGTCTTTTGTCTTTCTGGTTATAAGAAGTAAAAAGTTAGTTGGAGGGCGCTTCACCCCAACCCCTTTTGAGGAGGCCTATTATATGTCATGTTTTTTTTCCAACGTATTTTATACTGAAATAACAAAAAGCCATAACTGTATAAAATGAAAAGTAAGTGCTGAGTACTCCCTTGTGTGAGTGGTCTGTTGGGTCTGTGGTTGGAGGAAGACCAGCTCTGTGAGAGGCCAATAGTTTTTCATGCAAAAAGAGTTCTGAGGTCAAACAAGTGTGGGAAACTGAATTACACAAAAAGAGCTGTTGGATTTTTGTTAATTATAGAACTTCTCAGAGGCTTTAATATGCTAAAGTCCATTGTGTCTCTCCAAGAGTTTTTGTAGCAGGCAGCATTTTCTACACTTGCTTGACCTTACAACTCTTCTGAGGGGAGGTATAGAACACAAGTTTAAAGCTCACAGAACCGAATTCCAAAGGATATGAACCTGGGAAATGCCTGACTCATTAGAGCCACTCTCTCTAGACAGAAACACTATTCGTCTTACTGGGCGCATTTCTGAAGATCCATGAACTTCTCAGAGCTACGAGGCTCAAGAGGGTCAATTATGTTACAGCAAGCATTAGGAAGCCCTTGCTAAGCTTTTGTGGAATTTTTTTTATTTTTGTAGGAGAGGCTGCAGGAGGGAGGATGCATCAAAAGATGAGCAATAGTAAAGGAAACATTTTTTTTTTTAAAGCAGACATCCGTCAACGCCTTGCTGTGTTTCCTTAGGTAGGTCCTTTACCCTCTCTAGGCATCAGTCCCACTTGCCCATCTGCAATAAATGGGAATGGATCAGATGGTCTGGGCCCCCCTCCTCCAGCCCCCACATTCTCTTTCTCTCTCTGATCTGCCAACCAGATGGGAAAAGCACTGACAGGTGGCCACAGGGACGACATCGTCACAGAGGTGCACCTTCTCCTGGGACCAGGCTCCATCTTGCCAAGGGCCCTATCCTGCCAGGTGGAGAGAATACTGAGCCTCAGAGGAGTAGAGGGCCCTTGGGAAATACAGGTTGGACTGCCAGGGAATCAAAAACCCCTGACTTCAGGTGCCAGTGCCTAGTACCAAGCCTGGTGATTTTTCAAGGAATCACAGATGAGCCCCTTGAAGCAGCTCTTTTCAAACACAGTCTGCATTCAGATTTATTTAAGTGGTTCAGAAAAGGGTGCTCATTCTCTTCCTTGACCACGTCCCTCCCACTTTCCCAGTTCTTTTAGTCCCTCCCAGTTGTTCCCCAAGTTCCACTCTCTCTCTAATCCCCGCTCACAGAGAACATGCCAGGTACTCTTCTAGGTGCTAGGGACAAAACAGACTCGGACCTGGCTCTCAGGGAACATATATTCTAGAAAAGGAAAAGAAAAAATGAACACACAAATACAGGAAAGGTGGTAATAAATGAAGAATTAAGCAGAGCGTGGAGACGGCAAGTGATGAGGACTGCTATTTAAGACAGGGTGTCATGGAAGGCCTCTTGGAAGAGGTGACATATGGGCAGAGACCTGAATGGAGTTCTTTTCTTGGGTAAGGGTGAGTCTGCTCTGAGCCTACCCCACGGTGGATTTCAGAGGGCTGGGAGGTGAGTTGCCAGTCAAGGTCTGGGCCTGGCCATGGAGTAGGCTGGGCTGAGTCTGAGCATGGACCAACAGAGTCTTTCACATAAAGCATAAGCCACACTGCCCAGGTAATGGTGTCATCCTGTTTTGGGACTTGTACATCCTCATTCTCCTCATCTCTTCCTGTCTTTGGGTCCTGGCTATATGACATACCCACAGGGTGGGGATTAACCAGATAAGAAATGCTGAACAAAGCCTCAGCTGTCTCCTGACAGGGACAGACACCCAGGGCACCAACTCCACAGACCCGGGCTGAGAGGTTGCAGACTGACAGAGCACAACGGGGCACACCCTCCCTTTCTGTCTCTGGGCCTCAGTTCCCCATCTGAGAAATGCAAGGGCTGGATGGTCTCTATGAGCCTTTTCAGTTTTAAACCACACATGACTCTGGACATGCCTGAACTCAGTTTCCAGGAAGAGGAAAGCAAAGACACAAAGAATGAAGAAACCTTATCGCGAGTCAATGGAAATCCTGGAGTCTGGACCCCTATATTAGAGAAGATGCTCAGAAACCCAGTCACTGAAACATGAACCAGAAAAGGGGCCCTTAGCTATGTGACATCAAAGTCTTGTGGGCTGAGTCTCAGTGGTCCGTTTCACATACCACACCAGAACACAGGTTTATATACAACAAACCATAAAGGCTATTCCAATAGCTTCAGGGATATTTCATACTCTCTGTCTCTCCCCACCCACGCTCTGATTATGGATGAAGGGCAGAGCTATAAAATCTGCTGGAGAGGTAAACCCCTTATCAGGGGACCAGGCGAGGCACTGTTTGCTGAAGGCCCATTCACCCAGATGAAGCCCTCATCCAGGCCTGAAACAACAGATGGCTGGGGCTTGGAGGTGAATGTCCCGCTTCCTCTGGACAAGCTGTGTTTGCACAGGGGGCGAATGGCACAAGATCCCACTGAGGGGCATGGAAGAGACCAGGCCCCACAGCAGCCTCCACTGTGGTCACTGCACACCAGGCTGGGCAGCTCGTAGGTGCACAGAATTCATGCCAGAAGCATGCCACTCCCGCAGTACATGCAGAGCAGCAGCTTTCATTGACATTTTTTTTTTTTAAAGTTATGGAACATAAGTGACCAAATGATCAAAAGCATCATTTTTCCTGTAAAACAAACAGGAGGAGTTTGTTTCACCATATGAAGGATAATACAGAAATTCACATGGATTTTTAAAATAAAAAGCCAGATGTTAAAAAAACACAACTCTGGCTTGAGGTGGACTGCTACAGGCGATGCCCTTCGACTCTCCTGGGCACACACTCACCATCTTCTTCCACAAAAGCTACTTGGTGGAAAAGCTCGAGAAGTTCTAAGAGTGTAACAAGCTAGGATTTCGTTCATTCCACAGACACTCACTGGGTACCTGCATTCTGTTTAGTCATGGTTTTAGGTACTTTGGAATTAGATACACTTGAGTTTCTGGGCCTCAAGGTTTTGCATTTTTGTTTTGTTTTTTAATCTGTGAAATGGAGACAATGAAACTTAATCTCAATGGGTTATTGTGAAGATTAAATTCTATCTATTTATTCATCCATCCATCCATCCATCCATCCATCCATCCATCCATCCACCCACCCATCCATGAACAGTGCCTGGTTGTCAGCAGAGATCCAATTATTTATAGCTCCTGGTCCCCAGTACTTGTTTTCACATGGGTAAAAACAACAATGGGGGCAGGGCACAGTGGCTCACGCCTGTAATCCCAGCACTTTGGGAGGCCAAGGAGGGTGGATCACTTGAAGTCAGGAGTTTGAGACCAGCCTGGCCAACATGGTGAAACCCTGTCTCTACTAAAAATACAAAAAAAATTAGTCAGGCGAGGTGGTGTGTGCCTATAATCACAGCTACTCAGGAGGCTGAGGCACGAGAATTACTTGAACCTGGGAGGTGGAAGTCGCAGTGAGCTGAGATTATGCCACTGCACTCCAGCCTGGGTGACAGAGTAAGTGAGACTCCATCTCAAAACAAACAAACAAAAAAACAAAAACAGCAATGGTGTCGGCTATACAAAGCAGATATTCCTCAAAATGATTCTACCTCTAGCCTCCAAATCCTCCTTTCAAGCATTAAAGTCTTTTTCATTTCTCCTCCATTACAAAAGTTTACTAAGTAGCATTGGGTTATATAAAACAAAAGTTAATTCATTCAATCAACAAATATATACTGAGCTCCTACTATGTACCACACACACAGCAGAGAACAAAAGATAATCCTTGCTCTCATGGAGCATACACGAGTAAAGATAACTAACAAACATGTATAACAACAAACCTATGAATAAACTTTTATCTATATATACACGTCAGTAGCACTACGCACTTTTAAGATATATGAAGCAGGGTAAGTGAAGGGGCGGTAACAGTGGGATGCTAATTTACATAGGGTGGTCTTAAAGTGACATTCATGCAGACCTGACAGAAGTGGGGCAGTGTGGCCAGGAGATGTGCCCACAGCATGCTGCAAGTGAGTTAGCAGAACTGGGGCTTGGAGCCAAGTTTTCTGAACATGAAGCTCTTCCCATTGCCCTGGTGGGAAGCAGAGATGCAATTACTTACAGCTCCTGGTCCCGGCTCAGGGCCGGCAAGCTCAAGGTGTGAGTCAGGATCCATAGGGGCACAGAAGAAAACATCACATTTCTAGTTATGATAACTTCCAGTTAACTTTTCTATTTTCTATTTTTCTTTATGTATTTTAATATACATAATCTAAATAAATAAATAAATATATATGTATATATATATACACACACACTCACATATATACACACACACACTCACATATATACACACACACACTCACGTATATACACATACATATGCATATACACAGGGTTACCAGCTCAAACATCTTTTACTAAAGAGGTACATACATGGAAATGCCAGGAGAACCCTGCCACTCTCTGGGTATGTCTCGGCCTATTCCAGTCTGGCCTGGTGGTGGCCCTGGCTAAGCCTGGGGAAGCCTTCTTCTGGTTGCACTTGGAACACATAACTGTGCAGACGGAGGCAGATGGATGCAGGCTGGCCTCCCTTTTCGGCTCTGCAAAGTGCCACCAGCCCTGGCATCATGCTCAGGGCTATCTGGTCATGCCAACCGTGGGGTGAGAGCTTCCTGTCAATCCTGCTATGCCTCTTCAGGTAACCAAGCCCAGCACTGCCCAGGCAGGGAATGGAGGCTTCTCGGTCCAAGGGAGCCAGGCAGACACAGCCATTTACGCAGTTGTGTGCTCCTCTCAGACTACCTGATGGCAGCTTCCACTCAGCTCCAGCCACGCCTAGTGACACTGAAGAACACCATTAAATTGAACATATCACCAGCAAGAAGGCCAAAAGGCAGAAAAACCATGCCTCCGAGCCTCATTATGTTAGCAAAATAACAACAATAATACCAGGGAAAATAATACCAATAAAGCCAGGGAAAGAGGTGGGATTGCTTTAGTATGTATAGAATCAGAAAGACCATAATTCTTTTTTTTTTTTTTTTTTTTTTTTTGAGACAGGGTCTTCCTCTGTCACTCAGGCTAGAGCATAATGGCACTGTCATGGCTCACTATAGCCTTGACCTCCTGGGCTTAAGTGATCGTCTTGCCTTGGCATCCCAAAGTGCTGGGATTACAGGCATGAGCCACTGTGCCTGGCCAAAGACCACAGCTCTTACCGTTGAAGCACAGTGATGTCTTAGGTAGCTGGCAGTGGTCAGGAAGGGAGCAGCAGAGAGTGCAAATCAAACACACCCCAGGCCCCAGTGACTGGCTCAGGCCTGGAGACAGGGTGGGAACCAGGTGCTCACTCCCTGAGGTGCAAGGATGAAGCCAAGAGCCTGCCTGCAGAGGCCACTACACCTGGGCTCCTCTAGAGCACGGGACACTGGATGCCTCCTGAGCCAAGCAAGTGTCACGTGTGTCAAATGGGCAGGTGGTGAGACAGCAGGGAATGGAGGAGGCCAGGAGCAGTGGCGGGGGCGCGCAGACTTGCCTAAAACAATTACATTTCTCTCTTTCTTCTTCTTCTTGTTTTCTTTAAAAAACAAAAACAAAAACAAAAAAACTGCATGGGCCAATAAAACAAAATGAAACAAACAGTTTCCCCTCCCCACCTTCCTCTTTTTCCCTACCCGCCACACCCCTTAAAAAACAAAACCACACAACACATCAAAGGGCAGAGTCTGGTCTCTGAGCAACCATTCTGTGATTACTTCTCCGGTATAAAGGCTGTTCAAAACTTCCTAAAGATCCCCTTTTAAATCCCAAAAATGTAGCATCAAGCTAAGAGTGGGATGCTTTCTGGAGGGCAGTGTGGGCAATGATTCGGCCCTTGGGGCAGGGTCAGACCCAAGTTCAAATCCAGCTCTGTCATTTACTGATTGTACAACCTTGGTTAAGTTTCTTGGTCCCTTGCATCCTCGGTTTATTGTTCTGTGAATGGAGAAGAAACCACCAAACTCATAGTTATTGAAAGGACTGACACTTAAATGACATAAAGGATGCAAGTGCCCAAAACTTATAAAATAGATATCTAATGTGCATTTAAAAATTAACATGGCCAGAGCAAAACCATTTTTTCCTGCCACTGCCCCAGGATCTTTCTTTCCACCTCTAGTCTTTCCTACCTCAGTAGACGGCATCCCCATCTACCCAGGTGCTCAGAGCAAAGCCATGGAATGCTCTTCAGTCCTTCTTGCTTCTATCTTCCATGGCCTGACCCAGTGGTGTGCTGGAGTGAGTTGTGCTGGCTCACAAGAGCTAACGTTGCATCACTCACTGGCCAGATGGGTAGCTTGAAACCAGCTGTGGTGGGAATATTACACCACAGAAACTGGCAAGCTCTACCAACAAGGGCCTCCCTCCCACCCTTGGCTGGTTTACCAGCACACCACTATCCTAATCATAAGTAGGCCCTATTGACTCTAACTCTAAAATACTGCCTGATTCTAATAATTTCTCACTGTCTACTGCCACAAACTTGGTCCCAGTTACCACCATCTTTCACCCAACTGAAAGGCTATGATGCCCCCTCCTTGGTCTCCCTGCTCCCTCTCTTGCCCCTCCACAGCCCGTCCTCCACACAGCAGCCACAGCAAACTCAAAGTAGAAGTCAGATCATCTCTCTCCTAATTAACTCCTTCCAATGGCTTCCCTGCACACTCAGGCTCACCACTGGCTCTGTCTTTGTACTGTCTTTGTACTCCTGTTCCTTCTGCTTGGAAAGCTTTTTCCCCACACCTTTCCATGGCTGCCCCATTCTCATCATTTGCATCCTGGCTGAGATTTCATTCCTTCAGGAAGCTCTCCCTGCCTACTTTAGCTAAAGGAGCTCCTCAACTATCCTCTATCACATTCTTCATGGCACTCAGTGCTGGCAACGATCTCATTTAGTTAACTTTGTGTGTTTCTCCGTCTTCATGAAACTAGAATGGCAGCTCCCTGAATGAGGTATGTCCCCAGTGACTAGAACAGAGCACACAGAAGACACTCAATAAATGCTTACTGTCTTACTAATGGATGGGGCTATCATTTTTATACCCCTGTTTTATTGATTCCCTATCCACCAGAATGAACTCCACCCTCCCATTAGAAGGCAGAGAAGATGGCTCCAGCCCCATCAGATCTCAACAGAGTGCACACACACAGATGTTGACTTGGCAACTGAACTAAGCTCATATTTAACTAGCTAGAGCCCAAACAATTTCTGCTAGTTCCCTCTGGGTGATCAGGGAGAGTCACCACCTCCCAACCTCCATTTTCTCTTCTGTAAAACTGGGCAAGTCATACCTGCAGTAAACCATGGCAAGCAATGCACAAAAGTGCCAAGCCTGGAGCTGGTATGTAGTAGGAACACGTATTAGCTCCCCTTTCCAGGCACCACCCATATATTCCATTCCTCTACTCAGTTACCTGGTAACCCTGACATCATGACACTTGGCATTTCTTGCCTAGGAAAACCAATCCAGATTTTGCTCAATCCTCCTCAAACAAACAGACAACGAAGCCCTGATTCCAATGAGACAGCATAAATGCCACATCCTGCTCTACAGAGATATAATGGCTTTTCCTGTGGCTGCCTTGTGTCAGGGGCAGCCTAGCACAGCAAAGTTACTGGTTAGCACCCTGTCCTACCTTAGCTGGCTCCCATGGAGATGGGGGACACTATCAGCTGTCCAGAAAGATTTCACTGGCTGCCAAGTTGTGTTCAGCCTCAGTGGAGCCAGAAGCCCTTGGAATGACAGCACAGCTCTGTCCCTGAGGCTGATGTGAAAGTTTTTGAACCATCCTCTAAAGGGCACCTGAAACGAGGATTGTTTGAGACCTTATAAGTGTCCAGATGGGCTACAGATGAAATTAGTCCCAAGGAGCCAAATGCCCTAAATACCACAAAGCCGTAAGTGTAAATGGGCAGACTAAAACCCAAGTCCTGGGCCGGGCACGGTGGCTCGTGCCTGTAATCCCAACACTTTGGTGGATCACTTGAGGTCAGGAGTTCGAGACTAGCCTGGCTAACATGGTGAAACCCCATCTCTACTAAAAATACAAAAAATTAGCCAGACGTGGTGATGCACGCTGTAGTCACAGCTACTTGGGAGGCTGACAGAGGCACAAGAATTGCTTGAACCTGGGAGGCAAAGCTGCAGTGAGCTGAGATCACAACATTGCACTCCAGCCTGGGTGACAGAGTGAGACTCTGCCTCAAAATAAATAAATAAAAATAAAACCCCAGTCCCCCATCTATGCCATGCAGCCTTAGGTCAGAGCAGAAGGTATTAACATGGGCATGAGTGGGCCATGGGCATCTATCTGGCTGCTATCCTACCGGGTAGCAGCCTAAGGAGGTCTAGAGAAGCCTGAGAACAAGCTTCAGATAGGCTTCTCCAAAGGCCACTGCAGGAAGAAAGGCAGGACTCTCACCTCTCACTCTTCTACTGAGCTCCTCTGCCTGACGCTGTACCAGGGGCCAGGCCAGAATCAATACTTCTATCCCACTGGACCAGCTTCTGGCTTGGCTTAGACCACAGGATCTAGAGACCTCCAGGGAAATGAATACGGCCTGGTCCAGAGGAAGACGTACTGGCCAGACAGGCACTGGCCACATCCTGGGGCTCTGCACTGCCCATCTTCTGAGGCAGGCCCCGCTTCCCCACTGAGCCTCAGATTCCCAGGTATAAGATGAAAGGCTTGAACTTGACCTCTTCTGAGAGTCCCTTCATCTCTGACCTTCTCTAACAGCACTCAGACAAGTCATTTACTCTTTCTGGTTCCCCTCATTCATTCAACATCCATTTACTGAACATCTTTTGTGGGCCAGCCCTGTGGGGGATGAAAGAGATGAATACAGTGCAGTTTGTCCTTTCTCGCAAGGAGTTTAAATCTTGTTCTTCAGGTGAGTTACTCAAAGTCTTAAATCTCAGTGTCCTCAACCGTAAAACAGGTTTGATAACAACCCTCACAGCTAACACCAACTAAGTATTTACCAACATTCCAGGTGCTATGAGGGGTTCCACATCCCATCCTCATAACCCAAAGGTGGGTACCATCATCTTTCCCACTTAAACCAAGAAGTCAAGCAAATTTCCCTAGGTCACTGTGATGAGCAGAATAATGCCCCCTCTCCCAACAAAGAGGTCCACATCCTAATCCCTGGAACTTTACAGGGCCAAAGGGACTTTGCAGATGCCATTAAGGTTATGAGATGTGGAGATTATCCTGGATTATCCGGGTAGGTCCAATCTAATCACATGAGTCCTTAAAAGCAGAGAACCTTTCCTGGCTGGATCAGAGAAAGAGAGAGAGATATAACAATGGAGGAAGAGTCAGATGTGCCTGAGAAAAACTCAACTTGCCACTGCTGGCTTTTAAGATAGAGGAAAGCAGGGGCCTCTGCCAAGATATGTGGCAGCCACCTCTAGAACCTGGGAACAGCCCTCGGTTTCCAGCCAGGATGAAAAGGGGGCTCTTATAACGGCAGGCATTGAATTCTGCCAAAATCTCCAAGAGCAAGGAATGGATTCTCCCCCCTAGAAGCCCCAGAAGGGAACACAGCCTGCTGACACCTTGATTTTAGGCTGGTGAACTTGAATGGGGCTTCTGACCAATAGAACTGTAAAACAATACATCTTATTGTTTTAAACCACAAAATCTGTGGCCAATTGAAACAGCCACAATAAGAAACCCAGTTATACACCCAGAAGGTGCTGGAGCTGGGTGCTGGGGCTCTAGCACCAGGGTCTCTGTATATAACACAGATACTCAACCACGCTGCAAAGCTCATCTCGCAGGGTGCACAGGTGATATCAGGCACCATGCCTGGGACATGGCACTCAAAACATGCTAGCTATCATTATCACCTCATCGCCAGTCTTCACCATCTAGCAGCAAAGCCGTGTCACATTGCTCTCCCACGTGTCAAGGGAAAGGACTGGATGAAATGCTCTCCGAGGATCTGTCGCCCCTGGGTTTTTCCTCGGCTCACTCCATTTCTGCATTTCCTTTCTCACACACACCTACGATGGAGGCTCAAGTTACCAGGCTCCAGGGCGAGCCTCAAGCCTGGAGTAGGGCTGTCAGAATTTCCTCCAACTAGTGAGCATGCTTGAGGGGTTACAATCTCATAGAAGGACAAGCTTGTATGCTTTTGTTCTGAAGAGGCCACTGATACAAGCAATCACAAGACTCCAAGGTCTGGGGAGTGGGGAGGCATTCTAATCTAGGTTATCACATCATGTTGGTTGTAGAGGGGCAAACCCAGGGACCATCCAGTTATTATAAGGACACCTTTAGATGGACAGCCCACTACCTCCTAGTGTTCTACAATTTGTGGGGAGCAGGGTGGTTCTCTACCCATCTCATGGGTCTGTTGCAGAAATAATGAAAAAGGACTGCAAAGCACTTTGCAAATCAAGGAGGCTGCCTCACTTGCCCTCCAGAGCTGTGAACACGCTGCTGCTCCCTCCCTCCCTCCCACTGACATGCTCTGTTCTTAATAAGGCTCCCATAAAGATCTCTCCTGCGAGATAATCATAGACTCTCAGGGGCATGCCACTCTTAGCTGTCAGCATCACTTAGGAAGACCTTATAAAGGCTTTCTCAATCTCCTGTTCATCTCAAAGTTGAGTTATCTTAAAAACTCTTGTAAACTCCATTGCAAAACTTCTGTGCTTGACTTCCAGCTCTTTTCCTAAGTTTCCCTCAACATCCCACCTAGCCTCTTGCCATCCCTGCATAGAAGCAGAGCACTGGGGTTGGATGGCTACATTCTCTCCAGACACCATTACTGGCTCTGGTGCTGGCTACCCCTCCTGCCTTGGTTTCCCCTCCAACCTGGGAAAAAATCAAAGACCACAGGACATTGACATGTGTACAACTTTGACTCCTGAAACAATGATGACGATGACCAGAAAAATCATACCCATGCTTTTATCCTTGTACCCCGTGGTACAAGCTTCCTTTGGAGAATTAACAACTGTTCTCAAGAACAAGACTATAATTTCATCATCTGCATCATCTGGTCCCATGTTTTTTTTTTTTTTTTTTTTTTTGAGATGCAGTCTCCTTTTGTCACCCAGGCTGCAGAGTGCAGTGGCGCGATCTCGGCTCACTGCAACCTCTGCCTCCTGGGTTCAAGCGATTCTCCTGCCTCAGCCTCCTGAGTAGCTGGGATTACAAGTGTACACCACCACACCCAGCTAATTTTTGTATTTTTAGTAGAGATGGGGTTTCACCATGTTGGCCAGGCTGGTCATGAACTCCTGACCTCAAGGGATCCACCCACTTTGGCTTCCCAAAGTGTTGGTATTACAGGCTTGAACCACTGCACCTGGCCCCATGACTTCTTCATCTGAAATCGGTGAACACTTGAGGCAGGGTGTGGTGGGTCCCCAGACTGCCTCTGGGAGACTGCTAACCCCTGTCATAGTCTGTCCATGCTGCTATAAAAAAAATACCTGAGATTAGGCATTTATAAAGAAGAGAGACTTATTTTCTCGCAGTTGTAGAGGTTGGGGAGTCCAACGTTGAGGCACTGGCATTCAGTGTCTAGTGGGGCCTTCTTGAAGCATCCTCCCATGGCAGAAGGTAGAAGGGCAAAAGGGCATGGAAGGGGTGAACTTGCCCCCTTGAGCTCTTTTATTAAAACGCTAATCCAAGGCTGGGTGCAGTGGCTCATGCCTGTAATCCCAGCACTTTGGGAGGCCAAGGCAGGTGGATCACGAGGTCAGGAGTTCAAGACCAGCCTGGCCAAGATGGTGAAACCCTGTCTCTACTAAAACTACAAAAATCAGCAGGTCGCGGTGGCAGGCACCTGTAATCCCAGGTACTCAGGTGGCTGAGGCAGAAGAATTGCTTGAACCCGGGCAGCAGAGGTTGCAGTGAGCCAAGATTGTGCCACTGCACTCCAGCCTGGGTGACAGGGTGAGACTCTGTCTCAAACAACAACAACAACAACAACAACAAAAAACCCACGCTAATCCCATCCACGAGGGTGGAACCCTTGTGACCTAAGCACCTCCTAAAGGCCTCACCTCTAAATACTGTTGCATTAGAGATTAAGTTTCTACATGAATTTTGTAGGGGACGCACATTCAAACCACAGCAACCCCCATACGCAAACATTTGTTTTTTAAATTAAAAAATGCAGGAGCATTTTTCTAAGGAAATTCTTCATAGTTTCCATCAGTTTCTCATAGGGGTTTGTGACCCAAAAGACATTAAGAACCTCAGTTTTGGACCCCAAACTTCTCCAGAATGCTGTGAATGCTTGCAGGAGAAAGTCCATATGTCATTTTATACTGGAAGCCTGGACTTACCAGGGAACCTGGCCACAGTAGGCTCTAGTGAACAATTTTTGAAAGAATGATCTCTGAAAGCACATTCTGAGGTACTTTTTTTCAGAGGGGAGGAAACAGCATACGTGGGAGGAAAGGGTATATGTAGGATATAGAGGTGATTTTTTTGTAAGCAGGTAGGTATGATGGCAGACCCCCAGGCTAGGACTCAGGAGCCTTGTCCCAGCCTGCCTCCAACCTCAGATTCTTTACCTGCAAAAAGAGGCCAAAGATATCTGTTCACATGGCTGTCCAAAGAGCTATGGGGAGATTTTACAAAAATAATAGGTATGGAGAAGTTTTGTCAGGGGCCACCTTCACCTCTGCCCTTTCTGTTGACATTTCTGGGGCTATGGTTCCACTCCTTTTGTTCCTCTGCATTAAAAACAAGATTCCTAATTTTCCTCTGCTCTGACTTTTGAACTGACATGGGCCTTCTCTAGTTCTAGGAATTCAAATTCTCAGACTTTAGAGAGTCCAGAACCTTACCCTACTGACAGCAGCCATGTGGCAGAATCCCCCCATTGCTCTGGGAGCTTTAGCACACACTTCCAGATGCTTCTCTCTCAAGGGCTATTTTGCAGGCCGGGGGTTTCAGGCTTCTTCCCGAGAATGGGGGAGGTCAGAGCCATGAAGGAGCCACACAAAAAGTGGAATGGGACAATGGACAGGGCCTGTATCAAGGGTCAAAAGATGTGGGTTCAAGTCTTGACCTCTGGTTTGCTGTACACCTTAAGAAAATCTAAAGTTCCACTCTGTGCATTAGTCTCTTTTTCTGGGAGAAGGGGCAGAGGGTAGGTGAAGGATACATTTCCTAATATCCGATACCAAAGAAAAAAAACTCTTTTAAAAACCCTGGTTTTTCTGGAGGACATACAGTCATGATGAGCTGACAAACTAAGGACTCCCCCAAGAAGCTTTCTGCTGTGAGAATGGTAAGCAGGAGAAGAGATGCAATGGGGTGCCTTGACTTCCCAAGCCTGACAGGCTTTCTTGCCACACAGGACCTTCCTCCCTGACCTAGGGTCTTGCCAGAGAGGGGAGGGCTAGGTGAGAACTCACTGCCAGAAGGTCTTTGGAGCTCCAAGAAGGCAGGGCAATAGGAAGGGTTAACAATAGCAGACCTAAACCCAATGTGGTGGTTTCAAACAAGACCCAGTGGGATGGAAAAGGTATGGTCATTGGGCACCAGTACACTCCCGGGGTGCACTAACATGTCCGTTGGCACGTGTCCTTGACATTAGGTGGTCATGCCCCATGATATTCCTAGGGTGCAATGGCTTCTTTCCACAATGGGCCAACTCAGAAGAGCAGCTGGGTTGGGGGGTGGGTGTGGTGAGGGCAAGAACAGCTCCAACTGAGCATATTCCCCTAAAGTGGTGTGTTTCACATTTTAAAAAATGTGTGGGTGCATGCCCACAATGAAAAGATAATAGAAGGAGCAGTGTAAAGTGAGGGGCGGTCTGTTCAATGTGCAATTGAAACACCAGCGGTCTATGGGTTCAAAGAAGGCTTCCGTGAGGTGACATCTATGCTGAGGCATGGGCTGTGAGTAGCCTTTGGCCAAGCAAAAAGCAGGGTGAAGATGCCTCCAGGAATAGGGCACACCATGGACAAAGGCCTGGAGATGAGTGAGAGATCACACACAAAATCTTACAAACACGGATGGAAGACCAGTGTGGTTCCAGCATAGAGAGAGACATGGCAATGGGCAAGGGAAGAAGCTGGGTGGGGGCAGGCAGGGTCACACCAGGCAGGAAGTACTGGGCAGCGGGTTGCTGTCAAGCTCTCACAGGGGCAGAGTACATGCCCTGCTCAAGTGCTGGTGGCCCACCGAGCCAAGTATCACGGTGATGGTATAGTTGGGCCCCAAGTTCACCAGGTCTCGTCATCTCTCATTTTATCTGCCGAAAATCTCTCCTGCCGAGCCTGCTGCAGCAGGGCACGTGTGCTCCACTTGGGTTTTCTCCACCGATACTGTCACCTCAACATCCCTGCAAGAACCAAAAGACTGGTGGGTGATGGTCTGTCCTCAACTACTACACAAGGCAGTGGAGGCCCAGATACAACTCACCTCTTTGTTCAGGAAGGTGTGAGCCAGATGGCCATTGAGCTTAGGGAGAGAGCAGCTCTACTCAGTACAATGGGACATTTTTCATTTTCAGCAAAGGACAGAAAGGAAATAAAGAGACATGCTACAGTGGGACATTTGAGAGGATCTCTCGCCCACCTGGGGCTAGGCACAGCTTCATAATTATTTTTGGCAATTCTTAGAATATCAGAAATACATACTTGGACATTAGGATAAAAATGCTAGGCCCAACAAAATGAATTTCAGATGGTGAGTTGTTTGGCATCTTCCTTGCCTCCATCTGAACAAATGCCTCTTTCCTCCTAGGAACATACACAGCACATTCTCTGTCCCTTATGGGACTTTACCATGCATTGCTGTTAATTTGCTTACATGTTTTGTCTCTCCTATTTGATTTTAAGCTACTCAGGAATAAGATCGTTCATACATAACATACTGTTAATGGTAACCCTAAAATAGTGCAATATGGGGCTTTAGGAAAGCTCTCAGGATCACATCCTGGCTCAACCCTAAGAGAGTGAACTTGGACACCTGACTTAACCTCTCTAGTTTTAGTTTTCCCATCTGTAGACAGGGAGTCATAATACCTAACTCATGTTATAATGCCTGATGATTAAATAATCTTACATCTAAAACACCTGTCACTCACCAGCCCTTCAACAAATGTAACCCCCTTACCCAGGGCCTCACAAACACTCATTCAATACTTCACTTCACTTACTTTATTCACTAGATGGAGAAAGAGTCAACACTTGACTCTAATAACAAGGGTCTCTTGCCCCCTTAGGCAGCAAAGAATCCACTATGTCAGTTTTATGTGATTTTTAAACTCACAACTCACAATAGAAAGATGCAGAGCCTCAGCCCGTATAACCAGCATCCTGAATTTAATATGCACAATACCTCACTGCAAGCGTTTAGCTAAATCTGATGTCTTATTAAAAATGACTATGCAGCAATCACCTTGGATTGAACAAGAATACCCAGTCTGTCACTTTTTTGCTGAATTGTAAATCAGAGGGCTCACGATAGATGGTGCAGCAAAACTCTGAAGGCAAGAACATGTCACAGGGACCTTTATTTATTAGGAAAACTCGAAAGATGAATGGTTTCAGCATGAAAAAACTTACCAATCAATCTTGAGCTCCAAATTATGGAAAATATAGCCAGGACATGAAGCATTATATCCAAATGAGATCTGTTCAGTTTTTGTCTGTTTCTGCCCAATAAAGATGTCCTCTCTCAAGGCTCAGCAGAGACCCTTGCTCCCAGCAATATTAGCTGCATAGCTGAGCCCTAAGCCAAGTGCTTTATCTGGATTAACTCATCTAATCCTTACTACAATCCTGTGGGTAAGTGCTATCATTATTCCCATTTGACAATGTAAGAAACTGAGGCACCAAGGGGATAAGCACTTGGCTGAGGTCCCACAGCTGTTAAGTGGCAGGGCCAGGACCAATGAACTCAGGCTGTCTGCCTCCAGAGCCTACCTGCTGAACCACTAGACTTTACTACTCTTCCAAACCTTGTGGCTCTTGAATACTGTGGAAATAAGCTGGGCTTGGAGGTGCACTTTGTTGACAGCTTATATTTTACAGTCCTGTGAGACTTTCACATCCATTATATCATTTGATACTCCTAACAGCCACATCAGGTCTTATCGCCATTTTATAGTGGGTAAAAAACCCCAAGGTGGCAGAGACAAGACTTGAACACTTAATGATTCACAATGGCAGGCAGGTTTGTGCCAAAGAAAGAGCTGTGGCCTGAAGCAGG
Source organism: Homo sapiens (assembly GCF_000001405.40). Taxonomy (NCBI): domain Eukaryota; kingdom Metazoa; phylum Chordata; class Mammalia; order Primates; family Hominidae; genus Homo; species Homo sapiens. The sequence continues at coordinate 56,216,499 of NC_000016.10, read as the reverse complement.
TGCTGGGGCATCTCTTCCCTGGTGCAAATGTGAAGAATGAAGAAGGTTCATGGATGGCCAATGCCTAAGAGTTGAGTAGGGAAAACTAGGCTGCCTGGGGTGTATCCTTGACTTTTAAGGGTTCAAATACCTCCCCCGGCTGAGTGGCCCTCCCAGTGGAATTGAGGCTGGTGAACTCAGAGGGGCAATGCTTAATTCCCTGGGACTTCCTTTGCTTAACAAAAAGCATTATGATCACCTTTTAAAAAATGGAGATATTATTTACCTATAGTAAAACATACACATCTTAAATGTACATTTTAGTGGATTTTTATAGCTGTGTCACCTGTGTAACCACTGCCTAAACCAAGATGATGTTTCCTTTGGATTTTTTTGCTCCTAGCAGTAGAAATAAGTGTAAAGAATGGTGCACTTAGCACTACAACCCTGCCACCCACTCCTCTATTGCTGAAACCTGGTCCTAGCACCTGCTGGAGAGCTAAAAACTCCAAGATCTGTAGAGATAGGGAGCAGAGGTACACATCCAAGCTGTGGAGAAAGGAGATGGGACAGTCAGAGACAGCAGTCTTCTCATCAGGAAGAGAGTGGGGGTATACACTTCCCTCTCACCTGTATACAGTAAGTACTCAATACAGAACTGTGGTTTGATAAGCTCAACAATTCTTAACCCACTGTGAACCAAACACACAAATGATACATATCATGTATGTATACTGAAGTTTCATATAAGCTTGCAAAAACTTCTACACCTAACAGCCAATTTATGAGAGAACCCACAGCAATGTAAATGGACCACTCTACTTATTATGTAAATGTACCCTGAATATTCACTGTGCCCCAAGAATCCACAGGAGGTTTACAGCCTAGACAAGGAACCAAACGTACATATAGCAAATGTTTGCCAATTAGTGAACAATAACAACCACAATTATCTTATTATGTTCCTAGTACTGGGCTCAGTAATTTCTACACTGTTTCATATCATCCTCAAACCTAGTTGCCCAAGGCCACAAAACTAGAAGGTAGCACTGCCAGGATTCAAGCCAGGCTGGTACCCTTCATTGTGCTGAAACCGCTTCTCTTCAATTGGCTCCCGCACAGAGCTCTGTGTCAGGCTCATGGTGAGCAAGACTATTCTGTTCTGGTAGTAGTGCATGTGTGTGTTTGCTCGTGTGTCTACGAAACTCAGATAGACAAAGAAGTCATCTCTATGGGACCTTGAGGGCATATAAAAACTCTTAATGGTGGGGTACAGACATCCTGTGTAAAAGAATTACAGAACTGGAGAGACCAGTGTGGTTCAGCTTCCAGAGGAACACCCCATGGACCAGATGAGACTTGAGCGGCCCTTGGAGGCCAGATCTACAGAGAAAGAGGAGGAAGCATGCTTTGGCAGCCACCAGCTATGGGTATGGAGGCAGGAGGTGGTGGGTGCCAGGGAGAAGGCGTTCTGTAGTAGGGGGAGCCAACTCAGGATCAGTGTGGTGCACTACACCATGGTATGTCCTCCAAGCCAAGCCAATGCCCAGACCCAATGCAGAGGGTGACTTAGCATGGCAGTGAAGGGCAGAAACAGCATTTCTAGAAGGCAGCTGAGGAGACTTTATGCACCGGACCCAGAGGAAGGCTGGGAGGTGATGGCAGTGAGGGGGCCCAGGCCAGGCACAGGCCATGGGACAGAAACACCCGGTACGCAAGTGTTGGGAAGAAGTGAGAATTGTGGACAGCTCACAGGCTTGGGGTTGGGACAGAGGGACAGCTACTGTGTTCCCAGGATGGCAGAGGAGGACTTCTTCCAAGGCATTCTCATCCCTAAGAGATGGGAACCCCTAGACAGAAATTGGTACTCCCATGCTGAGGGCAGACTTGAGGTTAGCACTACTTAGATAGGATTTTTGTGCCACCCACATGATTTTTAGTGTCTTTTTAAAAACGTCCTGTTTACTTTAACTTCATCCTAAGCAATAATTATCTGTAAAACTATGGTTTTGATGTGTTAGGAACCTTTTGTCCTAAAACACATTAAAATAAAGTGTGTATTTGTATACCACTAAACTTTCAGGCTACACTTGGGGAAACCTGCCCCTGTGACTCTGCTCCCAGGTGTCTGCCCCTAGACCCCAGGCTTGCTTACTGAGCACGTCTACGGTGGAGCCCAAAGCTGGGTCAGCAGCCCTGAATGAGGTCTGGGGCCAGGCTCCTTGTCCTGTGACAGCCTCAGTGCTCATGGTCTGGTAATGCTGATATGGGAGAGCAGATGCAGAGCTAGGGCCAACGGGAAGCCCCAGCAATGAGAGCCTCCTCCACTAGGAGACCAGCAAGGCAAGGCAGCCCAACATGTTCAGTGTTTGTCTCCTGTAAACCAACCAGAAATAACTGAGTCTTCCTAGAATTCTTCCTAGATTATGCCAGAGTCAACCCCCTTCATTCATGGAAGGGATCCTTCCCTTCCATGTCCCTCCTTTGTCAGGATACACACACACATCCACAGGACACCACCCCCAAGCCCTAGGCCTGGCAGCGGAATAACACAGTCTGAATGCCCACAAGTCACAGGTCTACACGAGTCTGTGATGGGGATTTCTTTCCCGCCCCTGTCTTTAGTGAGACCACACCCAGAGAAACTACTGACTCCATGAGGGCACCCATTGTTCCAGTTTTTTTTTGTGACTCCAGACATATAAACCTCCTTGTGGTTTGCACACGGGCAGACTCGGGACTTGGAGCCTCTGTACTGTCTATTTCTGGCTGCCTGGAGCACTCTTCCCCCAAGTGCACATGGCTGGCTCCTTCACCTCCATCAAGGCTTTTCTCCAATTTCATCTTCTAGTATGGCCCTCCCTGACGACTTAAAAAACTGTAATATCAAGGCATGCATGGTGGTGTGCACCTGTAATCTCAGCCACTTGGGAGGATCACTTAAGCTCAGGAGTTCAAAACCAGCCTTGACAACATGGCAAGACTCATCCTCCGCCATCCCATCTCAGAAAAACACCCCCAAAACCAAAACTAACATTCCCTCCCGCTCATGCCCCTTGCCTGCTTTATTCTTCTCCATAGCACTTGTCACCAGCTGATGTATAATACTACTATGTATTTTCCTTATTTATTGCCTGTCTCCCCTAACAAGAATGTCAGAACACTCCAGGAGGGCAGAGATTTTGTGTGTCTTGCTCAGTTACAACACTTAAGATGGTGCTCGGTACAGAGTAGAAGCTCAATGGATATCTGCAGAGTGGGAAAAAAAAAAGAAGAAAGAAAGAATAACCTCGATGGAAAGCATTTTAACCAAATAATTTCAAACACTTTTGTGTAAAGGCTACACATATCTGAAAACAGACAAATTCACATTCCCTCTTCCCTGGAAGAATTCCTAGAGCGGGTCTTGACCAAAAAGTAGCAACTGGGTCTGGCCTGGCTTAGCTGTGAGACTCCGAGTTCTGCCACAGGTGAGCAGATGTCCGTGGTGCTGGCCACCGGGCAGGGCTCCTGGGGACGTCTCTGCCCACAGGCAGCCTGACCCTGTGTGTATCCATGTCATTTTATAGAAAAAGCCTGCCAGATCCCCTGTGCTCTAGGGAGTCTTCTGATCACCTCCTTGCTGCCACAGCCTGTCCAACATCTTTTGTCAGAAATGATAGTTCATCACTCTTATCTGGAAGCTACCTGTCCAGTAATTTCTGTGAATCGAAACCCTACCAGGAGCCAGGAAGGACAAGCACAATGAAGAACTCTGAGCACCCACATAGCACAACAGCGACCTTGTCACCATCACTTACATCTGTATAGTAACTGCCAATTCATTTTTACATACTTAATCCTGTGTCATAGATAGGCAGAAATGCAGACAAGTCCAAGCACTAAAGCACAAACACTCTACTTCTAGAAGAGTTCCTCAGGTCCTCAATTATATCCTATTCATTCTTGCTCTACACACTATTGTGACAAATCTGGTCGTTTAGTTTTCTGGGCCATCGCAGATTCAGAGCAGAACAAGAGAAGGGGAATAATGCTTGAGGTGGGACCACTGAAAGCAGCAAGTCATGAGAGATGACAGTCAGCCAAGAGACAGGAACATTCCACAAAGCTTATCGAAGCAGAGTTCACTGCATTCCAGGACCATTGCGGGTGGAGGAGAAGGTGAGAATCTGTACAATTGCCCTTAGGAGCACCAATTTTTAGCATGAAGCAATAATAAAAAAGGACGAGTTGGAGCCATCGGGACAAAGGTTACATACCATGTATGGCATTCAATTACTTTTGGTAACGCATGTGACTACTTTCTTTTGTAAATGTCCCTCCAAGTTTCTAAAACTCTCCCTGAATTGATAAACAGAGTTTGAAAAGAACATTTACATTTTTTAAACAGTAAAAGCCACTCTCACAAGTAGTCCCGACAGGACTTCCTGGTTTTTCTCAGTCGTTGAAGACTCTCCTCCCATCAATTGCCAAGCAGCCTGGGTCTCCACACTCACATTTCAGATCCAGGCTGAAGTTTGCAGTTTGTCCCTTCCTTTCCCCCATTATTCCTCATTCTTTGACTCTGGAGTTGCATAATTTACAGTCACCCTGTGAAGAGCCATGTGTTCCAAAGTAGGAAGTTGTCACGCTGAATAGAGCACTGCTGGGCTGTGTTCACACACAGAGCATTTCCCCATGCCTTTGCACAGCCAGCAGAAGCAAACCCTCTCCTTGTATGCAGCCAGCTCTGGACAATCAACGAGAAGCGGGAGGGGGTGCTGGGAAGCACTGCGACCATAAATTCTCTCTAGGCCACTGTATAACAAAGCAGTCATAAAACCTCAACCGCATTTTCAAGTCGCGACTGAAACAAGATGCCCAGAGCAACTCCTAATTTGGTTCCTAGAACTCAACAAGTTGTGAACTCATTTCCTTGGTTGGGAGGGAACTATGTAGAAGGGCAGGGGTGGAGACTGACCTCAGAACTTTGGGCAGAAACTCAACCCAAGAGTTGACAGTAACCAGGCCTGCACAAGTCTAGAGATGCTAGCAGAGCCTTAATAGAGGCAGCCCCAGAGCTGGGCTGGGAGGGGACCCTGGAGGACGGCATAGCTGGAGGTAGGAGGCCCAGGGAGTTCTGGGGGTGTCTATGCTCAAATGCAGAAGGCATGTAGTCTGGTGTATGCTTGATAGAGCAACAGCACTCCTCCAACCGTAGACTGTTCTTTCAGTGATGTGCCTGAACACGTTTATTTCATCATCTCTCTGAATCTTACTTTCCTCATCTATAAAAAGGGGTTATCAATAATCTGCCTCCAATGAGAGTTAAGCTGATCTGCATATTAAGCATTGTAAATAACAGGTGTTCAATAAATGTTATTTCCTACTCCCCACCTGGCTTTCCCTAACCCTTCCTGAATATTCTCTCCTTGGAAGTCAGCAGAAATAGGACCACATTCATGCTTGCTCTGCTACTAGCTAGCCATAGGAACCTAGTCAGATCACTCCCCTCTCTGGGCCTTAGAATCTACAAATTAACTATTAGAATTATACAACAATTAAGGTGGATCAATTTAAAAATCAATACACAAAAGTCAACTGTATTTCTATATACCAGAAACAGATACAAAATGCAATTCAAAAAATGAAGCAATTAACCAGAGACTGAGAAGACAAACCACAGGTTAGGAGAAAATATTTGCAAAAGACCAGATAAAAGGCTGTTATCCAAAATATAGAAAGAACTCTTAAAATTCAACAATAAGAACACAAATGACCCAATTAAAAAGTGGGCCAAAGCCCTTAACAGACACCTCACCAAAGGAGATATACAGATGGCAAATAAGCATATGAAAAGATGCTCCGCATCATTTATCATTAGAGAAATCCAAATTTCTCTAACAACGAGATACCACAACATACATATTAGAATGGACAAAATCCAAAAACGGACAACACCAAATGCTGGTGACGTTGCAGACAACAGGAACTCGCATTTGTTGCTGGTAGAAATGCAAGATGATATATCTATATATTTTGGAAGACAATTTGGCAGTTTCCTACAAAACTAAACCTGTTCTTACCACACAATCCAGCAATTGTGCTCCTTGGTATTTACCCAAAGGATTTAAAAACTTATGTCCACACAAAAACCTGCACGTGAATGTTTACAGCAGGTTTATTCATAATTCCCAAAACTTGGAAGCAACCAAGATGTTCTCCAGTAGGTGCATGGATAAACAACTGTGGTATATCCAGACAGTGGAATATTATTCAGTGCTAAAAGAAAATAAGTTGTCAAGCCATGAAAACACATGGAGGGGCCTTACATATATATTACTAAGAGAAAAAGCCAATCTGAAAAGGCTACATATTAGAAGTCTTTTGAGTCCAACTGTATGATTCCAACTATGTGACATTTCTGGAAAAGGCAAAGCTATAGCGACAGTAAAAACATTCCTGGTAGCCAGGAGTTGGGGGAAGAACAAAGAACAGGTGGAGCACAGAGGATTTTTAAGGCAGTGAAAATACTCTGTATGATACCAAAATGATGGATACATGTCATTACATATTTGTCCAAACCCATAGAATGTACACCACCAAGAGTAAAGCCTAAGGTAAACCATGAACTTTGGGTGATTATAATGCGCCAGTATAGGTTCATCAACTGGAATAACTGTGCCCTCTGGTGAGAACTGCTGATAAGGGGGAGGCTGGGCATGTGTGTGGGGAGGGACGTATGGGAATTTTCTGTACCCCTTTCTCAATTCTGCTGTGAATCTAAAACTGCTCTTAAAAAAAAGAAGCAATTACAAGACCATTGTAAACATTAAGTATCTAGTTATAAATCTAACAAAAAGTACATGAGCTCTTCATGGGAAAAATTATAAATATTTCTTAAAAGAAATTATGATAAATAATGGTGAAACATATCATGCTCATGGATCAGGAAGACTCAAGATTTAGAGATGTCAATTCTACTCAGAGTAGTGGATTCGAATAAATACTAATCAACAGATCCTAATATCCTAATAGGGATGTGTGTGTGTGCATGCATCACAAAAACTGATTCTAACATTTACATGCAAGCACAAAGAGCTGAGAACAGCCAAGACACTCATGAAGACCAAGGGGAGTGGGATTTGCTAAACCAAATATCAAGACATGTTACAAAGCTATCATAATCAAGACAGTGTGGCACTGTCATAAGAATAGAGTCCAATGGGATGCTATATGAGCTAAGAAACAGGTCCCTGCATGCTTATCACATACATGTTTAACCTATGACAGTGGTGGCCCCACAGAAACAGTGACAGAAAGCTGGAACCAATGAGTATCCATTAGAGAAAAAACAACTTACATCATACACAAGAATCAACTACAAGTAAATTAAACAGTTAAATAGAAAATAAAATAAATCTCCAAAGCTTTTTAAAGAGGCGGGAAATAGAGGGTAGCCTTTGAGCTTCAAGATAAGGAAAGACTTCTTCTTAAATAGGACACACACAAAAAAAACACTAACCAAAAAGAGGGAGACTGAAAGAATGACTACATTAAAAAAGAGAAATATCTGTTTAGCATAAAACACCATTAACAAAGTGAAAAGACAAGCCAGGGAATGGGAGGTAATATTTGCAATGAAAACAAAAAACAAAAAAACAAAAAAGACTAGTATTTACAACACATAAAGAACACCTACAAATTAATGAGAAAATTACAACCTAATTTAAAAAGTGGCAAAAGAACAGGTACCTCACAAAAGAGGAAATCCAAATGTCCAATAAATATAGGAAAAGCTGTTCAACCTCTTTAGCAATCTAGACTATGTAAAGTAAAACCACAATGAGATCTACTACTTGCCTATTGGTTTGGTAAAATTGAAAAAATTGGACAGTACCAAATATTGGCAGCAAGAATTTATAATAACAGAAATTCTTTCTGCTACCGTGAATATAAAGATGGAATTACCACTTCGGAAAACACTGTATATTATCTAATGCAGTTGAAGATTCCCAGCAATTCCTCTTCAAAGAACCCTTCACAAATGCATGTGCCCCAGAATACACACACACACACGTGCGCGCGCGCGCACACACACACACACACACACACACACACATTGATAGCAGCATCTTTTATAACTGCTCCAAACTCAAAATGATAAAATGCCACATCAACAGTAGAATGGATAAATAAATTACAGTATAGTCACAGCTGGTGTGTAACAAAGAATACTATATAGCAATGAGGTGAAGAATAATATATAGCATATTCATGAATATTCACTAATATTTATGAATGCTACATAGGAAAATTAAAAATATTCATAAAATGAATACCATAGAATACTATATAGCAATGAAAATCAACTCCAGCTACATACAACTGGGATATTATGAATGTAATACTGAAGAAAAGATACAAATAGCATGATTCCAATTATATCAAAACCAGGAGAAACTAGACTAAATGATTAGAGGATGCATATGTAGGTGGTAAACTCTAAAGAAAGGCAAGGACCCATGAAACTTACCACGAAAGTTAAGGTAGTAAGGAGTGAGGCAGGGAGCTGTGATCAAAAAGGGATATTTAGGGACATTCTTGGGCACTAGCAATGTCCTACTTTTTTACCTAGTGATGGTTACCTGAGTGCTTGCTTTCTAAAAATCTGTAAAACATATAAGATTAATGTACATTTTGCATGTATATTGATCTACATCACAACAAAAATGTTTCTTTTAAAGACAGTGTCAATGTTACCTCCCCTAGGAAGTCTTCCCAGACCCCACACCGAGGTAGGTGCTCCCTCACCATTCTGCTTTATTACCTGTAGGGGCAGAGGTGGAGCCTATTTTGACTTACTATTATATCCTGTGTCAACAACAGTGTTGAACATATGGTGAGTGCTCAATAAATATTTGCTGAATAATCAACAATTGTATTTAAGCATCCAAGTTGGTAAAAAGTAGTTAGCCCTGGAACAATTAATTGATAACAATTAAGAATGTTCTGAGTGGTGTGATGGAAAGAGAAACACACCTAGAATCAGAAAAACTAGGCTCTAGTTCTACCACGTACTGGCCACATCACCTTAAATAAATCATGTTTTCTCTGATAGCAAAAATGATACAAATAGCTACCATTTAGGGAATTTCAATTATCTGCTACCTGCTTTTAGCTGTGTTATCTCACTTACTCCTCACAGTGTATCTGCAGTGTGTTTATTTATTTATTTTTTTGGTCTTTTCTTAACAATCAGTAAACTGAGGTTCAGAGAGACTGAATAATTTTCCCAAATCACACTGATAGCCAACAAATGGCAAAGCCAAAATCTCCAAAGTTCATGCTTCTTTCACACTGCTATACTGAATTATTTTCGCCTCAGTTTCTTCATCTGTAAAATGGGAACATGGTAACATATGTGCAGCCTGATGTTGTAAGGCTCAAAGGAGATCATGAATTGCTTGCAAATGTTAAAGACTACTTAAATGTAAGGAGAGTAATATGTAATAAGCCATCTCCCATGGGCACATACAAAAGAAGCAGATGGTTTCTATCCACACTGAGGTTTCAAACCAGTTTTGAAGGAAAAGCTAGGTAAACAGGAAAACTAGGAACACACATCAATAAGCTGGTGTAAGGAAGCCACTGGGATCAGCAAATAATACAGGCTGAATTGTAAGCACAGCATTGAAGGGGCGTATGGCTTGGACTGTGCAACCGTCCCTGTTTCCAGACTTGCTCCCTGCCATGTACCTTCCACAGGACGGCCAGAGGGATTCTGTTAAGCCTTACTGCAATTCTTTTTTTGATTAAAAAATATGCATTTTGTAAGTCAGGTTTATTGAAGTATAATTTACTTAGAGTAAAATTCACCCTTTTTAGGTATACAGTTTGATGACTTTCGATAAACATACACAGTAGTGTAACCATCACCGCAATTACGAGAGAAAATATTTACATCACCCACAAAAGTTCCCTTGTGCCCCTTTGCAAGCTCCATCCACACCCAATTCCCTGGAAACCACTGATGTAATTTCCATCCCTGTGGTTTTGCCTTTTCCAGGATGCAGAGGTATCTTTTAATGTATAAGTCAGGTCAAGTTGTCAATCTCCCACGGCATTCAAAATGAAACCCAAATGTCCTTCCATAGCCAACAGGCCTTCCTTGAACATTGGCTCCTAACTGCCTCTTTTTTTTTTTTTTTTTTTTTAAATTGAGATGGAGTCTCACGCTGTCGCCCAGGCTGGAGTGCAATGGCGTGATCTCGGCTCACTGCAACCTCTGCCTACCGGGTTCAAGTGATTCTCCTGCCTCAGCCTCCCGAGTAGCTGTGACTACAGTCGCCCACCACCATGCCCAGCTAATGTTTTGTATTTTTTGTAAAGACGAGGTTTCACCGTGTTATCCAGGATGGTCTGGATCTCCTGACTTTGTGATCCGCCCACCTCAGCCTCCCAAAGTGCTGGGATTACAGGTGTGAGGCACCACGCCCGGCCCTAACTGCCTCTTTAACCTCATTGTGTGCTATTTTTCCCTCCCTGTGGTCTAGAGCTCCACTGGCCTTCTTTCTGCTCATGTCTGTGCCACAGCCTTTGGATCTGCTGTTCCCTCTTCCTCAGATCTTTCCTGATCTGCTTTTTTACCCCTCATGTCCTCCAATCCCTCTCCATTATTTAATCCCAGTTTCCTCCTTTAGAACGCATGACTATATGAAATGACCTTTGCCTTCAATTATTCCTGTACCATCTTCCTTCTCTAAAACTGTAAGGTCCTTGAGGCAGGGAGCTTGTCTATCTTAGTAAAGAATCTATTCCTAGAAACTGAGAAAGTGCCAAACTATGGCTGGTCTTCCAATGGCCTTCACAGAATGAACAAACCCACACCAAAGAAGACAGGGAATAGCAAGGGCCATGTGGTCGAAACTCTAAGGAAAGGATTCAAAGAAGAAACAGGCCTTCCATAGCACATGGGGAATTAAGAGTAGGAAGAATGGCCACAGCTCAGAACTAGGCTCTCCACACATCACCATTCTACCATCCCTTCCCCAAGGTCCTCCCACCAATGAGGCCACAGAGTACCAGGGAGATAGAGTGGGTGCCTCTCCTGCCCTTGCCCACTGGTGCCCTCAGGCTTGTCCATCTCCTAATGCATGGGTCCCTCCAGCTCTTGTTGTCTGCCCTGGCTGGAGCTCCTGCACACAGCCAGCTCAGATTCACAGCCTTCCTTTTTCTTTCCACGTGAATTCAGAGAGGGACCCCAGGAGTTGTTTTGTCTTTGTACTGTGGAACCACCTTCAGCACTTCTCCCTGTGGAACAGCGTCAAACCATCCAGGTCTCATAACTCTGACAGTATTACAAGACAAATTCCTACATCGCAGGGCCCCACATTCTCAGTGGAGAGTACATATGGACACAACATGCACTGGTGTCCACAATTCCCTGAGCTGATGTCCCAGTTTTCTTTCTCAATTAGCACTAGAGTTCTGAAAGCTTAATTTTTTTTATAATTTATTATGTCAGTTGGGGGTGGCCAAGGGAGAAGGAGGGGAATTCCTTTGCCACAAGAACATCTGTTTTGCTGGAGAGAAAGATATAAATTATGACCTCAAGACTTGAGTAGAAGCTTATAGATCACGCGATCCAGTTTCCTAATTTTATATGTGAGGATACTAAGTCCTAAGGAAGTTAAGGAACTCGCCTGGGGACCATCAAGCTAAACAGGAACAGAGCTGGGATGAGAACTTGGGTTCTTGACTCCCAGTCCAGACCTATTTCTACCATAAAAATTTTTTGAGTTTGGCTTTTATCCCTCTCCCTCCACTGAAACTGCACTTTTAAAAGCCCGCAATAGCTTCAAATACAATGGTCTTTCCTCAGTACTATCTAACTTGGCAATGCCATGAAACAGAACCCTGCTCGCCACCCAGAATTCCTGAAGCACATTCCCTTCCTGGGGATCCACTGTGGCAGGGCGCTCTGGGTTTGCCTCCTGCTACTCTGCTCTCTGGCTCCTTTTGCCAGTTGGAGCTACCTGTGGGTCTACTGAAGGAAGGTTCCCTTCCTCACTGCCACAATGGTGCACCCCTTCCCTGGGCCCTCCCTCTCCTGGCCATATGTATGCTCACCCCAGGGACACCACATCCACTCTCATGGCCCGACCACAAGGGCAGCTAAGCCCACTTTTCCTTCTAGCCCAGATCTCTCTTCTAAATGCCAGAACTACCTCCCAAGCAAACAACTCAACATTTCCTGTTACCCTGTAAGGACCTGAAATTCATGCTTATGGGTTCACCTGCCATATCCTCTCTGCTATCTCTTCCCTGCTCCTGTGTTTCCTAACTTGATGGCATAACTAAATCCCATCTCACAGGTTCAAAATGGGGAGGAGTTCTCTGATATACTCTCTCCTTCTCATGTTCATTCAACTAGACACCAGGGGTCATCTCTCCTGCCTCCAAAATCTCTCCCCCATCCAACTTCTCATTGCCTTTCCTACCAATTCCTTAGGTCAGACTACAGAAATCTCTTTGCTCTAAAGCCTCATCTCTGGCCTCCTACTGGTAGGCTCTCCTGACTTGGCACCCTATATACCCCTTAGAAAAACTATCAGGGAACCCTATAATCTAGCCCTACTCTTCCTTTCCAGTCACTTCTCTTCACATTCCCACAAACCCCAGCTCTTCAGCCACATGAGCCTGCCCACTACTCCCTGGTGGTGTCCTGAATGTTCCAGGCCTACTTCTGTACTTTAGCTCATACTAGTTGTTCAGATCCTGGAAGGCCTTGTGCTTTTCGTCAGCGTGATCTTGGTCATAAGGGACAGAATCCCAGCTCAAATTAGTTTGTGTAAAAGAAGAGATTTATTGATTCACATAACTGTCAGCTCCATAGAACCTGCTTCAGAGATACCAGTATCACCATCAGATGTCTTTCTGGCTCCCTCTCTCTTTGTGTTTCTTCTCTCCATTCTCTCTTTTGTCCTCCAGTCTCCCAAAGCCTCAGTCTCTCCCATGATAAGCACGCTTCCTCCTTGCAGAGGGCAATTGAGATGTGGAAACATGGCCACAGACAGCTAGCTCAAGCTTTCATCATTCCAGCCCAGTGAGGACCTTGCTGGGATCCCAGGGAAAAGAGCTTTTTTCTCATAGTGACTATAAAATTCCAGAGAAGGATGATGATTGGCCTCACTTGAGTCACATGCCCATCCCTGGGCCAATCACTGTGGCCAGAGGAATGAGATGCTGTGAATGGCAAGGCCTGAGTCATGAACCTACTTCTCTCTTCAAGCAGCAGGGGGCAGTGACTGGCAGCCCCACTGGAGCAGCCTGTGATGAGTAAAGCTCGGTGGAGTAAAACAACAGTGTCTGTGCAACTTTCACTTCTCCACCCAGTTCCCTCCCAGCTTAATCCTGAGCCTGTGTCCAAATTAAATTCCATCACTGCTTCTTCTGCACCTTTGAGAATTGAATTTGTCTCCTCCAACTGGTGCAACTCTCTGAAGGCAGAAATTGGATCCCTCTGTGATCAGTACGAGGCCTCCCCTAAAGGTGTAACCCCAGAAAAAACTTTCAGTCTGCAATTACTGCGTCCGATTGTTTGTGTATGAGGTTATTACCCGGTTCCTCTGGGACTTGATTTGTTCATCACTGACACTCCGAGCACCCAGAACAGTGCCTAATGCATAATAGGTGTGAGACAAATATTAGATAAATGAATAAATGAGTGGTTTTAATAGAATAAATGTTATTGGTCTTTGGTGCTCCAGTAAATAAGCACAGCTGCTTTTTAATTCTTCTCACTTCACAGAGAAAAGAAATGCTAAGGCAGGAGCTCCCTCAACTTCCTGTCCTCATCATTATGCCCTAGAATTTCTCTACAGACTTCCCATCCTTACTGTCCTCCTGTCTGTCTTAGGGAAGGAGATGCACGTTCATGTCAAGCTCAAGCTACCCATCCCCTAAGGGGTTGTGTTCCTTCTACCACTTCCTCCTTCCTATACCTTCAACTTTTCCATTCATCAGGGATCTGGATAACTTCTCAATGGATCCAGCTACTCCCATGTAGAAATGAACAATAAAAGCAAAGCCCTTCCAGGAGGGCTCTCTCCCTCCCTACCTCTCACTCCTTTTTTTCTGTAGCCCACATTTCTTTTGGGCTGGGAGGGGGGTTCTTCATGGATTTCCTCAATCCCACACATTTCTTAACTCCACTGCAATTTGGCTTTTCTCCCACCAGTCTATTGAAACTGCTCTTGCCAAGGTCACCAACAACTTGCCAGACTCCATGGACACCTGCCAATCTTCATCTTATTTGTCTACTGAAATATCTGACTCAACTAACCACTTCCTGCCCTTGAAAGTCTTTTCTTCCTTGGCTTTCATGATGCTACTCTGCCTTGGGTTTTCTTTTTCATTTCTCAGATCACCCCTTCTCAGTTTCCCTCACAGGTTCCTCTTCCTAAATTATTCTCATTTCCTGGAGCTGGAATGTGTGTGTGATGGGAGACGCATGCCTGCCTTCTCTCTCCTTCTCACTCAGCCTACTAAGGTTACCAACTTCTATGGCTCTCGCCACTCAAAAGCACCACAGAATTTCAAATTGACCCCTCTCCCCAGGTGTGTCCTATCTGACCCACTACCAGGAGCTGCACTCAGATGATCCACAAGAATCGTCAACATGACCAAATGCAGTCATCACTTTTCTCCCCAAGTCTTCTCTCTTCCTCCTGCATTTAACTACCATCCACCAGTAGCCCAAACCAGGAATCCTGGACTCATTTTTGTCCATACTCATTAAAATTTATCTCCTCCTCAATGCTCTTCCAACTGATCAACAAATAAGTTCAATTATTCCACTGCCCAAATATCTCTTGAATCTGTTTCCTTTCCCCACCCACACTACCACTGCTTTAACTTAGTTCTTAATCTTTTTCCCAACTGGGTCACAGAAGTAACTTTCCATCTGGTCTCCCAACCTCCAGAGCTGATCTCCTCCAGTCTACGTAGGTGATCTAATGCCAACCCTCAGGTGGCATCTCATTATCTTCAGAATAAAATCCAAAGTCCTTAGCACAATAGATAAGGCCTTTCATGATCTGGTTTCTGTCCAATCTTTCATTCCTCATTTCTTAACACTCCTCTTACATATTTTGCTCTAGTCAAATCAAACTATTTTACACTCCTAGCATGTTCCATGTGGTGACATCTTAATGCCTTTACACATGCCAGTCCCTCTGCCTGGCATTCCTTTTTTTCGACCTGGTGAACTACCACTTGTTTTAAAGGCTCAGTTCACATGCCATTGTCTCTTGGCTGTCTTCCCTGAACTTCCTGCCTAGAGAAGGTGCCTTCTGTTCTACCATAGCACACTGTGTATACAGACATTGTGGCCCTTCCTACCTGAAGTGCAAGAGTCTTTTTTGTGTAGCTCCCTCCAGACCATGAGTTCCTTCAGGACAAGGACTGAGGCCTTCCTCTCTACTTCCATGACACTGTGTGTATGCTACCCACAAAATAGGCAATCATAAATGCTTATGGATGGACAGATGGATGGATCCCCTACCATCCTGTCTTTCCATAGTTCTCCAAGACACCTGCCTCCACCAAAGCCAGAGCCTTCTCTCTGTTGCAATCTGAAAATGGCCCCCATTTTTGAGGCGGTAATGAAAAATCATTTCAAGGCCTGTCCAGATGGTTGCTAGGGAATACTCTGGTATCCAAATCAATGTGATATATGATGACCATTACTACCACCTCCAGAAGGAACTCAGCACCAATTAGGCACTTTCTATTCTCTCAGCCACTGACCTCAACCACAGCTGGCACCATCAACATCTGGGTGTGAGGTCGTAGACTGCCAGGTCTCTACTGCCCATACTGGGGGTGGTCTAGTAAGAAAGGTGTGGAGTTACAACGAAAAGAACACAGGTTTTAGAATTAGACAAATCATTGTCTGAATACAACACTGTCACCTACTAAGCTGTGTGGCCTTGAGCAAGCCACCTTACTTCTTTGAACCTCACTTCCTCATCTGTAAAATGGAATTGATGACTATATTTGCTCACAGGTTGATAAACAAATGAATATAATAGATTGAAAATGATGAACACATTCCATGGCCACCAAAAGCTTTCAACATGATTATTTTGGTTTATGGAGAATAATAAGGTTCATTCCTTATATACCTCGTATTCTTCCTTTTCTTTAACTAACGTTTATTAAGACCTCCTTTGTGCCAGGCATTGGGCATGGTGCTGTACTATGAGCAAAAATAAGTAACATCCTTGCTTCAGGGAGCCCTGGTGGGAAGGGACACCCAGGCTAGCAAGGGATACAGACAAATAAACACCTAATTAATTCACAATGTGCAATATGCATTAGTGCTCTGAGACCCTGGGGTCAGGTGACCCCAGGATCAATTTTAAAGCATGGAGAAGCTATTCTCATAAGTAACAATATTCTACAGAAAACCTATCTGTTGGCTAAGACACAGGCAGAGAATCCAAGGTAAATTGTTAGCTATGAAATCCTAGTCTTATGTATTATTCTCCCTTTCTCTTTTCTCCATTCTACTTATTTCTAGGATGGTTGACAAATCAAGAGAGTAAGGGGCCAAATTCAGGGCACCAACTATTAGCCTTGCAAGATTTTATTTTACTTTAATTTTTTGGTGCTATGAAAAGCACAATGTTTTTCCTCTTCTCTGTAAAGAAAATTAGAACTAAAGATGGCTCAGCAGATAAAAGCTGTGGGTGGTAAATACTCCCACTATTCCCCACCGCCTTTCAGGCTTCTAAGTTTCTCTTTGCATTTACTGCATCTTAGAGCTGGAAACCCGAAAGAGCCCTGAGAAATTCTATGGTGAAAACCCACATCCCAATTAACAGATGAACAAATTGAGGCCCAGGGTGGCCAAATGATCTGCCCAAAGTTAAATGAGAGAGTGAATCAAAATTAAAATACAGTTCTCCTGAGCCTCCCCTTTTACTAGTCTGCAAATCTCTCTGCTCCCTGGGTTTTAGGCACCTTAACCCAGGCAAGTTTCTTCATATGCAGCCATTTCTGGTGAACGCTAGGGCTGTCTCCACTTCTGAGCATCCTGGAAGCCACGGAAAAACCACTTCTCTTCTAATGTCACTGGCTCTCTCCTCCCAGAAACATCCTGTTTCTTACTAATGAGATACTTTCAGATCCTCCTCTTTGGTTTAAGAACCATGTCTGCATGAAAAGTTTGGTTAGAGGTGTTTTTCTCAAATTGACTCTCAGAACTACAAATTTCCTGGCTGACAAAGCTCTGTGGCTGAGGTTGCTATTCTGCAATTAACTTAGTCTTAAAAGAACTTTCATGGATACCCTACACCCCCATGGGATAAAACCATAATTCATGCTTTAATATTGAGAACATCAAGACCCTGAAAACAAAGGGAATTCCCAATTTCATACACCGTTGACAACAGGAAGGGAGCCTGGGGTAGCCCTGGTCCAACTCTTTCAGGAAACCGAGCCCTCGGAGGGGCAGAGGCAGAGCTACTGACCTGGACTCCTGGTTCAGTGCTCTTTCCCACCCTTTGAAATGTCACCCCAGCTCTTGGGCTGAAGCAGCTGCGCCATCAAAAATGTCACATCAGTTATGACAACACAGTTTGTTATATAACTGGTGCTGCAGAGCAGGCAAGGGGAAGAAGCCATGAACATGAACCACAGCACCCCCCTTCTGCTTCTCAGGGTGGCTAAGTCCCACATACTTACTTGACAAGAGAACTCCACATGGGAAGGGAACACCCACTAATCAAAGGAATAAAAACTAGAGCTAACATTTGTATAATGATTTCTACATTCTAGACACTACTCAAAGCACATTTCATATGTTAACTCATTTCATGCTCTCCACAATCCTATTAGTAGTTATTTTCATTATCAGTCCCATTTTACAGGTAAGGAAACTGAGGCACCAAATGTTATGGGCCTTGTGTAAGGTCACATATTTAGTTAGCAGTAGAGCCAAGATTTGAAGCCAGGCAGCCTGTTTGCAGAGTCTATGCTCTTAACCAACTCTCAATTTTAGAGAAGCATGCTAAACTGCTTCTCTAAACACAAGAAACTACCTATTTATCTGAACCAGTTAACAAGCCACTGCTCTCTCCTCTCCTTCCCCTCAGTGCTAATCACAGATCTGTTGGACAGCTTCCTTTCTACCAATGCTGTGTGTGAATGAGAGGGATGGAAGAAAATAAGAATGTGACACAGATTTGAAGAAATTCTTAGGATGGAGTTCATTTGAGCATCTTCAAGCTTTTTAAGATGATGCAATCAGTAAGAAAGTGAGGTGAGTGCTCTTCTCAACATCTGCCATTTGTAAACCCACACTCTGTGGGTATGTACAAACAGGCACACTTTCTTTTTTCAGAATCAAAAGTTTTCTCTATTAGTGTCAATTCTGAGGGTAACTCTTTCCAAAATGTGGTTTTTTTTGTTTTGTTTTGTTTTTTTCAGTTTGGAATCACCCCTTCACCAGCTTTTCTGTTGTCTTTCAGATCAAGATGTATTCTGGTGATAATGGCCTGTCTGGCTCCATAAGAAATGAGAATGAAAACACCCTAGGAGACAGGGAGTCAAGTCCCAGTATCCAGATGGGCTGAGCACATATCGGAAAAATAGGGCCTCATTCTACTCATATTAAATCTCCAGTGTTAACGGAGATAGGGTATTGTGAGCAGCTGAAAAACATGAGTGATCTTGTCCTATCTTTAGCAGATGTGGCATGTGAAGAAGCACAAAATAATCTGCGAGTTCCATGTGTTAAAAGAAACAAGACACACTCCCACTCTGAGCATCGTAAATCTAATCCAGCCCTGTTCACACATAGAACAGACGTTCTGCATTCTTTTCCAGCCATGTTGGTTCTCATGAAGCTTCACCCATTTAATCTAACTGGCAACAACCCTTTTCAACAAGCATATAGGTTCTACTTTAGAATCCAATAGGTAACCCAGGCTCAAGAATTCCACAGCTGACTCCTGAGGAGATCGGGTGGACTATTTGCCACTCTTCTGGCAGGAAGGTCTGCTGGTATTTACAGCTCAGTGCACAGTAAGGAGGGAGAGAGCACCATCCATCAGGAAAAGAGAACTCATCTGCTACTTGATCTGACATTCCGTTCGCACTCTTGCTGTCTCCAGAGAGCAAGGTGCATCCATTTGAATAAACATAGAGAGGGACGAAGGGAGGGAGGCAAAGCAGCCATTGAGATGACTGCAGAAATAACAAGTCTACAAATCTAGAAGAGTGGCTCTCAGTAGAATACTAACCCAACGTGCGACCCTGGGGGCCAGTGTGGGAAATGTCCTTTTAGACGGACGCACTTTCATGGAGTAATGGCTGTAGGTTGCTATTCACCTCCATTAATGCCTGTCATTTAGTAGGTGCTGAAGAGCATTGTGCTGAAAGAATGCAAGCTTGACTGCTTCTCAGCCTTTTGGCTAAGATCAAGTGAAGACTGCAAGCTTGCCCTGAACCCATACCAAACAGTAGATACCCTAATTACAAAGTCAGGGTCAGCTGGGAGGAAAAAGCCATCAGCTTTTTGGTGACAGGTGACCTTTTAAGACAGCCTTTCCTGACAGGGTAGGGTCTGTTCTCTGAATCACATCCCACTTGTCAGGCTGGAATATTTGTATGAGCAATGACATCTTCATCAGGCAAATTCTTAAATTTGTTTTAAAATGGCACTAAGCAGGTACTGTGGGAATGGACGCACAACCAAAGTGCTCGATTTTATTGTGCCCATTTCGGTAAAGACTACCAGCTAGCATGCAATGCCTCATGGCCACCTTCGAACTCCCTTTCTAAAAATTCCACTTAATGCTCCAGAGACAGATAGCCTGAACTCAACATTACAGAAAATTCAGCACCTCGAATGAGGGCAAACTGTGGCTCCCAGAGCAATTCCGCAGTCCATTTTACATTTTCACCAGGTACATGGTCCAAGTGGGTGTCACTATTTGTTCAGAACTGGGAAGTCACTTAAAGTGATATTCTGTCAATTCTACACCTCATAAAATTACAACTTGTTATGGGATTTCTTTGTAAGGGTTTGGCAATTAAATAAAATTGACAATTCTTTAAAAATTTTCTGATTAGTCTGAATAACTCAGAGTCTTATTGACTGACTACAAAATGATGAGGCTGTATCACAGGTGAGGTCACAACCCCCTAACAAGCAAAATTATTTAAAATGCCATGCAAAAAAAGAGTCACTGATTACTCACACATGGTATGTATAAAATTATATTTGTGCTGTCTCAATTATCACTGTTTATTTCTCAGTACTGAAATATTTTGGATTGTCTGACACAGAGCTCCCTCACACGAATTCACAATCACACACACAAGGGGGGGGGAACCCAAAACACTATGTTCAAATAAAAATTTTAATATAAGTACTGAGAATCAGGCTTTTCAAATGACACTCTAAACTGGTATCTCTTAAGCAGATGCACGTTTCCCCTTACAACACTTATCAAGCAGAAGAACTTTATGTCAGTATCTCTGCAATGTTCCTAGGCTGATGAAGATGTTAACCCTTTGTTCTAAACAGCAATTGCCAGCCGGTCCTTTATTATTTCACTTCAGTTACTATGGAAATATATGGAAGCCAGTTTCTTCAAATTAGCACACCACAACAAGGATGAGAACACAGGCTCAATGGAATGACTCTTTGCTCTTCTGGAAATGCTAAATAAAAGGAGTTTTATTCAGTGATGTCTGAATATCCACATTCTTCCTCTCAATCCAATGTGCTGAGCTATTAGACTGCAGCCCCCCATTAGGAAATCACTGGGTTATCACAGGGTGTAACCTAAAGAGGGCTTTCTGCTGAATTTCATCTGTCCAGGTGAAACAACACAGCTTCCTAATTAACCTGTACATATGGCCTGATAGGTTGGTCACCAATTGTATTGCACAAGGAAGTTGGAAACTGCTTTCTATAAATGCCACCTAGATTTTCGGGCCTGGCCCCATCCACAGTAGAATTCTCCTGACTCAAAGTGACTCTCAGTCAAGTGGCCATCTCAAAAACCATCTCTGCAAGGGAGGACTCAAAAAAATTTGTTACTAGGATACAGTGACACCAATCCCACATTTTGTGGTTAACAAAACAAGTCCTGCATTCAGCTTGGCACAAGGCCCTGATCTGATGTATTTCAAGCCAAGCTGGAAGGCTCACAGGGAAAACTGCCATTCATGAATGCTTCAGGAGGACAGGACGCCAGGGTCCCTTGTGGCAAACCAGGAACCAGAAACTTTTGTGATGGACCTTTTGAACAGACCTACCCTACTTCCTAAAGAGAGTTGGTGTATTGTGCTTTAAAAAAAAAATTGTTTTACCTACAAAATCTGTTTTCCTGACATTTTTCTTGAAAAAGGTGTCCTGTAAGGTTGGAAAAAAAAAAAAAAAAAAAGGAGAAGTAAAGGGAAAGAGAAGAAATGCTCTGATTTCTGATTTAACAATCTCAAACATCACTCACTTCATTTTCCCCCCTCCTCGGTGTAACCAAATACAAGACACAGAGGACTTTCCTGGGGAAGTCTACATCCAGCCTTCATTTAAGATTTCCTGCCCAGTACATAATTAGGAATTTTCATCCTAAAGTGGCACACCTATTTCCTCAGAGAGCTCAGCTCTCTTTGAATAAAAAAAGGCGAGGCACCCCTTTGGGGGATTCAGTATATATTTTTAAACTTCTCATTAAATCAACCTAATTTATGGGGCATGTTCAGGAAAAGCAGTTGCTTTGGCGGATGCAAAGTTAATTTGCAGACTCTGGCCTCTCCCCCTCCTCCTTCCCCTCCTGCGCACTCCCCTCCCCCGAGTATTTCCGAATGCTTTCGACCCCCTCCGAAGCGGCTCGGCTCTCTCCGCCGGAGCACCGACTCGGCTCCGAACACCGCCGACTCCCTCCGAGCCCCGCGCCCAGACCGCACCGAACCTAGCCGAGCGTCGCCGAACTGAGCCCCATCGACTTTTCCGGCCTCGGCTGGGCGCTGTCCACCACTTGCAACGCCTGAAACCTCATCCAGCTCAGGTGGCTGGGGCTTCTACTGGGCTCCGAGTCCGCCACTGCTGATTACAGACTTCTGAAGTTTTAAAACGTCCCCCCTCGGGAGAAAGGGGTGGCGCGGCTTGCATTTACAGATCTGCAAGGGCTCCAGACAGATGCAACATGCACCTTGTTGCAAAGGGCAATTCCCCAGGCCCCGCCTCCCCATCAATTTGGGTTGCACAAGCTCAAGAGAAGCCCCAAGCTAAATTACCCCTGGCTCAGAAGGGTGCGGCGAGCCAAGGGGGGCTCTGCGAAGAAAGCCCCAGGGAGCTCTCGAATAAAAATAAGAACATGTCAAGCAGATGGGAAAATTGTCTCCGAGTCGCTACTCCCTACCATCATGGCGCCGCCTAGAACCCGCTTGTCATGCCTGTTACACATCCAAGATTTTTTGCATCTTGGTTCTGAAACCGCAAGCATGCTTCGTCTCCCACTCCCACCTTCCCACGAAAGGGGTTTTTATTTTCCATTGTTTCCCTACGCGATGCAATTATTTCGGCTATTGTGTCAAGTTGAAAAATAATCATTTTTGTTTACTGCACAGCAACCCCTAATTAGGAGCTGTGTGTGCACGAAGGTGTCACAGCAAAGCGACGTGGAATCTTCGCTAAACGGTCTAAACGAACTCCTCCGTCTCGAACTGACAGGCCAACCGAAACAGGAGGCCCGGAGGGCGCACACCCCTTCGCTGCCGGCCACCCCCTCCCCAAGCAAACCTGCCTGTGGGATCACCAGGAACTGCCGAGTGGATAGGGCAAGAAGCGAGCCTGCAAGTGGAAAGGAGGGGCGAGGCTCCTTATTGAGAAAGTGTGGAAGGGAAGGAATATCCCATTTTGTTTTAATTTTCAACCATCACTCAAATCCACCCCCAGTTAATTAGGAGGGGAAACTGATAGCTAAGGCAGAAGGGGGCGGCGGCAAGTGGGGCCTGAAATCCGCATTGTGGGTAGATTACATGGAACACGGCCTATGCAGAGTGTAAATAAATACACTGATAAAGGCCACGGAGCGAACGAAAACTGCGGGTGTCAGGAGAGCAATGCTGGGAGGGTGGGGGAGGAGAGGAGCTGGGGGCAGCAAGGGGCGGACATTCAGCCTCACAGGCAGCTTCCCTCCCCCTTCCACCTCTACCTTGGATAAAACTGTGCCCGTCACCTACGTTTGGAAACCCACTCCTTCCCCTAGCACACGACCCCTCCCCTAACCCTGGCCCTCTTTTTTTGCGGGGGAGGGGGTGCGAGGGGATGTAGAAACCACAGCCTCCAATTCAGCACCAAACGCATGAACAGCAGACACTTGATCCTCCACCCCAGTCTAGGGCTGGGTCCCCTCCATGTTAGCCAAGTTCAAAATCACTGCCCCAGGAAAAGAGCAGGGGGAAGTGGGATTACGGACCTTGGGGGATAGGGAGGTATGGAGGGAAGAGGAGAAAGAAATAGAGACAGAATGAAACAGAGACACAGACAGAAATGGAGGCAGTGAGACACAGAAAATATTCCACAAGCAAGAGTAATGATCATAATCATGCCAATAGTGTGATGTTCTGATCAATATGGCGGACACTGTCATTCATACAACTACAGGCGCTCCCCTTCCCCCTCCCAAAAAACACCCACCCAGGAGTTAGGGTGGAGGACCCAGAACCAACGTAGGGAGTGGGGGAGGGGAGTCAAATATAGGGGTGTGTGTGTGTGTGTGTGTGTGTGCACGAATTAAAAAACAGGCCTGGAGAGCAATGTGGAGTAAGCAATGTAATAAAAACGATTTAAAAATTATTCTTAATAAAAGTACGAATCCCAATGCCACAGGGACTTACTTCATCTGCTTCACAATGGTGCTTTTTCCTGATTCTCCAGCCCCTGTTGGGACACAGACAGTGGGGAAAAACTGGTGAGTGTCAGCTTAAGGGAACAGGGGGAGGGGGGGACTAAGGCATGCGAGGGGGTGGGCGATCCTGGGCACATGGTGGTGCCAACTTGGGGACCAGGTCTCCCGGGCGCGAGTGGGGTGGGGGAGCTGGTGGCAGGGGGTGCGGAGTGGCCGGGGTCGGGGGATGGGGGTAGCAGCGGCGGTCCTTACCGAGCAGGAGTAATTTCACGTCTTTGGCGGCGCTGATGCCATCCTCTTTGAGGTTTTTCTCAATCGCCTTGCTCCGCTCGAGGGCGGCTCTCTCCTCTGCGCTCAGAGTACATCCCATGGTGGCCCCTTCCCTGCCACAGCCCGCACGACTCGGCTGGCACGGCTCCCCGGCTTGGAGCGCCCCCCACCCCCCCAGAGAGCAGAGCCTGGGCTCAAGGGGGGAAAATCACGATATCCTCTCCTGGGCTGGAAACAAAAATGTCGGGAAACCAGAACCCTCCAAAAAGACAGCCGCTAACAAGATTCCAGCAGCGGAGACTCGCGGCAGCTGGCAGGGGTCTGGGGTTGTCGAATCGAGGGTGGCCGGGGTCTGGGGCTCCGGAGCCAAGGGAGGAGGCGCCCGCGGGCCGAGGAGGCGCGGACTGCAGGCACTGAGGCTTGTGCACGACCCAAAATAAATAAAATAATAGTCGAGGCTGGAGCCGCAGCCGGAGCCGACAGAGGGTGGGGTGGGGGGCAGGGTGGGTCCTGCTGCCGCGGCTGCCGGAGGAGGAGGAGGCGGCGGCGGCGGAGGAGGAGGTGGAGGAGGCGGCGGCGGCGGCGCGGGATGTGGAGGGAGTGAGTTAGGGGGTGCTGCTAGTGCATGTGCATCGCCGCTCTTCAGCCGTCGGTGCGTCCGCGGCGCCTTCGCCGACCCCCGCGCGCTGGGCAGGGTTGGGCAGGGGGCCGGGCCGAGGGGCAGGTCTCTAGCGGGAGGCGGCGTCGCTGTCTCCCAGAGCTCGCATCGCTCGGTGAGCCTACCGGAGAGAGAGGGAGAGCGCCAGGGAGCCGCAGCCAGCCGGGAGCTCGAGGGAGAGGGAGAGAGAGAGAGGCAGGGAGGGAGGGGAAAAAAAAAATGGGAGAGCGAACAAGCGCGCGCGCGCCTGGGCCCGGGGCGGGGAGGAGGCCAGCGCAGCGCGCGAGTGCGCCAGCGGCTCTGCGCACCCGGCTCCGCGGGCCGCCAGCTGACGTCAGCAGGGCCGCGCGCCGGGCCCCCGGGACGGGGAGGGCGCGGGGCGGGGGAGGCGCGCGCCGGAGTTCGCGTCAGCCGGCGGCGGCGCGCACACGCGCTCGCGGAGCGGCCTGCCCCTCCCCCCAGCGCCCTCCCGGCCCGCGGCTCCCCCGGGGTGGGTGCTTGCGGGACTGGCGGGGGCGGGGAGTGGGGCCGGGCGCGCGCCGGGGCGCCCCACCCCGCCTCCGCCCCCGCCCCACGCGCCGGCGGCGCGGACCTCCTTGTCAATGGGAGCGCGGGGCCGGGCTGCCCGCAGGACGGTCAGGTGGGCCCCCCAGCTCGCTGCCAGCGCGGCCTCTGTCCCTCTCGGGCCGGCTCTCCATCTTGTCGCCCGTAGCCCGCCTTCTCCGTGGCTCTCCAGCCGCTGGGGCCGCAGAGCCGAGGCCGGGTTACCTCAGGAAACGCGATGTGGTAGTGGGTCGGAATAAACCCGCGCGCCCCAGAATTCGCCTTGGGGGCGTAAGGACAGATTCGGACTTTTCGTTTCCTATGTCCACATTTATTGAGCACCTAATATGTGACACCCGAGGCTGTAAGAAGAGGAACGCAGCGGGCGGAGAAAAGCCAGAGCTTTTTCTCTGTGAGCCGCTGCCTCCAGGGCCATAGCCGACCCTGCTCCGAGATCCCAGCCGCCGCTCTCCGTGCAGGAGGGGTGCCCACCCTGGGGAGGCCAGGGTGCCCGGAGTGGAGGGACAGGGCTTCAAGCGACCGGGAGTTTCCAGCAAACCCCTGATCCCTGAGCAGTTTATTTTAAAAGCTTTTGCAAATGTTGGACGGTTTCGTTTGGTGGAGGCCGTCTTTGCACTAAATTCTCCTGTCCTCCCCCTTCGAAACGCACAAAATGAATTTTGAACAGATTTTGGATGAGAGGTTTTCTTCCTTTTTTCATCTTCTGAAACATTTCCCCCTCATTTCTTCTCAGATAAAGACCCAGAAACCCGGGACAGTTACTCGGTGTACAGCTAGTCAAATACTGAGGAAACCAGTCGATATTTGCCAAAGATTGGGCATGTTCTGGGTGGTCTCAGATTTTGAAGAAACGACTTTTTTACTGCACAAAATAGTTTTACAATCAGTTCCATCAGACAGCCCCAGGGGCTCTCCTAGGGAAAGGGGCCAATAGGCAAGGTTGCATGGGGATAAGAGAGGCAAGCGGCCAGTGGAAAACGGTTTTTTGTTTTTTTTTTCCTAACAGTTGGGCATTTCTGTAGCTCTGAAAGCAAACTTGTTTGTTTCATTTCAACGATAGAAAAAAAACACTCCTGTTTTGGAAATGTAACCCAGCATAAAAATACATTTGCAATGGGGAAAAAGAAAGCAGTTTAGGGCCACCCAGAAGAAAATATTTTTTCCCTGATTTTTTTTTAATTTGGTATTTCCCAGTGTGGGTTTGCCTCATTTTACAAATAGCTGCCCATGTCAAGATGTGGGTATGTGATTTAAATATTTTAATTTGAATCACATTTTACATAGTCTAGGAAACTGACAAAAGAATCCTATAGAGAATTGTTTTATAAAGTGAATAACTGCTTCTCTACCTACCCGCCCCTCTCATTCTTCTTTTCTGTGCGTGTTTTTGGGGGGCTGTTATGGGATAAATCTTGTTTGGCTTAAAAATCACTAAAACGCAGCCTTTCAAATCCAAAACAGAGAGCTTAGGTACCCAACATTCTATAGAATGTATTATTTCCTCAAGAGGTTGCTAGGAACAGTTATGTAGATCTACCAGGTGCAGGGAAGCACTCCACACCCTCACCCAGGTCCTGTATCCCTGCAAGACTGCGTTGGAAAGACTGAAGAGGTAAGAATATACCGATTTAATTGCGGATTCCGGGTCACATTTCACGTTTCCATGCTCTTTCTTTGAAGTAATTTTTAATTTAAAATCTTAGGCTCTTGGATTATTTGGGTTTGTATGGTTGAATGAAACTATCATTGACCTTAGGTATATTTATTTCTTCTTGGTATCAGACCTAGTATGATGGAGGCACAAACCTGTTTTGCGTTTTTCTTTACTCACTCTACTTATTAAGCACCTACCTACCATGTACAGGGTAACTGTTCTAGGGGCTATAGATGTTGTATTTCAGGTTTGTCTACTCAGTTTTCTTTTTCTGGGTCACTTTGCATCTTTATCGCTGGGCTTCGTAAAAGACTAATAATAATCCGCTTCATCTGTATAGTGCTTTACAGCTTACAGAGCACTTTTACAAAAATTGTCTCATGTGATCCTCCCACATAAACCTCAGTTAAGCACATGGCGTGGGAAGCATCATGGCTGAGTGCAAAGAACCTGGACCATGAATACAGATCAACCTGAGTACCCATTTTATAGCTGAAGAAGCTGAGCCACTGTTTAGGGTCACGAACAGTTATTCTCCTTACTACTACCTGTAAGTAGTAAGCCAGTGCTCCTTTCACATGTTTGTGGACTATCTGAGAAACTGCATGCTATATGCACATATAAAGTGTGCTTCCCAGACTTACAGAAAGCATACAACCCCAGAACCCACTCATATTCAGGTTCCCCCAAAGGACGTGAGGATAAGAATCTCTCAGTTCTCTGTGAATTATTAGTAATTAGATAATACCACGTGTTTAATTGTTCACAATTAATTCCTGTGGGAATGAGGAAATTACTATCCTAACATCAGCAGTGGGAGATGCTTAGACCAAGGACAGATTCTATTTGGTTTTATTTTATATGATCCTCAGAATTTTATTTCTCAGATTATTGTTGATGTCCAGAGAATAACTCTCCCTCCAACCTCAGCCATTCCCTTTGCTACACACATACATCATTCAGTATATTTTTAATTTTATAAGTAGGTAATCAGAGTATTTTATATACTCTCTAAAAGAAACAACGGCAAAGCCCTTTACTGCATGTGGCTCCTGGATCTGGAGGGCAATTCATTATATCAATAAGATTCCCCAGCTCTGACTTACAGAATGTGGGCTCTGATTAGGTAAACTGACTTCCCCTGTTTGTTCCCTTTTATACTTTAATTAAATATAAAATTACTTTAATTATTTAAATATGTATGCATTGGCAGTCTACTGTGTTTAATATATTGATTTAGACATGAAGACAGGTTGGGATGTCATGAGCTTGGAATCTTGAAATCTTGAAAATTCTGGAATGTTTTCTCAAAACAATTTACATTAGAATTAGCTGGGGTGCTTGTTAAAAATTCAGTTATCCATCTTACTTTTACCAACTCAGATTCTTCAGCCATTTGCATTGATAGCCACTCCCCAGGTGATTTTTCTGTGTACAGAGTTTGGTCTTGTGCAGAATCTGTATGTGCCAGTTAATTCTGTTAAGAGCTTACTTTCTTAAAGCCCAGATACCTCAAATGTTTCTAAATTCAACATTTTTTTATGTTTAGTAGTTTTTTTGTATTTCTGTGAAAGGGAAAAAAACTATGAAAATTGCTTATGAATACTACTCTCACGGGAAGAAAATAGGCTAAAATATGTGGTTCATAACCTAAATGAAACTAAATATCCAGTGAATTAGTCATTTTATTATTATTATTATTATTATTATTATTATTATTATTATTATTTTTGAGACGGAATCTCACTCTGTTGCCCAGGCTGGAGTGCAGTGGCGCAATCTTGGCTCACAGGAACCTCCGCCTCCCAGGTTCAAGAGATTCTCATGCCTCAGCCTCGCGAGTAGCTGGAATTACAGGTGAGCGCCCATGCCCAGCTACTTTTTTTTGTATTTTTAGTAGAGACAGGGTTTCACCATGTTGGCCAGGCTGGTCTCCAACTCCTGACCTCAAGTGATCTGCCAGCCTCGGCTTCCCAAAGTGCTGGGATTACAGGTGTGAGCCCATGCACGCAGTGAATTAGGCATTTTAGGGAGAATGGTAGGTCACTAGAAATTTTGGGTTTCTGCACTAAGTGTTTCTGTTATAAAATTGATAACTCACAATCCAACTTAGTGGTGAATATGATTTAGAAGAATGTCTGGTTTTGGCTAAGAGATGACTTTTCTTTTTTTTCCAGTTTGTATCTGGCATTAATGAGGGAAGGTGCTGATCAATTTTTTTATGTCCCTAAAAGATGAGTCTTCTATTCAGCATTTCCCTAACTCATACTTGTGCACATCTCTCAGACCTACCAGAGTGGTGGTTCTCAAATGTTGTGCACAAGAATTACCCAAGATGCTTTTTAAAGAGCAGATTTCTGGGTTTAATCCCTAGAATTTCTGAATCAGTAAGTTTGAGGCTAAGCTTAGGAATCTTCATTTTTACATTCATACCTTCTCCCTAAGTACTCAGGTACTTTGGGAAAACATTAGTAAACTGTAAACTCCTTTTAGGGGACAGAGTTGTCTTATTACTTTGTATATATCCCCAAAGGTCAAGGATGGCCCACTGCCCATAAGTCATCAGTTTCAATATTTGTTAACTAAACAAGGGCTGATTTAGCAAGGGCTAAATCAGACAATGTGACAAAGCTCTTCCCACCTCTGAGACTTTTTTATTTTTGTGGTAGAATTTTTTTTACTTGATTATTCTAGAAAATGCTTAGGATTGGATGAGTTCAAAAAGGTAATGGCTTGTCTTCAAGTAAGGCTCTGAAAAATGAAATGATACAGATTTTAAACAAACAAATGGGAGATTTATAGGCCTATGCCAGCTTGTGAGAAGAGTGTTTGCCAGGTGTTTTTGACATTCCCGTCAGAAAATTTTTTGCTCAATTTTGTGTCCCATTTTGTTATTTTGTAGAATTCATGAAAAATTAGTTTTCTTATTTATAATTTTAGGGATAAGAGATGTCATAAGAAGAAATAAAGGTTTTGTGTACTTTTAAGTGAAGGGATTTTCATGAAGGAGCAGATTAAGGTTTATAGGTAATTGAATTGAGCTCTTAAGTTATTGAAGTCCATTATGTGGTCACTGTTGACAACATAATTTGTTGAGTGTTCTTTGATGGTTGAAGAACCCCAAAGAGGGTGTGCTTTGTGATTTTTTTTTTCAATTTAGGATAGCTAGAGAATCCCACAGGGATGCCTTTGGCTTGAATAGAGTGAAAAGTTGGAGGGGGCCAAGACTAGTGCTTTCACATTGACAATAAAATGGACCAAGAGCTGAAATTGAAGTCAGAAGCTTGGCTTAATATGAAAGCGTTACCTAAAGTCATGGATTCCAATTGGAATTTTCTTGGAAAACTTTTCATTAGAAACTAAGATTCTTATTTGTTTTGATGGGAGTAATAGTCCTTTTCAACCTACCTGGGCTGGAGTTGACAGAAAAGATTAGCAGGAACATATTTGTAAAATATTTATTTAATACTTATTATATCCTCCAGAAGACAGGAGCTTTCCTGACACAAAGGTTAGTTGCATTATTTATCATGTTTTCTATCTCCATAGAGTCTTTCACACATGCAGCTCAAACACATTTTAGACATTATCTCATTAGTCTTCTGTAAGCTTCAAGGTCCAAAGTTTTATTACTGCATTGCTTTTTACAGATAGAACTGTTTTTGTTTGTTCCTGTCAGTTATATTTGTGAAAGCAAAAAGTAGGTGAATTTTATGTGAATCCAGTTAAAACCAATTGAATTGGCTATAACAAGTGTAACTGAGGGAGGAGAGGCTATCAATTAGTTCAAATTTAGAAGTACATTGAGAGTGTTTGGCCAGACTAGACTGAATTAATTTTGTGACTTGTCTGCATTCTCTAAAGTACATGTGGTTTGAGGTGTTCCCAAAGTCTGCCAAGTACCAAGATTGAGGCGTTCCAGTCGGGTAACATGGTTCTTTAGTTGAGCTGACATTTAGGTGTGTTATCTATTCTCCAAAGGCCTGCAAAACCCTGACCTCTGTGGCAAAGAAAAACATTTTTATGAAATTCCTGTGTGTGTGATGGAGCACATCTATAAAACTAAAAAAGGACAACTCAGTGAGAGATACATTTTCAACCAGGCACCTATCCCATAGGACTTTTACCTAGAGTCATTTTAGTTGAAGTAAAAAGAAATGAACTATACTGATTTTCCTCTCAAGTAGTCCCTGAAGTCCACTGTCTCTCCCCCTGGCCATTGTAGTCTTTGGAGAGGGCTAAGAGGAAAGAACTCTGAATTAGTTACATCCAATATAAATGAAAAACAGCACTGTTTCTAATAACTACAGAGAGGACATATACAGGTCTTAATAAAAACACTGAAAGCAATGGCTTAACCATGACTCTGAAATTAATGAGGTCAATGCCCAAAGGCAATCTTAAAAAGAAAAATCAATGGTGGGATTGAGAGGTGGGGTGAATGAGGCAATGAAAGAAAAAGGGTAGGTTTAGAGACTGGTCACTTTGATCATTCTTTTTTTTGATTCTGTAACCTCTGCTTCTGTTCTAGGAAGGAAGTGATACCAATCATTTTGTTCCTTTTCTTGCCTCCCCCGCCTCTGCTCTATTCATGTACTTGGCTTTATCCCCCCATAAACATTTCCACAGCAAGAAATAGTGATAAGAATGATATTTTTTCCTATAATTATCTTCATTTATTTAATTCATGAATGTCTTCCATATTTATTGTATGCTTACCATGTGCCAGACACTATGTTAGATGTTGGGAATATACTGTTGAATACAACGCACATGGTCCTCTGCCATCATGCAGAGGCATATGGTCTCAGATTTTTGAATTGTAATAATCTCTCATATATTATTTAATTCAATCCTTATAACAGCTACTTGAAATAGCCAGGATTTCTGTTTTCCATTGCATGCATAATGAAATTAAGCTTAGAGAAGTCCAAGTGATTTACCTAAGATCACATAGCTCATAAATTGAGTAATCAGGATGGACACCTTAATTTTCTGAATTCCAAGACAGTGTTCTTTCTGCCACATCATGCCACTTCCCGAAGATCCAAGGTTCATCTCAGTTGCTTTTTTAAATAGCACAGGCACCAATTATGCTATTCATATTTTAGTGGGTTTTTACTTTACTCAGTAATCCTTCTCCTACTTTGTTGGATATTGTTGATCATCATAATGAACTTTACTCAGGAATTTACAATCCCATGATATCTATTCCAATAAATCATTCCTAGCTCTTAAAAGTAGAATAGATTATCTTTGTAGTGTATATTTATCAGAATATTCTCCATGTTTTGCAGCATCTGCTCCCTCAAAGGTGAAAACCAGAAATTGGCAGTAGATGATATGCAACTATTAAATATAATGTGAAGCTTTAGTCTCAATAGGTTTGGACAAATAATAAATGAAAGTAATTTTCAAAACTGAAGGGAAGTAATACCAAGAAAGTCAGCAGAGTGAAAAGAACACTGGATAGAATGAAGAGACAAGACTCTTAGTCTCTGGCCAACTTTGGGAGACTTAATTCACTTTCCAGGCCTCAGTTTCCTCAATCAAGAAATTGGATTTTAGGCATCTTTTATCCGTAATTCTAAATCCGAGTTGCGAGGACAGAGAACCTGGAGGACTGACACTGGGAAGATTACAGAAGGCAGAGCTCCAGAGGGCAAAGCAAGAAAATGTTACAAATCTATTTATTCAGTCCTTGAATCTGAGTATATCTGTTCCACTATCAAAATGGTTCCCTTTACTTTTTTCTTCCCTTTAAGTCAAGCATGAATTTTTCATATTTCGTATAGTGTTTGCTTTAGAAATATAACACCTTGTAAACGTAACAAGCCAATAGTATGAAAAGACTATGGATTGACTTTGATTTTCCCACTTAGAAGTGACACCACTCCTAGATATACTGGAATATTTTTTTAGCCCGTCATGAAAGGTTTCTGCAGATAGCCCTGTATCCTTTTCAGCACAGCAGGCAGATAATGGCTCCTAATCATCACCCAATTGATTTTGACAATATTTCTTTGTGGGTGAATAGGATGAGTGGGGAACATCCCAGGGGGCTGGGAAAGTATAGCTAAGGGAGTCACATAAATCCAGGAGTGAGACAGCCAGTGGTAACTAAAGGGGCAGATGAGCTTAAGAAGGGGTTTACCTTTTCTCACAGCCTCCACTAGATCTTTGCAGTCCTGCCTTTCTTGTGATTTTCTCTGGTATGGCTCTAACAGTTCTCCTGATTCTTCACTTACTTCCTACCAGTCACTCAGTTAGCAAATATTAGTTGCTATTACTTGTTGAAAGGGTGTCATTGAGGGGATGGAGGAATTCAGCATGATGCTTTCATAACCTTAGAGATACTAGTGGCTATGAGCATGAAGGAACCAAGGATTTATGAATTTATCCAATTGTAAGTTAAAAATTAAGTTTTTTAGAAATCGGTAGAGAGAATATCGGAACTCCAATCAAATAACATCGAAGAATACATCTTTGCTCTTCACTGAAAGTCTGGTTCATGGGCCTGGCGTGGTGGCTTATGCCTGTAATCCCAGCAATTTGGGAGGCCAAGGCAGGTGGATCACCTGAGGTCAGGAGTTCGAGACCAGCCTGGACAACATGGTGAAACCCCGTCTCTACTAAAAAAAATACAAAAAAAAAAAAAAAATTTGCCGGACGTGGTGGCAGGCGCCTGTAATCCCAGCTACTCCAGAGGCTGAGGCAGAAGAATTGCTTGAACCTGGGAGGCAGAGGTTGCAGTGAGCCGAGATCGCGCCATTGCACTCCAGCCTGGTGACAAGAGCAAGACTTCATCTCAAGAAAAAAAAAAAAAGTCTGGTTCGTGAATGTATATTTATATGTTTTAGGTTAAAACAAAATGCTTAATGTATGTATATAAAAAACTTAAAAATTTTTTTTTCTTTTCCTTTTTTTTTTTTTGAGTCAGGGTCTCACTCTGCTGTCCAGGCTGGAGAGCAGTGGTGCGATCTTGCCTCTCTGCAACCTCCAACTTCTGGGCTCAAGTGATCCTCCCGCCTCAGCCCCCCAAAGATCTGCAGAGAATCTTTTGAGTATTCCAATTAATAATTGGCACATGCATATGAGGAAACTGTTAAAGACTGGGGAAATAACCATCAAAGAGAGTTAGGGGGAACAGTGACAGCACTTACACAGGTCTAATAATAGTGCCTATTTATGTCAGCCAGACCCGAACATCTCCTAATTTATAAAGTATTGGAGAGAGTGCTCAAAAGGGTCTTGCTACAGTAGTGGGGAATAATTAGTTCTAGACTAAATGTTATTATACATTGGTCTTGCCTCACAAGCAAGATTCAAAATGATCAAATTATTTCCAAGGAATTTAACCATGTCCTGAAACAAAACCCAAGAATATTTTTTAAAAATATGAAAATATCCAGCAGCCAAAAAGGCAACATTCATAGTGACTGGATCCAAATAAATATTTCTGGGCATGCAGAAAACCAAGAAAATCTGACCCACATTAAGAAAGGTAATCCATCCATCTAAAAACTGATGCAGATGTTGGAATTAGAAGACAAAGATATTAGAAGTTATAACTGCATTATATCTGTGAGTAGAGACTTCAAATATATTTTTTAAAAGAGGCCCAAATTAAATATCTAGAGATAAAAACTGTAATATCTGAGATAAAAAATAAACTAGCTGGGGTCAATAGCACATTAGATATTAAAGAAAAAAAGATTAATGACCCTGATGGCATAGAAATACAAACTATCCAGAATGAATACACAGAGAAAAAAGAAAATTTTAAATTAGGCAGACATAAATTATACCAGTAATTACATTAAATGTAAATGGATTAAATATGCAAAGTAAAAGGCAGAGATTTGCAGAATGTATTAAAAAATAATACAACTATAAGCTGTCTACAAGAGCACACTTTAGATTCAGAGATACAAATCTGTTGAAACTAGAAGGATGAGGAAAAAAGAACCATGCAAACAGTAACCAAAAGAGGTAAGGGAGCTATACTAATATCAGACAAAACACAAATTGTTTTGTGTTTTGAGACACAAATTGTTACTAAAGACAAAGAGGGACATTTTATAATGATAAAAGGAAGATATAACAGTTGGACATATAATAATTGTAAACGTATATGCACATAACAACAGAGTCCCAAGATATATGAAGCAAAAACTGACAGAATTGAAGGGAAAAATAATTCAATAATAATAGACTTCTGTATCCCACTCTCAATCATGGATAGCATAACTATATAGGAGATTAAAAAGGAAATAGAAAACTTGAACAATATATAAGTCAACTAGGCCTAGCGGACATCTATAGAACTCTCCACCTGACAGCAGTGGAATATACATTCTTCTCAAACTGACATGAAATACTCTCCAGGCTAGACCAATGCTAGGGCACAAAATAAGCCTCAATAAATTTAAAAGGATTGAAATCAACAAAGTGTATCTCTTACCACAATGAGATTAAATTAAAAACTAATAACAGAAGGAAATTTGGGAAATTCACAAATATATAAAAAATAACACACTCCTAAATAATCAATGGACTGAGGAAGATATGACAGGAGAAATTAGAAAATACAATGAAATAAGTGAAAATATAAATACAACATGCCAAAACCAGTAGAATTCAGCTAAAGCAGTGGCTATAAATACCTATATTAATATTATATTATATATAGCTGTAAATGCCTATATTAAATAAGAAAAAAATAGTCCATATTCTAATCTTCATCATAGAAAACTTAAAGTGAAGAGCAAACTAAGCCCAAAGTAAGCAGATGATGGAAATAATAAGATTAGAGAGGAAATAAGTGAAATACAGAATGGAAAAACAGTAGATAAAATTAATGAAACTAAAAGTTGGTTCTTCAAAACGGTCAACAAAATAGATAAACTTTTAGCTTTTCTGACCAGGGGGAAATAAAAGAGAAAATTTAAATTACTAAACCTAAAATGAAAGAGGAAACATTACTACTAACCTTAATATTAGTAAAACATTAATTGTCATTAAATGTCATGACATTACATAATTAAAACATTAAATGTCATAACATTATTATGAACTTAACATTAGTAAAACTGTAAAACTAACCTTAGCAAAATAAAAAGATTATAAATGAATAATTGAATGCCAAAAATTAGCTTAGATGAAATGAATAAACAACTAAAACTGACTCAAGAAATAAAAGATCTGAATAGACTTATAACAAATAAAGAGATTGAATTAGTAATAAAAAATTTTCCACAGAGAGAAGCTCAAACCCAAAAGGCTTCACTGGTGAATTCCTCCAAACATTCAGAGAATCAGTTGCAGATTTAATATTGTTAAGATGTCAATGCTGCTTAAAAGATCTACAGATTTGATGGAATCCCTATCAAAATCCTAATGACAATTTTTACAGAAATAGAAAAACTCATCCTAAAATTCATATGGAATCTCAAGGAACCCTGATTAGCCAAAACAATCTTGAAAAAGAACAAAGCTGAAGAATTCACACTTCCTGATTTCAAAACTTACGCCAAAGTTACAGTGACCAAAACAGTGTGGTACTGGTATCAGGACAGCCATATAGACAATGGAAGAGAAAAGGGAGCCCAAGAATAAGTCCTCATATATATGGTCAAATGATTTTTGACAAGAATGCCAAGACTATTTAATAGGGAAAAAAAATTCTTTTCAGCAAATGGTGCTGGGAAAACTGGATATTTACATGAAAAAGAATGAAGTTGGACCTTTATCTAACACCATACAAAAATTAACTCAAAACGAATCAAAGGCCTAAATTTAAGATCTAAAAATGTAAAACTCTTACAAGAAAGCAGGGCAAACCTTCATGATGTTGGATGTAACTATGTTTTCTTGGATATGACACCAAAGTCTCAGGCTACAAAACAAAAAATAGACAAATGGGATCTCTTAATTTTTTAAAAAACAATTTTAAAAAACCCAATTTTTTTAAGAAAATTGTTCATCAAAAGAATATCAACAGAGTAAAAAGGCACCCCATAAAATGGGAGAAAATATTTTCAAATCATATATCTCATAAGGCATTAATATCCAGAATATGTAGAGAACTCCTAAAACTCAACAAGAAGGCAACCTGATTAAAAATGGACAAAAGACTTAAATAGGTATTTCTTCAAAGAAGATATACAAATGGCCAATAAACACATGAAAAGATGCTCGACATCACTACTCACTGGGGATATGCAAATAAGAACTGCAGTGAAATACCACCTTCACATTCATAAAGATGGCTACTATTAAAAGAAAAACAAAATAACGAGTATTGCTGAGGTTGGGAAATAATTGGAACCTTATATACTCTTGATGGGAATGTAAAATGGTACAGCTACTGTGGAAAACAGTATGACAGTTTCATAAACAATTAAAAATAGGATTAACATATGATCCAGCAATTCAGTTTCTCAACATAGACCTAAAAGAATGGAAAGGGCCTTAAAGAGATGTTTATACACCCATGATCATAGTAGCATTGTTCACAATAGCTAAAACGTGGAAGCAACTCAAGTATCCATTGATGGATGAATGGATAAGCACAATGTGGTATATACATTGAATGGAATATTATTTAGCCTTAAACAGGAATGAAATTCTTACATATGCTACAATATGGATGAACCTTGAGGACATTATGGTAAATTAAATAAGCTAGTCACAAAAGGACAAATTATCTGATTACACTATATGAGGTAAATAGAGTAGTCAGAATCACAGAGCAAAATCACAGGGACAGAGAGGAGAATGGTGGTTGCCAGGAGCCAGGGAGAGGGGGGAATGGGCAGTGGGCAGTTATTGTTTAATGGGTATAGAGTTTCAGTGTTACAAGATGGAAAGAGATGATCTGATGGTGATGATGATTGCTCAACATTATGAATGCATTTAATACACTGAACTATACACTTAAAAATTGTTGGCCAGGTGCGGTGACTCACGCCTGTAATCCCAGCACTTTGGGAGGCCGAGACGGGTGGATCACGAGGTCAGGAGATCAAGACCATCCTG
The DNA here is from genome assembly GCF_000001405.40 of Homo sapiens. Lineage (NCBI taxonomy): Eukaryota > Metazoa > Chordata > Mammalia > Primates > Hominidae > Homo > Homo sapiens. Next base: position 56,178,419 of record NC_000016.10, on the reverse strand, counting down.
GCTAGCATGGTGAAACCCCGTCTCTACTAAAAATACGAAAAAAAAATTAGCTGGGCGTGGTGGCGGGCGCCTATAGTCCCAGCTACTCCAGAGCTGAGGCAGGAGAATGGCGTGAATCCAGGAGGTGGAGCTTGCAGTGAGCCGAGATTGCGTCACTGCACTCCAGCCTGGGCGACAGAGTGAGACTCCGTCTCAAAAAAAAAAAAAAAAAAGATAATAAATTTTATGCTATATGTATTTTACCACAATAAAAAATTGGGAAAAATCAATTTTAATCTTTCTCAAACTCTCAAAATATAGAACAGGAAGAAACACTTCCCAACTTAATCTATGTCACCAGAAAACCAAAATCAGACAATGACATCATAAGAAAACTTAAAGCCCGTATTCCTCATGAATATAGATGCAAATTTTTGAACAAAATATTAGAAAACCAAATCCAGCCATGTATAAAAGGGATACACAATGATCAAGTGGGATTTGGTCAAATGATGCAGAAAAGGCATTTCACAAAATCCAACAGTTCTTTTTCTGCATCAGTTGAAATGATCATGTGGTTTTTGTTCTTTTTTCTATTAAGATAGCATATTACATTGATTTTCAGATATTAAACCAACTTTGTATTCCTGGGATAAATCTCACTTGATCTTAGTGTATCCTTTTTATATAAGAGAGCTAGTGTCCAACATGATGACTATAGTTGGTAACAATGTATTGTATACTTGAAAATGGCTAAGATAGTAGATTTTAAGTGTGCTCATCACACTAAAAATGGGAAGTATGTGAGGTAATGCATGTTAATTAGCTTGATTTCGCCATTCCACGATATATATGTGTTTTAAAACATCATGTTGTACACCATAAATTTATATAATTTTCATCAATTTAAAAAGTAGTTAGAAAAAGAAATGCAAGACTAATACATTCAAAACTATAAAATTTGGCCAGCTGCAGTGGCTCACACCTGAATCCCAGCACTTTGGGAGGCTGAGGTGGGAGGATTGCTTGAGCCTAAGAGTTGAGACCAGCCTGAGCAACATGTTGAGACCCTGTCTCTACAAAAAAATTAAAAAATTAGCCAGGAGTGGTAGCACATGCCTATAGTACCAGCTACTTGGGAAGATTGAGGTAGGAGGACTACATGAGCCAGGGAGGTCAAGGCTAAGTGACTCCTGATCATGTCACTGCACTCCAGCCTGTGTAACAGAGAAGACCCTGCCTCAAAAACAAAAAAAAAAAACTACAAAATATTGTTGACATAAATTAAAGAGGATCCAAATAATTGGAAAGACATCTCATGTTAATGGGTTAGAAGACTTAACTAATAATGTTAAGAAAGCAATACTCCACAAGTTGATCTACAGATTCAGTGCAATTTCTATCAAATCTCAGCTGGCTTTAAAAAAATTATCAGGCTGATCTTAAAATTCATGTGAAACTGTAAGGGACTCAGAATGGACAAAACAATACTGAAAAAGAAGAACAAAGTTAAGGACTCACACTTCCTGATTTTAAAATGTACTGTGAAGCTAAAGTAATGAAGCCAGTGTAATACTGGCACAAGGAAAGCTATTTAGAGACATGTATAGATCAATGGCATGGAATTAAGAGTCCAGAAAGAAATCCTTACTTTTATGGTCAATTGATTTTTGACAAGGATATCAAGACAATCAGACAGAGAAAAAAATAGTCTAGATTCCTACATTTTAAGGAATCAATCGAACCTCTACCTCACACCAAATGCTGAAATTATTATATCTCGAAATTGATCATAGACCTAAATTTAAGAGCTAAAACTAAAAAAAAAAAAAAAATCTCATAAGAAACCATAGGAATAAATCTTCCTGTTATTGGGGCAATTGGTTTCTTAGATACAACGCAATAAGTACAAGTGACAAAAGAAAAATAGGTAAGTTGGACTTCATCAAAGTTAAAATCTTCATGCTTTAGAGGACACCATCAAGAAAGTAAAAAGACAACCCACAGATGGGAGAAATTTTTTTTACTATACTATAAGTTCTAGGGTACATGTGCACAACGTGCAGGTTTGTTACATAGGTATACATGTAAACCATGTTGGTTTACTGCACCCATCAACTCATCACTTACATTAGGTATTTCTCCTAATGCTATCCCTCCCCCAGCTCCCCACCCCCTGACAGGCCCCAGTGTGTGATGTTCCCCGCCCTGTGTCCAAGGGTACTCATTCAATTCCCACCTATGAGTGAGAACACGTGGTGTTTGGTTTTCTGTCCTTGTGATAGTTTGCTCAGAATGATGGTTTCCAGCTTCATCCATGTCCCCGCAAAGGACATGAACTCATCTTTTTTATGGCTGCATAGTATTCTGTGGTGTATATGTGCCACATTTTCTTAATCCAGTCTATCATTGATGGACATTTGGGTTGGTTCCAAGTCTTTGCTATTGTGAATAGTGCCACAATAAACATATGTGTGAATGTGTCTTCATAGTAGCATGATTTATAATCCTTTGGGTATATACCCAGTAATGGGATTGCTGGGTCAAATGGTATTTCTAGTTCTAGATCCTTGAGGAATCGCCACACTGTCTTCCACAATGGTTGAACTAATTTACACTCCCACCAACAGTGTAAAAGTGTTCCTATTGGGAGAAAATATTTTTAAATTATATGCCTGTTAAGGGACCTGTATCCAGAATATATAAATAACTCTTATAACTCAATAATAAAAAGATAAATAGCTCAATTTAAAAATGGACAAAGGGTCTGAATAGACAGACATTTCCCCAAAGAAGATATACATATAGCTAGTAATGACATATAAAGATGCTCAACATTCTTAGTAAGGAAATGCAAACCAAGACCACAGTGAAATACCAATTTACACTTACTGGAATGGCTATAATAAAAAAGAAGACAATTTTAAGTTCTATTGAGGATGTGGAGAAACTGGAACCCTCATCAATTGCTGCTAGGAATGTAAAATGATACTGCCTACCAGCAAACTGGAAAACAGTTTGATAGTTCCTCAAAAAATTAAATATACCTTACAGTACAACAATTCCACTTCTAATTGTATACCCAATAAAAATGAAAACATATGTCCACATAAAAACTTAATCTTCTTAGCAGCATTATTCATAAGCCAAAAAGTAGAAACAACCCAAATGTCCATCAGTTGATGAATTGATGAATAAAATGTGGCATATCCATACAATGAAATATTATCCAAAAGAAATGAAGTGCTGATACATACTACAACATAGATAAACCTTGAGAACATTATGCTAAGTGAAAGAAACCAGGCACAAAAGACTAGGTATTATATAATTCCATTTATATAAAATGTCCAGAATAGGCAAATCTATAAAAACAAAGTGGATTAGTGGTTGCCTAGAGTGGGAAAGGGGGAGGATGAGGGAGTTTCTGCTAGTGGGTGTGGTAGGCAGAAGATGTCCACATTTTATTTCTAGAACCTGTGAATATGTTACCTTACATGACAAAAAGAACTTTACAGATGTGATCAGGTGTACAGGCCTTGAGATGAAAAGATTATCTTGAATTATCCACTTGAATATTTAATCACATGAATTGTTAAAAACTAGAGAACTTCTCCCAGGATTTGTCAGAGAGAAAAATGTTAATAATTAGATACAGTGTTCCTGGCTTTGCAGATGGAGGAAGTGGGGGTCATCAGCCCAGAAATGTGGGTGCCTTCTAGAAACTAGGAAAGGCAAGGAAATGAGTCTTTCTCTATAGCCTCCAGAAAGGAATGCAGCCTTGCAGACACTTTGGTATTTGCCCAGTGGGACCATTTCAGACTCCTGACTCTAGAAGTCCAAGATAATACATTTGTATTGCTTTAGCCACTAAGTTTGCAGTAATTTGTTGTGGTATCCATGGAAAACTAATGAAATATGAGTATGGGATTTCTCAGTGATAAAAACATTCTAAAATTATGTAGTAGTGATGGTTGCATAATTTTCTGAATATGCTAAAAACCATTAACATGTACACTTTAAGTGAATGAATTTCATGGTATGTGAATTACATCTCAATAAAGCTGTTTAAAAATAAAGAGCAGTGAGGGACAACTTTAAGCCAGCTAATGTATGTATAATTAGAGTTCCCAAAGGGAAATCAGGAAAAAAATAAGAGTCAATAAAGAAATAATAAAAATTTTGAATTTTGATGAAAACTACAAATCCATAGATCCAAGGATCATGGTTGCATTAGTCTGTTCTCATGCTGCTAATAAAGACATACCTGAGACTAGTTAATTTATAAAGGAAAGAGGTTTAATTGACTCACAGTTCCACATGGCTGTGGAGGCCTCACAATCATGGCAGAAGGTAAATGAGGAGCAAAGTCACATCTTACATGGCAGCAGGCAAGAGACAACTTGTGCAGGGGAACTCCCCTTTATAAAACTATCAGATCTCATGAAACTTACTATCATGAGAACAGCGTGGGAAAGACCCACCCCCATGATTCAATTACTTCTCACCAGGTCCCTCCCATGACATGTGGGGATTATTATAATTCAAGGTGATATTTGGGTGGGGACACAGAGCCAAACCATATCAATGGTGAACCCCAATCACAAGAAATTTGAAGAAAACTACACTAAGTCTCATTATAATGAAACTGCTCAAAACCAATGATAAAGAGTAAATCTTACAAACAGCTATGGAATAAGGATGCATTATGTACAGAGAAAAAAGATAAGGATTAAAACCAATTTCTCTTTGGAAATGCTACAAATGATAAGACTGGATCAATATCTGAAAAATACCAAAAGAAAAATACTTTCAACCTAGAATTATATACCCAGAGAAAATCTCTCTCAAAAATCTAGACAAAATAATCACTTTTTCACACATAGAAGACAGAATTATTTATCAGCAGTAGACCTGTACTCCTAGAAATTCTAAAGAAAGTCTTTCAGGCAGAAGTAAAATAGCACCAGTGGAAATAGGTACCTACAGAAAGAAATAAAGAACACCAGAAATGACAACTACGTTTCTTATTTAAACCTCTTTAAAAGACAACAAATAATATTAGGTTGTGCAAAAGCAATTTCGATTTTTAGGTTTTGCCATTACTTTTAATAGTAAAAGCTGCAATTACTTTTGCACCAACCATATAATGTGCCGTGGAGTGAATATTATAAGTAAAATATATGACAAAATGGAGTTTACAGCATAAGTAAATATATGACAAAAAAAGTAGGGGGGAGAAATGGAAGTATATAATTTAGGGATCTTCTATATAAACCAGTATCACTTGAAGTTACACTGTGATAGGTTAAAGATGTATACTATAAACCCTAAAGCAACTACTAAAATAGCAAAACAAAAGTTATAGATAATAAACAAAGGAGATAAAGTGGAATAATAAAAATAATCCAAAAGTATGCTGAAAAAGAGAAGAGATAAAATAATAGAACAAATAGAAAATGAATAGCATGATGTTAGACTTATTTAACCATATCAATGGTTAACCTTAAATGTACATGGGATAAACACTCTGATTAAAAGGCAGATATTATCAGATTGAATAAAAAACAATAAAAAATATATGCTGTCTACAAGAAACAGAGTTGAGTTTAAAAGTAGAAAGACAAAAAAAGATATACCATGCTAACACTTATCAAAAGAAAGCTGGAGTGGCTAATATCAGAGAAAGTAAATTTCACAGCAAAGACTATCACCAAGGATGAAGAATGTAATTTCATAATGATGGAAGGAGAAATTCATCAAGAAGAAATAATAATTCAAAACATTTATGCACCTAATTACACAGACTCAAAATGTATACAACAAAAACGGACAGAAATTAAAGGAGAAATACACATTTATAGTTGGAATGATCAACACTGCTTTCCCAGTGATTCATAAAATAAATAAATGGAAAATTAGTAAAAATATAAATGACTTGAAAACCACTATCAACTAGACTTCCCTCAATGACATTTATAAAACACCTTACTCACGAGGGACAGAATACATGTTCTTTTCAAGCATATATTCTAGACCATAAAACACATTTTTACACATTTAAAAATTAAAACCATACAAAGTATGTTTTCTAACCACAATGGTATTAAATGAGAAATAAGCAACAGAAAGATGTACGGAAGATCTCCAAATTTTAAAAAACTAAATAGCATACTTCTTAGTCACCATAATCAAAGAAGAAATCAAAAGATAATGTAGAGAATATTTGAACTAAATGAAAGTGAACATATACTAAAATTTGCAGGATGCTGATAGAGCAGTACTTACAGGAAAATTTATAGCATTAAAGAAAGGTCTCAAATTAATAACCTAACTTTCCATTTTAAGAAACTGGAAGAAGCTAGGTGCAGTCTTGCATGCCTATAATCTCAGCTACTCAGGAGGCTCAGGAAGGAGGATCGCTTGAGCCCAGTAGTTTGAGGCCACTGTGTGATCATGCCTGTGAATAGCTACTGCAGTCCAGCCTGGGCAATACAGTGAGACCCTATCACTTAAAAAAAGGAAAAGAGAAGGAAGGAGAAAAAAGGAGGAGGAGGACTGGAGGAGTAAGTTAAACTCTCAAAGTATGAAAAAGGGAGGAAATAATAACATACCAGAATGTTTCAGAACAGATATCAGTGAAATATTAAACAAAACAGTAGAGGGAAATCAATGAAATAAAAAACTGCTTTTTAAGAAGATAAGTAAAACTGCTAAATCTCTAGCCAGAATGAAAAGGAAAATATATAGGACACAAATTACCAATATCAATAATGAGAGAAGTTACGCCACTACAGATTACACTGATATTAATAGGGATGAGGGAATATTTTGAACAACTTTATGCCAATAAATTCAACAATTTAGATTAAATGGACAAATTCATTCTAAAAGACTCAAACTAACAAAGCTTACTCAAGAAGAAATAGATAGCCTGAATAATCCTATATTTATTAAAGAAATTGAATTTATAGTTAAAAACTTTCCATGAAGAGAATGACAGTGAAGCCCAGGTGGCTTCACTGAGAATTTTACTAAACTTTTAAGGAAGAAAAAATAACATTTCTTGTCTGGAAAATTGAAGAGAAGGAAATACTTCTGACTTCATTCTATGAGGCCAGCATTAGCCTGATACCAGAACCAGACAAAGACATTACAATAAAAGAAAATTACAAACTAATATTCCTCATGAATATAGATGCAAAAATTCTAAGAAAAAGGAACTCATAGTTCTCTTTACTAAAAGCAAAACTCTAATGCCTGTCTTAATTCATTTGAGGTTTTTGGTAGAAAGCCACATGCATTTATATTTCTACTAAAGTATATACTATAGACATGCATTTTGGTGTTTGATGTTTTTGTAAGAAACTGATTCAGTGTAAGGAAGCACTGGAACATAAAAAAGCCACAAACAGAAATGGCTTTGTCCCCAGGGAGCTTTTTCAGCTGCCTTCGCTATGTGTAGATAGGAATTTGGTCATTTCTGCTAATATATCATTTAATTTATTTGACAGTCTGAATAGGATTTAACTTTAAGGTAAACTCAATTCTTTGTTTCTTTTGGCAATCACTTTTATATTTTTTAATATCAGAAGTTATTACCTCACTTAGTCCTAGGATTTTAATTCCTCTATGACTATTCTAGAATATTTTTAATTTATGATATTTAGACAATATTTCACTTACCTTTGTCTTATTTCTCTTGAGTTCTGTTAAGTTTTACACAAATGAAGGTAAAATAAGTATACCATGTCTACATTTTAAAATTGGTAGGATTTATATTTTATATTTTGCTGAGGACCCAATATATTAAAGAAACTTATTCAATGCTTTATATTTGCCTATGTATTTTTCATAATATATATATATATTTTTTTAAGATGGCGTTTCATCTTGTTACCCAGGCTGGAGTGCAATGGCGTGATCTCGGCTCACTGCAACCTCTGCCTTCTGGGTTCAAGCAATTCTCCTGCCTCAGCTTCCCAAGTAGCTAGGATTACAGGCATGCACCACTGTGCCCGGCTAATTTTTGTATTTTTAGTAGAGATGGGGTTTCACCATGTTGTCCAGGCTGGTCTCGAACTCCTAACCTCAGGCAATCTGCCCGCCTCAGCCTCCCAGAGTGCTGGGATTACAGGCGTGAGCCACAACACTCGGCAATAATCTTAATAGATGAAATTTTATTTATTTATTTTTTGAGACAGAGTTTCACTCTTGTCACCCAGGCTGGAGTACAATGGCGCGATCTTGCCTCACTGCAATCTCCACTTCCCAGGTTCAAGTGATTCAACTGCCTCAGCCTCCCGAGTAGCTGGGATTACAGGTGCCCACCACCACGCCCGGCTAATTTTTGTTTTTCGTTTTTTGTTATGTTTACTAGAGGCGGAGTTTCACCATGTTGGCCAGGCTGGTCTTGAACTCCTGACCTCAGGTGATCCACCCGCCTCAGCCTTTCAAAGTGCTGGGCAGGCGTGAGCCACGACGCCTGGCTGATGATAATCTTTACTCATAATATTATGAAGCAAATATATGTTATTCATATATCGTTTTACTATAAATATTTTGGTTAACTTTTGAATTTATGCTAGTCTATCATAAATCTTCAACTAACTGTGTTATTTAAAGGATACACACAGTAATATTCTTGATCCAAAGGGGGAGAAATGATTTTATTTTGTTATGTTTTAGTCTTTATGTTTGTTTTAACTCTTCTTTCTGACCACATTATGTACTTTTAAAAAATAAAGATTCTAGCAACATTACTAAGTTCCTGCTAATATTATTGTTTTTTTAATATCACCACTTTTAATTTTGAAACTCATGTAAGTTTTATACTAAATTAACTCACAAAATCATATGGATTCTATGAAAAATATATTGCAACTTATTGTTGCAAATGTATTATTAACACTATTGGTTCAGTAATTATTTAAATAAGATTATGTCATGATTAAACTATGTGTCACTTAAGAGCGAAGCAAAAAGCTGTTTGGTGAGATATAGAAAATTTTATTGTGGTAATTCAGAGTACCTTGATTAGGCATGGAGATAATAAACAAATTAAGGATATAATTGGAGGAAGTGCCACCTTTACATAATGGCTCTGCAAAGATTATATTCAAATAATTATCCTTCATTTGTAGGCTGAAAAAATAATTAAGATAACAAATATGACCCTAAAACTGTTTTAGAAAATTACTACTATAACAACAACAAAAATCATCCTATTTACAAACTATAATAAAAATTATTATTACTCCTAGTACCACCATTTGTTGAGCACTTATTTTGGGCCACTCATTGTATCCATCAGGCAATATATACTTTATTTCATTTAGTCCTCACCTCAGTACTATGATTTAAGAGATACTATCCTCATTATACAAATGTGGAGCAGTCCCTCTGTTTTCTTTTGTGGAACCACATCTCCTCTATTGTTTATCCGTATGGTTCAGGTAGGGTTACCCCCAACCCCAGATTGCAGAAGGGGCAACAAAGCTGAGGCCTGGCCTATTTAAGAACCTCATCCCACTGGCCACAATGTTGCTTTAATGGACACATGACCTAAACTGAGCCAGTGAGTCCTTTCCCAAGTCCGTTTCTGGAACTATTGTTATTTACAGTAACAAATGGCTTATCCTAGACAAGATTGCAGCAATACACATGGAACAGGATGTGAGATTCAATTGCTAGTATACTTGTACTAATAGCACTTATGCTCTAAAATTATGGCAGAAGGCTGAAAACATTCATAGGCACGCCTGAGCCCTGCCCCTGTAATTCATGTGGGCTACGTAAAGGAAACGATTACAGTGCTACCTACTTCAGCCTCATACTAAGCCCAAATATCAGTGAAATAATGTTTTTTATATTCAGAGTATATTTTATTTCTGATACACATTAAAATAAACACATAACTATTAAGAAAGCTTTATGTACCACCTAAAATGATTTCATGTCTTTCAGTGGTCTACATACCATATTTGGGGAAATACTGGACTAGAGAAGATGTCACATTTTCCTGTGTTGTTTAGAGTGCTGCTTTTGTTTGTGCATTTGTGTTTAAAGTAATGTCTTTACATTTATAGCATAATACCTCCCTTCAAAAAAAAAAGTCACTATGAGCTATTGTAGGGGGAAAAAGCACACCTAGAGGAAGGAAGAAACTTCTGGATTGTATTTTTAGCTCATATTTTGAGCCAACATAGATATGAAGCAGTGATGAGGTGTTTTTGCACATTTAATTACGTTTTTCTCTTGTAATCTATACCATTTCTCTACTTACCAGTAGCTTGGGTAAAAGGAGGCTACATCCTCAAGTCTCCAAGTTAGAATGTCTTTCTCTGACTCTTCCTGTTCAAATAGAACCTTTTGTTTTTGTTCCCTTTTGTTAATTCTCATAGACTGAAATCATGAAGTCAGGCTCATGTCTGTTTTGTTTACTACCAGATCTGCAGCACCATGCCAGTGAGCAGCACAGAGTAGGGGCTCAGTGAATATTTGCTGAATGAATGAATGAATGAGCATTCATACAAGGGTTTGTCAGGTGGGCAGGTCAAATATTATAATGGCTGACTTAGGCAAGGAATAGTTATGAGATGTCTTTAATGTCATATTATCAGTGACAGAATTGGGGCTCATAAGTACTTTTCCCTTTCACAGTGTTGATCCTTGAAATATGTTTATTGAAGAAATGAGTTAATGAAAGAACAATGTGTATTGTTCCTTAAAGACATTCATATTTTATTGGATGTTAAAGGAATATTTTAAAGAGAGACAAACTCCCTTTTTGGCTTAAGGTTGTTGGAAACTAAATAGGGGTGGAGGAGGGGACAAGAGGACAGAATGGGCAGATTTAAAATGAAATGTGTTAAATATCTTAGAAGTAACTAAACATATTATCTATTAATAGTAATTTAATCATAAAGTAACAGTGAATGTCTTAAACTAGCTCCAAAATCAGTTTTTGTCTTTGTCATAAAAACGTGATTAATAAGAAACTCATCTCATCCTGGAAAATGGTTCTCGTAAGATATGTATTTTGGTACACAATGCACCAAAACATTTGTTTCTATTTACTTTGAAAAAAATCTCCTTCAGAGATAGCATGTAGAGTGCAACCATCTGTTCAGGATGACACTTTTGAATTGCTGTTTTTCTGAACTCTCCTGACTCTGTAAATGTTAATTTAAAAAATATAGATTGTTTTCCCCTTGTATCAAGTTCGTTTATCAACTGTGTCATAAGGATATACTTATATCGTAGTATACATTAATAACAATTAATTGGCTATTGAGTAACAAACTGGAACCCTGGAGTTGCTGAATTCAGTTGCTGTTTTTAGTCTGCCGTCAGACTTTGGAAAAGTAATTAAATGTGTCTTACCTTTCCCCAAAATAGCTTTGAATGTTCATGAAATTAGGGGCAACTCAGATGCTGTTTAGCTAGTTAGGATCCTAGTAGTGCTGGGCTGAGGTACAGTAGAAGGTGAAGGAGAAGTATGTGTGGCAGTGATCTTAACTCCTATACCCACTACTCCAATTTGACCCCTAAGGCTCTGATACTACACGGGTGGAGGTAGATCCAACTATCCCAGTAGATCTAACTTAACCAACTAAGCATCTCTTCTGGGTGAAACTATATTGTCTCAACACTGATACAGAGTTTTAAAGGACTATCTTCGTGTGAATAATCTCACAAAAACCTCAATTCAACCATGGAGGGCAATGAAGCAAGTCTTATTATCCTATCAGTTTTATTTTACTGGTGGCAAAACTGAGGCTCAGACTGACCTCAGTCTGATTTGATTTGATTTGAGGCCATGTAATGATTAGATGGTAGAGCTGGGACCTGAACTCATACATTCTGATCCCTCTTTATATTACATTAATTCTTTGATTTATCTGGGAAAAGACATTATAAGGAGTTAAATGAAGCTATATATTTCACTTATAGTTGGTAGAGTGTTAACTCCTTTGACTCTCTTGCAAGATTTTGCCTTCAGTTAAAATCCTTTTACTTAAGCAAAATGACACCAAACAAAACCATCTTTATAATACATAATATGCATGTGAAGAACAAAAGAACAACAATCCTGGTTAGAATAAAATATTTTGTGTTTCATTACAGAGCAATTTTGAGAGCAAATAGAAATGATTATGGGCCGGGCGTGGTGGCTCACACCTGTAATCCCAGCACTTTGGGAGGCCGAGGCGGGCAGATCACAAGGTCAGGAGATTGAGACCATCCTGGCTAACATGGTGAAACCCCGTCTCTACTAAAAATACAAAAAAATTAGCTGGGCGTGGTGGTGGGCACCTGTAGTCCCAGCTACTCGGGAGGCTGAGGCAGGAGAATGGTGTGAACCCGGGAGGCGGAGCTTGCAGTGAACCGAGATCACGCCACTGCACTCCAGCCTGGGTGACAGAGCGAGACTCCATCTCAAAAAAAAAAAAAAAAAAAAAAAAAAAGATTATGAACTGGCCATTTTTCCTGTTACCTTATTTGATGGTATTTCCTTACCCAATCTTCAAGGTCTCCCCATATAAAGAAAGCAGGGTAACATCTGGATTTCAGAGAAAATTAACCACTTTCTTAAAGCTGTCCAATTATTCTGTTAGAAGATGTCATTATTAAGACATTAAAATGGAAGTACCAGTGGTTCCTTCTTGAGATCCCATTGGAATGAGAACCTTCTGGATTCTATTCTGCAGTGTTGTTTTTGTAACTTTGGACACATTTCTTTTAACCTTTCCCACTCATCTAAAACATGTCTCATAGAGTTTTATTTTGAGTTTAGAAAGACTGACATTTTTGGATTAAGTGGTGGGATAAATGGAAATGCTGTTCCTAAAGAAGCTTGGAGGTAGTTAAATTATTTTATTGTTTTTTTCAACTTTCTTCTCAGGAAGGTCAGGGAGCATTTTAAACAACTGATAAGTAAATGGTTGTTTATTTATTCATTAAAAATTTGTTAAGTACCATGTACCAGGCCATGACCAGAACCTTCTTCTGCTCCCTGGTGCTGTGCTGTCAGATGATGCTTCTGAGAACTCAACAAAGACTTTATCTCCATTATGGAATGTGAGTGTACAGTGGCCATTTGCAAGAATTTTATCTTGCTGTGTTGTCAGAAGTAGAATTTTCTGTCTCTCAGTGTATGATTAGTACTTAACCATATCCTGCCTTATTACTATTAACTGTTTCACATGCATTTGCTATTAGAAAGTAAGGTCCTTGAGGGAGGAAACCATGGCTTATCTCTCCATTTCTCTACTCAGTAAAAAACAGGAGTGAGGGAGTCTTTACCTGGGGGTCCGTGGATGAAGGGGCTTCACATAACTTGCAAGCTTTCTGAAATTGTGAGAAAAATTGTTTTTCATGTGTAGTTTTCTATGAACAGGGCCCATCATTTTTATTAGATTCTCAAAGGGGTCAGTGGCTCAATGGTTAGCTACTATAGATTAGTCACTCTACTAGGCTTATGATAAATATTTGAATGGTAGAAACTACAGGAAGACAGTTATTATCTTGATGTATGAGACAGCATTGTTATGATTGGAAGGCATGCTTTTGGATGGCTATCAGTTTCCCAGCACTGAAGATAGTAAGTTAATAGCTGGATACCCCATCAATTATAACATTGTTGGGATTTTGACCTACTCTTTCTGTTCTGTGATTCTATGATAATATCAATCTACATTAGAGAATACTTCTAATTCTTCACCATTCCCCATCTCCATTTTTGTATGACTCATTCTTTGAACTATTTATACATCTAAAGAAGCTTTTTGTTTGTTTTTTGAGACGGAGTCTCGTTCTGTCACCCAGGCTGGAGTGCAGTGGCGTGATCTCGGCTCACTACAAGCTCCGCCTACCGGGTTCACGCCATTCTCCTGCCTCAGCCTCCCAAGTAGCTGGGACTACAGGCACCCGCCACCACGACTAATAACCAGAGGCCTAGAAATCAGGTTTTGAGAACCATGGCCCTAAGGATATGTATGAAATACTGAATAGCAGGTAGGGAGCTTGGTATGAACTCAAGAAAATAAAGAGAATGTAGAATGGTTTTTGAGGTGAGGTTAAAAAAAAATCAGAAGATAGTAGTTGACAAGCAGGTTGACACAATTGCCAACAGATTAAACAGAGTAGCATTAATTGAGTACTAAATTGAGCTAGTTACCTTTAAATTTAGGCCTCTAAGCAATTTTAGTTTGTGCTGCAATTTCACTACTTTCATTCAAAGAAATTAGGACAGTGCAACTCCAGAGATGAGTTTCAGAAGTGCAAAGTGGTCAAACCACATTTCGTTTTCAGGTACATTCACTTTCGGTTATGTACATATACAAATTTGTGCATGAGTATATACATGTATGCAATATGTTCATGCCTTGATACTCATGAACATATGGATCCATCCACATGAATATATTTATTTATACATATACCAGTTGTAAGGATTATTAAACATAGTTAATAGAAAATTTTCACTTGTAGGGAAATAGAGTATGTCAAAGTAGTTGAATAATAGGTGAAAAGGATATTTTAGGTAATATATCAATGCTACTTTCAGGGTTAATATCAAACAGCAACACAGGATATATAAGGAACTGAGTACAGGTAGAACCCAAGCTGACAGTGTCATACCAAGAGATAATTTAGGTAAGAGAAGTCCAAAAGATATTCATTGTAATCTAAAGGAAATTGGCTATGTTATATGCTCCGGTTTTCCTTGGAAAAGCGTGGTTGTTAAATCATCATCACCAACAGCTCTACTTTGTTGAGTTAGGCCTGGGGCCCTTTAATTAAATGCTTCCTCAAAATGTTTTCTGGTGATCTTCTGAGCTGGCTGTTTTATTTACTGTTTAGCATTCTGCAAAGTCTCAGTTAGCATCCTTTAGCTGTGCATTTTTGATGAGTGTGGCATTACTATTTTTACACGGGTTTTGTAAACTCCTTTGAGGAATGCAGGAGTACATGGAGAGAAGAAGATGGTGGTGAGCTTCTTCCTTTATTTAATTCATCCATTCCCCAATCTCACAGAGACCAGTATAAAGCTGTACCTATAAAAGCTAACTGATTTGCCAAGTGTTTTTGCTCTGAAGGGACATCACTTATTTTTAGCAACAAAGAAGTGTTAGGAAGGGGAGGGAGGCATACCTCAGAAGGACAGATCTGAAATGAAGCCCAGAATACTGATGAGAGTAGAGTGTAGAACAAGAGTGTCTAGTGAAAGGTTGCCGAAGGGGAGAGTGCAGATCTAAGGTTTTGGATGATTGCAGGAAAGCTTCTATTAAGAGTTCTGTTAATAGAAAATTTAGGAAATGTTATTAAAATTTTTTAAGGGAATCTAATAAAGGAAAGCAAGATATGGCAAACTGAGCTGGTTGCTTAATTTGTTCAGTAATCTGCAATTTATTTTTAGATTGAGGTAAACTACTAACATATTTATTGAGCAACTATACTTGTACAAAGTGTTGTTCTAGGAAATGTGTGTAAAGGATGGCAGGATAGTATGAAAAAATACAAAATAAGGTCCGTGTTGTTAAAAAAATATGTAGGATTCTGTGTGTTAGAACTCTATTGAGTGCTTTCTGTATATTATTCTATTTAATCTTTGCAACAATTAGAAAGTAAAATTATCCCTATTTTGCAGATGAACAGTCTGAGAGAGAGGTTCTTTTCCTTTTTTCTTTCCTTCCTTTCTTCCTCTTTTCCCTTCTCTTTCCTTCAACAAAGTTAGACTCAAATATTAATAGAAAATAGTGCTTTCTTCCAAGGTTTCACCTTTTCTAAAGGTAGCAGAATTATAGCTATGTAATAAGTGCTATCATAGAGGTATGAACCCAGTAATATGGGGGATCAGAAGAAGAAGAATTCAATTCTGCTTGGTTATATCAGAGAAGGCTTCCTGAAAGAGGTAATATTTGAGCTGAGTCTTAAAGGATAAGAAGGAGTTTGCCTAGTAGACAAGAAGGATAAGGCAGTAACAGCAGTGTGGCAGATACCTCTGCCTGCCCACCCAATACCAATTACCTTCCTTTTGGCAGAGTTGAGATTTTGCTCAAGTGTCCCCTCCTCTACTTGACCCAAGGGAGAGTGACTCTATCCCTGCCTTTAGGAATAAGGAATAAGCACTGATTGGTCTAAGATAATTATGATAGGCCCATTCCTCTTGTTTGATTAGCTTAGGGAAGTGGGCATATGAACCAGTTCTGGCCAGTGAGATATAAGAAAAAGTCTGCTGGGAGGGCTTTGGAAATGTCTCTTGACCTTAAGAGGGAAACGTTGGAAGAGGTAGCTCTTTTATTTTTATTTTTTATTTTTGTCTCTAGGCATTGCTGTGCTGGGAAGGAATGCTTAAACCTGCCACAGCCATGTTGTGATTATGAAGGGAGCCAACCTGAGGACAAATCACATTTTCTGAGGATGGCAAAGCAAACAGATGCAAAGATCCTGGGTCTTTGATGGCATTGTGGAGTTGCTGGACAGCTTCCCTACTTTTCACGTTCCTATGACACAATGTTATCATCGTCCTTGTTGTATCAGCCAGGGTGAGCTGGAGTCTTCTATAATGGTCTCCTCACTGATAATAGAGCATGTGTAGAGGCATAGGGCTCAGAAGGGTCACAGGGCACTTAGAAATCGCCAATAGTTCATCATGACTGGAATGCAGGATATTGTGGAGTGGAGTGTGATGTGATGGCTAGAGCGAAAATGAAATAATGGGCAAGGCTTAGATCATAAGAGCCTTATATGTTAAGGGTAGACATTTGGATTTTGTAAATAATAGGGAGTCATTGAAAAGTCTTAAGCATGGTAATCGTATAATTAGATTTGCAATTTAGAAGTGTTAAAAGAAAAACTTCAGCCGAATTAAATTTAAAGGAGTTTAATTGAGCAATGAACGATTCGTGAGTTGGCCAGCCCCCAGAATCACAGCAGATTCAAAGACACTCCAGGGGTGCCTTGTGGTCAGAACAAATTTATAGACAAAAAAAGTAAAGTGACATACAGAAATCGGAAGTGAGGTACAGAAACAGATGGATTGGTTACAGCTTGACGTCTGCCTTATTTGAACACAGTTTGAACACTCAGCAGTCTATGACTGGTTGAAGTATGGCTGCTGGGATTGGCCAAGACTCAGTGATTGTTAGGGGCACATACTCCGAAGTTAGGTTTTCAGTCTTGTCTACCTATTAAGTTAGCTTGCAGTTCATCCACAAGGACTCAAATATAGAAGTACAGAGTCCTTCTCAGGCCATATTTAGTTTGTTTTAACAGAAGCATTCCTCTGAATACAGTGTGAAGGACTACAGAAGGTAAGACACCAATGTCATTCAGCTCAGGAGCAAATGGATTCACATACAGGCTGGTCTCTCCCCATTATTGTTCCATTTTGGCTTGGAAAGACAGCAGTTATGACAATATGTGCTAAGTGGAAAATTAGAGGAGCATCTAGAATTTCATGGAAGAAGAGTGTGTTGGGGATCATGGAGGATTTCAATGAGCAGATTGGATTTGAGCTGAACACTGAAAAAGACTTGGAAAACATGGGGGAGTGGAGTGCAGCAAGAAACAACAGGGAAGAATGGCAAGTTGAGCTGAAATGGAGGGTTTTATGGGAAGAGAATAAAACTAGAGTGGTCACTTGCAACCAAAATGGCAGAGAAAAGAAATTAAACTTTATCCTGGTTCTGCCACTTAGCAGTTATGAAACATTAGGCTTGATAAACTTGTTTCCTTTTTTTAAATATATATATATATATTTTTCTTTCTTTTTTTTATTATTATTATACTTTAAGTTTTAGAGTACATGTGCACAATGTGCAGGTTAGTTACATATGTATACATGTGCCATGCTGGTGTGCTGCACCCATTAACTCGTCATTTAGCGTTAGGTATATCTCCTAATGCTATCCCTCCCTACTCCCCCCACCCCACAACAGTCCCCAGAGTGTGATGTTCCCCTTCCTGTGTCCATGTGTTCTCATTGTTCAGTTCCCACCTATGAGTGAGAATATGCGGTGTTTGGTTTTTTGTTCTTGTGATAGTTGACTGTTTACTGAGAATGATGATTTCCAGTTTCATCCATGTCCCTACAAAGGACATGAACTCATCATTTTTTATGGCTGCATAGTATTCCATGGTGTATATGTGCCACATTTTCTTAATCCAGTCTATCATTGTTGGACATTTGGGTTGGTTCCAAGTCTTTGCTATTGTGAATAGTGCCGCAATAAACATACGTGTGCATGTGTCTTTATAGCAGCATGATTTATAGTCCTTTGGGTATATACCCAATAATGGGATGGCTGGGTCAAATGGTATTTCTAGTTCTAGATCCCTGAGGAATCGCCACACTGTCTTCCACAATGGTTGAACTAGTTTACAGTCCCACCAACAGTGTAAAAGTGTTCCTATTTCTGCACATCCTCTCCAGCACTTGTTGTTTCCTGACTTTTTAATGATTGCCATTCTAACTGGTGTGAGATGGTATCTCATTGTGGTTTTGATTTGCATTTCTCTGATGGCCAGTGATGATGAGCATTTTTTCATGTGTTTTTTGGCTGCATAAATGTCTTCTTTTGAGAAGTGTCTGTTCATGTCCTTCACCCACTTTTTGATGGGGTTGTTTGTTTTTTCCTTGTAAATTTGTTTGAGTTCATTGTAGATTCTGGATATTAGCCCTTTGTCAGATGAGTAGGTTGCAAAAGTGTTCTCCCATTTTGTGGGTTGCCTGTTCACTCTGATGGTAGTTTCTTTTGCTGTGCAGAAGCTCTTTAGTTTAATTAGATCCCATTTGTCAATTTTGGCTTTTGTTGCCATTGCTTTTGGTGTTTTAGACGTGAAGTCCTTGCCCATGCCTATGTCCTGAATGGTAATGCCTAGGTTTTCTTCTAGGGTTTTTATGGTTTTAGGTCTAAAGTTTAAGTCTTTAATCCGTCTTGAATTAATTTTCATATAAGGTGTAAGGAAGGGATCCAGTTTCAGCTTTCTACATATGGCTAGCCAGTTTTCCCAGCACCATTTATTAAATAGGGAATCCTTTCCCCATTGCTTGTTTTTCTCAGGTTTGTCAAAGATCAGATAGTTGTAGATATGCGGTGTTATTTCTGAGGGCTCTGTTCTGTTCCATTGATCTATATCTCTGTTTTGGTACCAGTACCATGCTGTTTTGGTTACTGTAGCCTTGTAGTATAGTTTGAAGTCAGGTTGCATGATGCCTCCAGCTTTGTTCTTTTGGCTTAGGATTGACTTGGTGATGCGGGTTCTTTTTTGATTCCATGTGAACTTTAAAGTAGTTTTTTCCAATTCTTTGAAGAAAGTCATTGGTAGCTTGATGGGGATGGCATTGAATCTATAAATTACCTTGGGCAGTATGGCCATTTTCATGATATTGATTCTTCCTACCCATGAGCATGGAATGTTCTTCCATTTGTTTGTATCCTCTTTTATTTCCTTGAGCAGTGGTTTGTAGTTCTCCTTGAAGAGGTCCTTCACATCCCTTGTAAGTTGGATTCCTAGGTATTTTATTCTCTTTGAAGCAATTGTGAATGGGAGTTCACTCATGATTTGGCTGTCTGTTTGTCTGTAATTGGTGTATAAGAATGTTTGTGATTTTTGTACATTGATTTTGTATCCTGAGACTTTGCTGAAGTTGCTTATGAGCTTAAGGAGATTTTGGGCTGAGACAATGGGGTTTTCTAGATATACAATCATGTCATCTGCAAACAGGGACAATTTGACTTCCTTTTTTCCTAATTGAATACCCTTTATTTCCTTCTCCTGCCTAATTGCCCTGGCCAGAACTTCCAACACTATGTTGAATAGGAGTGGTGAGAGAGGGCATCCCTGTCTTGTGCCAGTTTTCAAAGGGAATGCTTCCAGTTTTTGCCCATTCAGTATGATATTGGCTGTGGGTTTGTCATAGATAGCTCTTATTATTTTGAGATACTTCCCATCAATACCTAATTTATTGAGAGTTTTTAGCATGAATTTTGTCAAAGGCCTTTTCCGCATCTATTGAGATAATCATGTGGTTTTGTCTTTGGTTCTGTTTATATGCTGGATTACATTTATTGATTTGCGTATATTGAACCAGCCTTGCATCCCAGGGATGAAGCCCACTTGATCATGGTGGATAAGCTTTTTGATGTGCTGCTGGATTTGGTTTGCCAGTATTTTATTGAGGATTTTTGCATCAATGTTTATCAAGGATATTGGTCTAAAATTCTCTTTTTTGGTTGTGTCTCTGCCCGACTTTGGTATCAGGATGATGCTGGCCTCATAAAATGAGTTAGGGAGGATTCCCTCTTTTTCTTTTGATTGGAATAGTTTCAGAAGGAATGGTACCAGTTCCTCCTTGTACCTCTGGTAGAATTCGGCTCTGAATCCATCTGGTCCTGGACTCTTTTTGGTTGGTAAGCTATTGATTATTGCCACAATTTCAGAGCCTGTTATTGGTTTATTCAGAGATTCAACTTCTTCCTGGTTTAGTCTTGGGAGGGTGTATGTGTCGAGGAATTTATCCATTTCTTCTAGATTTTCTAGTTTATTTGCATAGAGGTGTTTGTAGTATTCTCTGATGGTAGTTTGTATTTCTGTGGGATCGGTGGTGATATCCCCTTTATCATTTTTTATTGCATCTATTTGATTCTTCTCTCTTTTCTTCTTTATTAGTCTTGCTAGCGGTCTATCAATTTTGCTGATCCTTTCAAAAAACCAGCTCCTGGATTCATTAATTTTTTGAAGGGTTTTTTGTGTCTCTATTTCCTTCAGTTCTGCTCTGATTTTAGTTATTTCTTGCCTTCTGCTAGCTTTTGAATGTGTTTGCTCTTGCTTTTCTAGTTCTTTTAATTGTGATGTTAGGGTGTCAATTTTGGATCTTTCCTGCTTTCTCTTGTGGGCATTTAGTGCTATAAATTTCCCTCTACACACTGCTTTGAATGTGTCCCAGAGATTCTGGTATGTTGTGTCTTTGTTCTCGTTGGTTTCAAAGAACATCTTTATTTGTGCCTTCATTTCATTATGTACCCAGTAGTCATTCAGGAGCAAGTTGTTCAGTTTCCATGTAGTTGAGCGGTTTTGAGTGAGTTTCTTAATCCCGAGTTCTAGTTTGATTGCACTGTGGTCTGAGAGACAGTTTGTTATAATTTCTGTTCTTTTACATTTGCTGAGGAGAGCTTTACTTCCAAGTATGTGGTCAATTTTGGAATAGGTGTGGTGTGGTTCTGAAAAAAATGTATATTCTGTTGATTTGGGGTGGAGAGTTCTTTAGATGTCTATTAGGTCTGCTTGGTGCAGAGCTGAGTTCAGTTCCTGGGTATCCTTGTTAACTTTCTGTCTCGTTGATCTGTCTAATGTTGACAGTGGGGTGTTAAAGTCTCCCATTATTATTGTGTGGGAGTCTAAGTCTCTTTGTAGGTCATTCAGGACTTGCTTTATGAATCTGGGTGCTCCTGTATTGGGTGCATATATATTTAGGATAGTTAGCTCTTCTTGTTGAATTGATCCCTTTACCATTATGTAATGGCCTTCTTTGTCTCTTTTGATCTTTGTTGGTTTAAAGTCTGTTTTATCAGAGACTAGGATTGCAACCCCTGCCTTTTTTTGTTTTCCATTTGCTTGGTAGATGTTCCTCCATCCCTTTATTTTGAGCCTATGTGTGTCTCTGCACGTGAGATGAGTTTCCTGAATACAGCACACTGATGGGTCTTGACTCTTTATCCAATTTGGCAGTCTGTGTCTTTTAATTGGAGCATTTAGCCCATTTACACTTAAAGTTAATATTGTTATGTGTGAATTTGATCCTGTCATTATGATGTTAGCTGGTTATTTTGCTTGTTAGTTGATGCAGTTTCTTCCTAGCCTCAATGGTCTTTACAATTTGGCATGATTTTGCAGTGGCTGGTACCGGTTGTTCCTTTCCATGTTTAGTGCTTCCTTCAGGAGCTCTTCTAGGGCAGGCCTGGTGGTGACAAAATCTCTCAGCATTTGCTTGTCTGTAAAGTATTTTATTTCTTCTTCACTTATGAAACTTAGTTTGGCTGGATATGAAATTCTGGCTTGAAAATTCTTTTCTTTAAGAATGTTGAATATTGGCCCCCACTGTCTTCTGGCTTGTAGAGTTTCTGCCGAGAGATCAGCTGTTAGTCTGATGGGCTTCCCTTTATGGGTAACCCAACCTTTCTCTCTGGCTGCCCTTAAGATTTTTTCCTTCATTTCAAGTTTGGTGAATCTGACAATTATGCGTCTTGGAGTTGCTCTTCTTGAGGAGTATCTTTGTGGCATTCTCTGTATTTCCTGAATCTGAATGTTGGCCTGCCTTGCTAGATTGGGGAAGTTCTCCTAGATAATATCCTGCAGAGTGTTTTCCAACTTGGTTCCATTCTCCCCGTCACTTTCAGGTACACCAATCAGACGTAGATTTGGTCTTTTCACATAGTCCCATATTTCTTGGAGGCTTTGTTCATTTCTTTTTATTTTTTTTCTCTAAACTTCCCTTCTCGCTTAATTTCATTCGTCTCATCTTCCATCACTGATACCCTTTCTTCCAGTTGATCGCATCGGCTCCTGAGGCTTCTGCATTCTTCACGTAGTTCTCGAGCCTTGGCTTTCAGCTCCATCAGTTCCTTTAAGCACTTCTCTGTATTGGTTATTCTAGTTATACATTCGTCTAAATGTTTTTCAAAGTTTTTAACTTCTTTGCCTTTGGTTTGAATTTCCTCCGGTAGCTTGGAGTAGTTTGATCGTCTGAAGCCTTCTTCTCTCAACTCGTTAAAGTCATTCTCCGTCCAGCTTTGTTCCATTGCTGGTGAGGAACTGCGTTCCTTTGGAGGAGGAGAGGCGCTCTGCTTTTTAGAGTTTCCAGTTTTTCTGTTCTGTTTTTTCCCCATCTTTGTGGTTTTATCTACTTTTGGTCTTTGATGATGGTGATGTACAGATGAGTTTTTGGTGTGGATGTCCTTTCTGTTTGTTAGTTTTCCTTCTAACAGACAGGACCCTCAGCTGCAGGTCTGTTGGAGTTTGGTAGAGGTCCACTCCAGACCCTGTTTGCCTGGGTACCAGCAGCGGTGGCTGCAGAACAGCAGATTTTCATGAACTGCAAATGCTGCTGTCTGATCGTTCCTCTGGAAGTTTTATCTCAGAGGAGTACCCGGCCGTGTGAAGTGTCAGTCTGCCCCTACTCGGGGGTGCCTCCCAGTTAGGCTGCTCGGGGGTCAGGGGTCAGGGACCCACTTGAGGAGGCAGTCTGCCCGTTCTCAGATCTCCAGCTGCGTGCTGGGAAAATCACTGCTCTCTTCAAAGCTGTCAGAGAGGGACATTTAAGTCTGCAGAGGTTACTGCTGTCTTTTTGTTTGTCTGTGCCCTGCCCCCAGAGGTGGAGCCTACAGAGTCAGGCAGGCCTCCTTGAGCTGTGGTGGGCTCCACCCAGTTCGAGCTTCCCAGCTGCTTTGTTTACCTAAGCAAGCCTGGGCAATGGTGGGCGCCCCTCCCCCAGCCTCGCTGCCACCTTGCAGTTTGATCTCAGACTGCTGTGCTAACAATCAGCAAGAGTCCGTGGGCATAGGACCCTCTGAGCCATGTGCGGGATATAATCTCCTGGTGTGCTGTTTCCCAAGCCTGTCAGAAAAGTGCAGTATTAGGGTGGGAGTGACCCGATTTTCCAGGTGCAGTCCGTCACCCCTTTCTTTGACTAGAAAGGGAACTCCCTGACCCCTTGCGCTTCCCGAGTGAGGCAATGCCTTGCCCTGCTTAGGCTCGCGCACGGTGCACGCACCCACTGACCTGCGCCCACTGTCTGGCACTCCCCAGTGAGATGAACCTGGTACCTCAGATGGAAATGCAGAAATCACTCGTCTTCTGCTTCACTCACGCTGGGAGCTGTAGACTGGAGCTGTTCCTATTTGGCCATCTTGGCTCCGACCGATAAACTTGTTTCCTATTTGGTTGAATTGGGATTACAAGCATAGACTTTATTAATATCACCAAGTGATATCATATAGATATTATGTACCCCTTGATAATTAGGTGATGAGAAAGACACTTTCCCGTTGTTGTATTCTCTCTAAAAACCCACAACCCCAGCCTAATCATGAGAAAACCATCAGACAAACCAAACATAAGGAACATTCTACTATTTTGTGCTACTTTGACCAGGACTCCTAAAAACTGTCAAGGTGATGAAAAACAAGAAAAGAATGAGAAACTGTCACAGATCAGAGGAGACAAAGGAGACAGGACACCTAAAGTAATGTGGTATCCTGGACTAGATTATAGAACATACAAAAATACATTAATGAAAAAGCTGGTGAAATTTGAATAAAATTGAGAGTTTAATTGACAGTAATGTACCAATGTTGTGCTGATTTTTTAATTTTGACAAACTAAGCAAGGTAACATAAGGTAATAACAATAGGAGCAATGAAACTGGGTGAGGGGTATGTTATCACTGCTGTCTTTGCAACTTTTTCATAAATATAAAAGTACTCCAAAATAGTTTATTGACAAACTATCTATGCATATATAGTATTATATTTATATATATGCACTTTATTGAGTTGTTATGCATATTGAATGAAAGAGCACATATGAAGCAGCCAGGATAGTGCCTGACACATAATAGGGCCTCAAATGTTAGCTCCCTTTACACACTGGAGGCTCTAAACAGTGGGCAGGTGGGAGGGGTATGAGGATTGAAAGACTACCTATTGGGTTCACTAATCAGGTGATGGGTGCACTAAAAGCCCAGACTTCATCACCATACAATATATGCATGCAAGGAACCTGCACTTGTACCCCCAAATATATTTTTTTAAACTAGTGATTTTCAAATTTTGTTTATATAAAAACCACATGGAGATGTTATGTCAAAAATGCAAACAAATCTCAGGGCCTCAGCCTTAGAGATTCTGATTTAGTGGGTCTGGAATAGAGTCCAGGAAGAGGAATTTGTAATAGGTGTCCTTCAGAGACTTTATGCAAGTGGCCTATGACCATGCTTGGAGAATTGCTGCTGTAGACTATGGGAATCCTAGAGTGAGAATTGTACATTACCCTGAGGAGGAAAATAATGGAGATAAAAATGCCTGCCCTACTTACCTCACATTGGTTGATGGGAGAAAAATATAGAAGCAAGCACTTCACAAACTGTAAGTTACAATCGAAATCATTACAGATTAATTTGGAAGAGAGGTCTGATTAGGTAGCCATTTAATATTAACTACAGTGTGGTTGAAATCTAATTTTTATCCCTGTCACCCTCCTAAAAATGTTTAGCTGCTTTTCCTGCTTAAATGCTCAGATGACCCATAGGACAAAGGCACAGTTCAACTCCTTCAATTACAGATGAGCTAACTGAAGCTGAGAGAAGAGATGTGACTGGTTCAAGGTCGTAGAGATAGTTATTGAGAGAATGGGATTAATACCCACTCTTGCAAGCTTCAGTCCAACTGTTTTTTCTGCTACCAGATAATTAATAGGTGCCACCCTCAGAGTCTCAGACCTTTCATATGGGCTCTGGAAAAAGAGAATGTGTATCTGACTTATTGAGGAGGATGCCAGGAGTTTGTTTGCCTGAGTCCTGCTGACAGTTTTCTCTTGGTCCACTGTGTTCTAGAATAACTCAGTTTCACTTCAGTGAGGTAGAATAAAAAGGGATCATCTGAACAGGAAAATGGCCCTTCATGGACAGTCTTGTATCATACTCAGCTTCTACATCCTCAGCCACGTCAGCTATGTGTCGTCAGCCTGGAAGAGCTCACCACGCCTTCACAACACTGACCAACAACTCAGGCACACTTCCCTGTTGTGTCTTCCTGAGTACCTACAGGATGATCTGAGTTCCTAGGTGGTTTCTGATACTTCCTGGGGAAGAGTATCTGGTTTTTGTGTTCTGACCCGCAATTGCAGTAAAGCAGTCCAGCTGGCTTCCCTTCTACCTTGAGCATTGTGTGTTGGCATCTTCTGGGTGTAACTGGGATCCATAGTCATAAGTATCATGTAGTGACATCCTGCCATGACACTGTCTTCCTCTCAGCACGTTTTACCTTGCCACTCTGCTGTATTGCGGCTTCCTGGGCTATGCTCTGAGAAGTGGAGCACGAGCATGCCCACTTGTTTTGTAATGCCTGTCTGTGAGTCTCTATCATTCCCTGAGATTTTGATTCCAAGATGGCAGGGGAGAAAGTAGGCTCTTGTTGCGTCTCCATTCTTTTACTCTCTTGTTTTTTTGTTTGTTTGTTTGTTTTCTCTTCTCTTTTTTTTTTTTTTTTTGGTCCCCCCGCCCCAAGATGCCCTCCTGGAGCTCAGAAAGGGCTTTTACTTTCACCCTTTGTATTGGGAAATGCCCTTACTTCATAACTTATAACCTACCTACTTTATGACTTATGGTAAAGACCCTTTACTCTGACTACTCCAAGCTTTGGACCTATAAATTCATTTTTCCTAGAACAAATCCTGTCTGTTGCAAATGAAATATATTTTAGTTTTGACAATTACTTTCCCTGAAATAATTTTTATTTCAGAGCCTATCATGAAGAGGTTAAAAACGGAGGAAGAAGGAAAGGGAGTGACATGTTGGACTGGAAATAGGAGGGTTCAGTTAAAATGTGCATTTTGAATGGTGACACCCCTCAGCTCCCTTCCTTATCCATTTGTCTTTTCTCAGGAAGCTAAAGAATGATGCGCTCCACCACAATGAGGGACTAAACAACAAAAAGGAGGCATGAGATTCAGGAAGCAAAAAAGGTGTGTAGAGAATTCTCAGGATGATGCTGAAGGAAAACCCCAGGATGACAGCTATACATTAGGCCTAGAGAGCAACCAGTCCCAACTGGAAGTGGGGGATGGAGGGCTCTAGGGCAAAATAATCTTCTGATTGGTTTTACCGTGTGGAAAGTTGAATTGAATTGCTATTAATGGGTATGGTAGGGTCTAGAAGTCTCAGCAAATTTTAAGGAGGAACAATTATTGACTCAAAAAAAAAAAACCAGTTGCACAAAAAGGAGAGGTAATCATAGTTAACAACTTAACTCAGCACTGAGTGATATTTAAATATCCAGTAAATACAAATTGAATATTGCTTTAACTAAAAAAGAAAATAGATATATTTGTGTTGGAAAAATTGGGGATAGGAAATGGATGTAAGTGAAAAATGATATGGTAAGTCAATAGTTGAACACCCAGAATTGATGAATCAAGATACAGAAGTTTAAACATATTATTTAGAAATATGAAGATAACCACAAAGAGAAACAGCTAAAATATTTGAAAATGTTTGCCTCTGGGGAGTGGAATGTAACCTCAACTTTTTTGTGTTTTTTTTTCTAATAACATTATCTCTCCAACAAAAATAAAACCTAAAATTCACCTAATAAATCAGTTTGTTTAGAAACAAATGTGTATGTATTTAAAGGCTTACACTAGCAAAAAACAAAAGCAAGCAAACCCAAAACACTTCAAACTGTACATGAACCTAATTAATATTTCACTTGGTTCAAGGCTTCTCACATTTGCTTCTCATCTACTTTTGGAAGAAACTCAGGGAGATGAGGTTTTTACGTAGTCAAACCTATGAGGTTACGCCATAGTCAATATCCTCAGTGAAGCTGACATGAATCTGTTTAGGGCTGAAAAGCAACTACTAATAGACATTGATTTTAAGCTTGTGATGATACCATCTTCTTTCTACTTTAAGTTTTGGGAAGCTCTGTTTATGCCTCAAATCTGTGATACTTTGTGGAAGTTTGCATTATGATTTTTGATATCTCCAGAGATTAGTGACATAAACTACTGAACATATGTAGTTCTAGCAGTTTTTGTTATTCATAAAATAGCAACACATTTTATTCATATTTATTTATATTTCATGATAAACAATCAGCTATCTTTGATACAACACTTAACTGGTATGATTGTTAAACTCAAAATAGTCACATGGTTTATTGTTAAATACAGACAGTGATTCCATCTTTGTGCCCTCTTGTATATAAATTGTTTCACATTTTTTTGCTTCTCGTGTGTGTAATAAAAATAGCTCTCATAACTGAGTGGAGGTTTCAGTGAAATATCCCACTGTGACATTTAATATATTTATTTGATGCACTTACCTTTGGTTCCCAGTACCATGAAATGTAGTCTGCAGGTTAGTATTCTCATTTTACATGATAAACTGGTCCTCATCGTTTACAGCTAGTGAAGCATTTGTATCTGGGACTTTTCTTTGATAAGCCCTTCAGCACATTACTCTTCTCATTTTCAGAAGCTCCCTTTCTTCTTCCTTCTCTGACTTCTTTTTTCCTAAGGCTCCATTTCAATCTCCTAGTCTTTGTGAGCTCTTCTCTGATGTCTCATTTGCATTTTTCCTACAATTTCTCAGAGTTCTTAACACTTTAGCAGCTTTTGCATTTCTTCAAAATGTTGATATATTTGAGTAGGTATTAATAGCTAAATATTAGCAATACATAAAATTTTAATACACATAAAATTAGTAAAAATACTTTTGTGCTATTAAGTTCACATGGGTGATACTTTATTTATTTTTGTTTTTAACCTGGTTCTTAGTAAGTATACAGATACATTTTAATGTTACCTAGTAGAAATTCTAAGTTGATTTTTTTAAGATTAATAAAATCCTAGACATAATGCAATTCTTACAAATCATTATTTCTTACCTGTCATTTGTCAATGCAGTATTTATAAATTAACAGTCATGGATTTTCACTTGAATGCAAAATGCTGGAACAGTCTGGAATGGACATGTGAAAGCCATCTCAGAGGATTACCTGAGCATCAGATGGATGGAAAAAAATAGTAGATATATGAGCAAATAGATGGGTAGATAGATCAGTCTCAGGTTTCAACTCTGTTCCTCCAAAGCATGCTTGAGTTACTCTTTCAGTATTGTGGAAGGTTAACAATGCTGGAAAACTGAGTTCTCTACTTTTGAACTTTTATAGGTATGTAACATATCAGGAAAATAAAACATTTGAAACTGGGAACTTACAAATATCTTCAAAAACAATTATTTATTTTACAAAGAGATTTACCCAGACTCCTCATTTAAGGAACATTAGATCTCAGTATTTCATATATAGACAGTCCTGAAGATGTGTTACTCCTGTAGTTTTCATTTGGGATTGATATATTTTGTCCTCCCTATGTTGATGACTGCCAGAAATTCCAGGGATTTAGTTGAATATAAACTGAACTGAAAAATATATATTTACTGAGGTGTTTACAGTATTCACCTTTGATTGTAGACTGAGTTTCTATCTGGCAATAGGCCTCTGGAAATGAAACACTGCAACATTACTGGATGTTTTCTAAAACCATTTTATCTGCCAAATTTACCAAGTGAAAGTGAACGTAAAGAACAAACATGTATCTTACCATTTAACTTATGATTTTTCAAATATGAAGAAAAGTATAGAGAATATGACAAAAACTCATGAATCTGTTATCCAAAATGCTACCATATTTTCCCTATGAATTATTAAAGGATGCCCCCAAGCCATTTTTCCCCTTCCTTCTGAGAAGTAGCTACTGTCTTGAAATTGGTATGTGTGATCCCCTCAATGTTTTTGTGTTTTAAAAAAGCACATGTAAATATTGTAAATATATGACCTCTGGTGTTATGTGTTTCAAAATTTTAAATAAGTGTTATCATGCCATATATATCCTTTTGCAATTTGCTTTTACCATTCAGCATTAGGTTTTTGAAATTTATCTGTGGAGATCTAGTTCATTCATTTGAACTAGAACTATATAGAATCTATTGTAAAACTAAGCCACTTTACTTAATTCCGTTCCCTTACTGATGATGCTAAAGTTGTTTCCACTTATTTTTGTATTACAAATAGTGCTGTAGTAAACATCCTTATATATTTATTCTTGTACACATGGGCAAGAATTTCTCTAGAGCAGTAGTTCTCAAACTTAGGCGTGCATCAGAATCACCTTCAATGCTTATTAAAACACAGGTTGCTCAGGTTGCTGGCTCCAGGACTACACATCCTTTGCCATAATATAGAAGCTGCTAAATCCAGGCTTCCACTGCTAAGAGTTCCAGATCCATGCTGCTTCTGTCATGATTTCTATCAGTCAAATATATCTCTACATGTTGCCTTTTTGCCTATGTAATGGAGCAAATGCACAATTTATTGTTCATCTCTGAACTCTTTTGAGTCTGAAAGGGAGTGTTTTTAATAATTGTAACAACATCTGACTTACAACCCAGTTCTGGATCAAAGCCTCCAGTAGGTGCCTCTGGTGGGAAAATCAAAATTACAAATCTACACCTAACAGCCAAGGAACCTGAGTCTGGAAATTGTAGTTTTTGGGATTCTAGTTTAGAAAGGTAGACTTTGTGCAGAAATGTCAAAATTAGCTAAAGGCCTTAAAAATAGTTTGGAACTACCTACAAAGCAATGATTACTTTGTTATTATTTTAAGTTTTATTTATTTATTTTTCTGTCTTATTCCACTGGCTAAGACTATCAGCACATTGTTGAATAGTTGTGCTGATGGCAAACATTTTTTTCTCTTCTTTCTTGTCTTGAAGGAAGTGCTAATAAAGTTTCATTATGATGATATTTTCTATAGGGTTTTAAAATATGCTTTTGTCAGGTTTAGGAAATTTCCTTTTATTCTTAATTTTCTGAGTGTTTAAAAAAATTATAAATATGTATACATTTAATAATACCTTTTGTACATGCAATAAGATAATGTTTTTTTCCTTTATAAATGTGTTAAATTACATTAAAATATTTTCTAATGTTAGAGCAGCCTTGAATCCTTGGGATAAATTCTACTTGGTAATGATACTTTTTTTTTTTTTAAGTATAAATTTTTGGCTTTGGTCTGGTAATATCTTATTTAGCATTTTTGCAAATATGTTCATAAATGAGCTACAAATTTCCTTTTTTTTTTTTTGAGACAGTGTCTTACTCTGTCGCCCAGACTGGAGTGCAGTGGCACAATCACAGCTCACTGCAGCCTCAAACTCCTGGGCTCAAGCAATCCTCCCAACTCAGCCTCCTGAGTAGGTGGGATTACAGGCACCTGCCACCACACCCAGCTAACTTTTGTATTTTTTGTAGAGTCAGGGTTTTTCCATGTTGCCCAGGCTTCTCTTGAACTCCTCGGCTCAAACAATCCCCCTGCCTCGGCCTCCCAAAGTGCTGGGATTACAGGTGTGAGCCACTGCACCTGGCCAAATTTCCTTTCTAATACTGTACTTTTTCAGTTGTGGTGCCAAGTTATGTCAGTCTTATTAAAATCAGTTAGTGAAGTTGCCGTGTTTACATATTCTCTGAAAAACTTTAAAATGATGATTGTTGGAAGTTTGACATGTTCTCCAATAAAACCATCCAGCATGGTGTGATTTTTATTTATAGAGGATGATATAGATTTTTAATGATCAATTCCAATTCTTTAATGGATATAGATCTGTTCAACTTTTCAATTTGTCATGAGTCTGTTTTGGTAAGTTATATTTTTCTAGAGAATGGTTCAATTTTTATGTTTCCAGTTATGGGTATCAAGTTACTCAGCCTGTTCTCTTGTGATTTAAAAAAAATGTCTATTCTATCTGTAATTATGTCACCCTTTACTTTCAGATCTGTTTTGTTTATGCTTTGTGTTTTTCCCCCATGATTAGCCCTGATTACAAAATAGTTAATTTCTTTTAAAAAGCAACTTTAAGATTTGTTTCTGTTGTTTCTCATTTCATTAACTTCTGCTCTGATGTTTATTTTTTCATTTCATCAACTTTCTCCTAATATCTTGAGTTGCCTACATCATTAATTTTCAATTTTAGGATTAGTTCATTTAGCTGCACACATTTTGAAATATAGGGTTTGCTTTGCGGATCAGTACCAAATATTTTATAATTTTTATTGAGATTTCTTCTTTGACTCATAGATTATTTAGAAATGCATTAAAATTTTCCAAATGAAAAATTCTTAGATAACGCTTTGTTATTGATTCCTAAATTTACTATATTTTGAGTAGACATCTTGGTTTGTGGGATATTTTATTTGGTAGTTTTTGAAATTTTTCTTTGTTCTAATATGTGTTCCATTTTTGCTTGAAAAAAACATTAGTTCTCAAAATGCTGGATGTAGTATTCTATATAATTATTGTCATTGCATCAAGTCTCTTAATTGGGTTATCAAATCATTTATAGTCTCACTTATTTCTGGTCTTTTGATCTATCTGTCATGAAGAATGGCATGTTAAGAAAATCTAATATGGTTGTGGATCTTTCCCTTTATCTTTTTAATTCTGTTTTCCTTGCATATATTTTGGGGCTATGTTGCTAAATTTATATAAGTTCAGAATTATTATGACTTTCAGTAAATTACTCTTTTACCATTATGTATTCCTAATGATACTGTACTGTTTTTTCTTTAGGGTTTTTTTCTGATTGATATTAATATAAATGTACTTTGGTTAGCATTTTTTCTGATGCAAATTTCCCCATCATTTATTCTTAAACTTTCTGTGTCATTCTGGTTTAACTGTAGCTCTTAGAATTAGCATATAGCTGGATTTTATTTGGAAATCCAACCCGAGTCTTAAGTGTCTAGTATTGAAGTTCTTTCTTGTTTTACTATCCGTGAAATGAGACATATCTTAATGATTTTGTTGTTGGTGTTTTACCAGTTTCTTACCTCCTCATTGTTTCTCACACTTCATCTTTGCTCTGGGTTCAATTCTGTTTTTTCCTGAAGTACATCCTTAGGTAGTTCTTTTAGCCAGGGTATCTGAATGGCTTGCTGTCTCACAGCGGCATTCTCTCTAATCAACATTTCAGGCAGGTAAAAACTGCTTTACTGCTTTGCTGAGCTGGTGGGTGGAGTTTTCATAGTTGACAGCAGATAATTGCCAGTCTGAGCAGCCCTTCAAGGGCCTTTGTTTTATATGGAAGCCTCAGTTCCAGCTCCTCTCCTCCTTCTACCCCATAGGTGTCCAATCTTTTGGCTTCCCTGGGCCACATTAGAAGAAGAAGAATTGTCTTGGGTCACACATAAAATATACTAACACTAACGATAGCTGAAGAGCTGAAAAAAAAATCACAAAAATGTCTCATAATGTTTTAAGAAAGTTTACAAATTTGTGCTGGGCTGCATTCATAGCCTTCCTGGGCCGCATGTGGCCTGCAAGCCACGGGTTGGACAAGCCTGTTCTATCCTGAAGCAGCATTTCTTGGCTTGTGTGGGTGGTGGAATCCCAGCTCCCAGGCTCTAGGACCTGTTCCTAGGTTTGAAATCGCCTCCCCATGCACTCCCCTACTGCCCTGGCTTTATGTTCCCATTGTATTCCCATCACCTGGGGAATTCTCACTTTCTTTTAAGCTTAGCTATTTGTTAAATTTTGGGAGGGTAAATATTTTACCCAGAAGTCATATGCGTGTGGTGTTAAGAAACAGTTTCATATTTATTTAGAGCATCGTATGTGCAGAATTGGAATCCTAACCTTCTTTACTAAACACATTTGTTTTTATTCCCAATGTGATTTCCAGTTGCACTATACCTTTGGCCATATTTAGGAAATTAAATAGATGGATACTATTATTTTGTACCTCTATTTTCACTGTTTTTCCAGTGAAACACCTTTTCAATGCATAGGTATCAGTCCATTATTGCTAAATGTCCTTCCTCCTTCGCCTCCCCAACAGACCTCCCTGTCATACCTGTCTACTATCTTCTTGTTACCTATCTTGTGTTTAAGTTCTTCTTAGCTTCTCACGCTGGCAAGTGATATGATGGATATAGAATTTAGTGACTGAACATGGCCTCTAAAGATCGCCTTTTCTAAAATGTTTGCGTTTTATTAGAGGATTGAGAAATACAAAGAATGAGGAGACTCATGGCATTGAAGAGGGCTGTTATGAAAGATACTTTGGGGTACCAACAGTCAAGAAATATTCCCTTCTGGTGCCTCTAGATTACATTATTTCAGAAACTGCCATCTTTGCTATTTCTATTTATGTGTATCTACATTTCCCAAAGAGCTCAATGTCAACTATTACGGACTTTGATGGGAATACAAACTCAAAAAGGAAATAATTATTTTTCTAAAAGGAAAATTTCTCTCTTCTTCTGATCTTTTCCTTCATTTTTTCAAACAAACACAAAAAAAGTCCATATCTACAAAGCAACCAATTACTACAAAGATATCGGAAATAACTTATGCCCTAACATTATAATATGGTGAAAATTATAATCCAAAATGTAGAATAATATCTGGGCTGGCTTTCATCACAGCACTAATATGAAGCCTATTTCAAAGAGAATGAAGTAAAGAGAGTTGCAATTTAGTATGTGAAAGGCTAGGTGAAATTACATGGGCTTTGTCATATTTGCACATCTAAATCTAATGGGAAATTAAATAACTCAAGCTGTGCACTCTCATCTCCAGGAATTCATCATATGAAGGAATGAAGATGTTCAAAAGAAAACCTTCAACCTCATGCCAGAAGATGTTCCCAGCTGTATAAATGCCTAACTCAGCTTCTAGTCCTTGGAAATTAAGCAGCTCATTGAAAATTCAAGAGTTCCAGCCAGAAGCTACAGCTAGGCTCAGATGTTGAAATCAGTCTCTCCTGCTGATCAAACTGTGACATAGCCAAAGCAATAGGCCTGGCTTTTCAGTTAATTCTCAGCGAGCCCTTCCTTTCCCTCTGTAGTGGTTGGTGTGGCATTTATAATATAACTCCTTTATGTACACTGTAAACCATTCCTTCTCAGGGCAGATGGAAGTATGAAATCTATCTATTTCAGTCTATAAAATTATATTTAGAGCGTTAGGTAATGAATGTCCTAGTAAAGTCGGCAGAGGACAGGTAGGTTAAATGACAAGTAAGGAATGACAGGCAGGTAGTAGATGATAAGAGTTGCAGAACAGTTTGGGGAGAAGGACTTTATTTTTAAATGCCTTTAGTAACACTACTACTACTAATATAGCAGTAAAGTACTTTTTACCCATTAATAAATGGGTAAAAGTAATTTCAAGTTAGCAAATTTCTCATTTATATGCAGTGTTTCATATAACAATGGCTCAATCCTGATCCTTGTAGGAAACTACCTTAACCATTGTGTATTTTTTCAGCTTTTAATGACTATACAAGCACATCTTATCATATTTTATATTTTTTACATAAAGAAGTCATGCAACTTACACCATGAACATCTTTCCATATCAGGTCATATGGAACTTTTTCATTCTTTTTAACAATTGCAGAATATTGTGGGAAGTAGTTTAATTTACTCAGCTAGTCTTCTAATGATGGACATTTGGCTTGTTTACAATTTCCATTCTTTCACAAAGCCTGCTGCAACAAATAACATTATTCATATGGCATTTTGTTTAAGTGTGAGTATATATGTAGGATAAATTTCTAGAAAGTAGACTTGCTGGATTAAAAGTTATGTACATTTTAAATTTTGATAGATATTGCCAAATTTCCATGCAAAGGATAAATTTCTTTGTGTAGAATTGCTTGGTTGCATGGTGTATGCATTTCATCTTTCAGAAATGTTGTATCAGTTTATATTCCTGGGCAATATGGGCAAACAAGATAACCTGAAAATCCCCCTAGAAAGACACCTAAAATATTAAAAAATATGTAACAAATATCTCATGTATAGAACTAGGCTTGCAAAAAAGTAAGGCAAATCCCCAGGGATCAAAAAATGAAGAAGCTGAAAACCAAGGGAGGAAGCAGACATTGAAGCCACTGATGCCCTGGGGCATTTATAGTTGCAGGTAACCAAGATGCTTGGTGTTTAACAGCCACATGAAGATAAGACCTTGGACCCAGCAAGGTGTAGAGAGGAGCCAAGACCCTCACAAGAATCTGGAACCCTCAAGCACTAAAAGATGGATAGAAAAAAATAACGAGCGAAAGGAGATAATAAGGCAAATTGTCTGGCTTGGCTTAGGCATACAGAGTAAAAACGAAAAGTATGTACTGAGAATTTATAACCACAGGCCTGCCCTCAAGTGGGATAGGAGTTCTAATACATACTACCTTGGGACACCTTGGGTGCCTAACAGAGGCAAATGCAAATCCTCTCCAAAGACTCATGTCTTCAACCTAGGCTACCTAAGATTCTGCTATGGTTTGAATATTTTTCCCTCCAAAACTCCTGTTGAAATTTAATCCCCATTGTGGCCATATTGAGAGGTGGGGTCTTTAAGAGGTGATTGGGTCATAAGGGATCTGCCCTCATTAATGGACGAATCCATTCATGGATTAATGGATTAATGGGTTATCACAGGAGAGGGACTGGTGGCTTTATGAGGAGAAAAGAGACCTGAGCTAGCATACTCAGTCCTCTTACCATGTGATGCCCTGCACCACCTTTGGACGCTTCAGAGTCCCCACCAGCAAGAAGGCCCTCAGCAGATGTGGCCCCCTGACCTAAAACTTCCCAGCCTCCATTATTGTAATAAATAAATCCTATTCTTTATAAATTATCTAGGTTCGTTATTCTGTGATAAGCAGTAGAAAACAGACTAAGACAATTCCCATGGATAAAAGGTTTGATTGAACATAAATTCACAATCCAAAATTTCATACCAAAAGAAAGATTCCCATGCATGAATGCAAGCAGTAAAAACAGCTTTATTAGACTTCCAGGAACTTCAGATAACGAGCAATCAGATAGAGAGTATAAAATGAGTTTTATATTTTTAAAAGGTTTAAGGAAACAGTATCAGGAATAAGATGTAACTAAGAACACACACATAAACAAGGCCTGACAGGTTTTATAAAATAAAGTAGAACTTCTAAAAAATAAAAAAGTGATAATCAAATTTTAGAATACAATGGAATACTTAAATAACCAAATTAGATTCAGTTGTAAAAAGAATTAGCAAACTGGAAAAATCTGAGGGAAGTACCTAAAGTGCAGCACAGAGTTGCAAGAATGGAAAAATATAAAAAACATTGAATATGTGAGCATTTGAAGGACACATATATGTTGTACTGATGATATTCTACATGGATGAAAGAGAATGAGGGGATATGAGAAATATTTAAAGAGATAATTGGTGAGAATTTTCCAGAACAGGTAGAAGACATGAATCGTTAGATTCAGGAAGCACAATAAATCTCAAATTCTCCTACTGCATTTCAGCATACATCACACATTTTAATGAAATATAACTATATTTCCCAAAACAAACTGTTAATGAGAAGAGTGGCGTTGTTTTACATTTTTGCTAATCTCTTTAATGTCTAGTTTAGTAGAATACTGTTGGATTCTCATATGTGCTTTTGGATTCAACCTGTTCCAATATCACATGTCATATAGCCTTTGGAAAACAAATCTGCAAGAGAATGAGAATGAAAAAGACAAATTATGTCTTAGCATTATTATAAATATACTTTTGGCCTTGTGTAACTCCTGAAAAATTCTCCAGGTTCTTCAAGGGTCTTTAGAACATACTTGGAGGAACACTGATTTATGTATTTATTTAAAAAAATTTTCTTTAGAGATTAGGTCTTGCTTTGTTTCCCAGGCTGGAGTGCAGTGGTGCAATCATAGCTCACTGCACCCTTGAACTCTTGGGCTGAAGCAATCCTCCTATGTCAGCTTTCCAAGTAGCTGGGACAATAGGGGCACACCACCATGCCCAGCTAATTTTTAAAATTTTTTAGAGGTAGGGTCTCACTATGCTGTCCAAGCTGGTCTCAAACTCCCAGCCTCAAGTGATCCTCCTTCCTCAGCCTACTGAGTATCTGGGATTATAGGTGTGAGACACTGTGACCAGCTAGGACCACTGATTTTGTGTAAGTTTTTTATTATGGGTTATGGGTGGTGGACTGGGTGTGTTACAAACAAATATTCTACACACGTACACACACAGGTACATACACACACACAAACAACCATATATGCTCTACATGAATCCCAGTTTTTCAGGGAATTAGAATACATACAATAAGGTACACTTGGATTTGAAACTCAGGGGATTTCATTTCTCTTCCATGATTTAAAGGGTACTTCAGGATCCTGCAATACCATCTTTGTGAACATCAGGAATATTACGTTGGTACATACAGAAAGAAGTCTTGAGTAATACCAGATATTTTTGGTTAATAAGATGGTAAGTAAATTACTTGTTACCATAATCTGATTAAGACATATATATCAAAGGTGAATATGATTCTCCACTACATAATTGCAAAACTGCCCTGGAAGTGGAAAACAAAAATCATCTACCAGGAGACCAACACACCGAGTTTTATTTTCTGGTTTGCATTTAGCACCCAAATGTTTCAGAATCATGAGGAAACTGATGCAACTAATGTA
Organism: Homo sapiens; assembly: GCF_000001405.40. Taxonomy (NCBI): domain Eukaryota; kingdom Metazoa; phylum Chordata; class Mammalia; order Primates; family Hominidae; genus Homo; species Homo sapiens. The sequence continues at coordinate 56,140,110 of NC_000016.10, read as the reverse complement.
GAAACATCGACTCTGGAGACCAGCTGGAGAGAATGAGAAGATATTTTTTTCATTCCCTGGGAAGTCTCATTTACATAGCTTGAGTTAAATTTTGCTATCAAATTTTCTTTAACTAAAATTTTCTTTTCTGCATCTGATATTTCTCATTTTCAATTTTATATCATTAAAGAGATGGCCCCCTTCTGAATCTGTTAAGGGATCACATCTTGTACTCTTTGATCTCTTTCACATTGAACAAATATGACCCACATATTTTTCCTATCTTATTTATCTTATTATATAAAACCTAAGATGCAAGACATTATTTCAGCAGTGCTCAGGAGAAGAACAGTTGTAATAACTCATTAGATCTCAGACATCTCAATTTCAATTAAAAAGACTCACAAGAACTATTTACAATAGCAAAGACTTGGAACCAACCCAAATGCCCATCAATGATAGACTGGATAAAGAAAATGTGGCACATATACACCATGGAATACTATGCAGCCATACAAAAGAATGAATTCATGTCCTTTGCAGGGACATGGATGAAGCTGGAAACCATCATCCTCAGCAAACTAACACAGAAACAGAAAACCAAACAGCATTGTTCTCACTCATAAGTAAGAATTGAACAATGAGAACACATGGACACAGTGAAGGGAACATTACACACTGGGGCTTGTCAGGGGTGGGGGAAGGGGAGGGAGAGCATTAGGACAAATACCTAATGCATGTGGAGTTTAAAACCTAGATGATGGGTTGATAGGTGCAGCAAACCACCATGGCCCAGGTATACCTATGTAACAAACCTGTATGTTCAGCACGTGTATCCCAGAACTTAAAGTAAAATAAAAAAAGGCATTATCTCTAAATATGTATTTGAATCCACAAGTCTTCATCCCTATTCATTTCTGCTAAAACATAGATAGTAGAAGATTAACTGGCCAGTTTTTAACATGGGACACTGTGACATGCAAAATGACATTATCAAAAGGGTATGAGATAAAAAATGATTCAGTCCAGTAGAATTGCATTTATTACACAAACACATATTGAGTATCTCCTGGGTAACAGGCACTTAGCTAATCCCTGGGTTTCAGAGATAAATAAGAAAGAGTTTGTGCCTTCATAGCCCAGTAGAGGCAGTAAACCTGTAAACAAAAATTGATATAAAGTGTGATAAGACTTATAATAAAGATATGTATGAGGTATATTTATGGCACTAAGGGAGCAATACATTTTGCTTGTGGAATCAGAACGTCTTCACCTTTGAGCTGCTCTTGAGGAGTAAGTTGGAGTTTTCTAGGCTGTCAAGGAGGGTTAGAGTATTCTAGGCAGAAAATAACTACATGTGCAAAGCTCTGCATGTCCAGGCATGGCAGTAATTCAGCCTGTCAAGGCTGGAGTGAAGGGTGAAGACGGAGATCAGTCAGAAATGATGTTGGAGGGTAGGTGAAATTAGTTTGTCAAAGGTCTGTATCCCATGCTAGGAAGCTTACAATTTATCACATAGGTTTCTGGTTTTCCAGATATGCTGTAAATCAGTAGGGGGTTCACAGAGGTACCTGGGGGTACTGGTGGGGTATGTTCAGGGCAAGCAGGGAGGATTCTGCTCCTACCCTTGTCTCAATAAGAACTTCTCAGCTTTACTGTGTGCATGCTTCAAGTTGGACTTCATTGTAAGATTTCATTTTACTCAACAGTGGTCTATTGAGCACATACTTGGTGCCAAGCATTTTGCTGGCATAGCCTGCACAGAGCTTACCTCCCAGTGCAGAAAAAATATTCCTTTTTTTTTTTTTAAGACAGGGGCTTGCTCTGCCACCCAGACTGGAGTGCAGTGGCACAATCACGGCTCACGGAAGCTTCGACCTCCTAGACTCAGGCAATCCTCCTGCCTCAGCCTCTGAAGTAGCTGGGACTACAGGCATGCGCCACCATGCCGGGCTAATTTTTAAATTTTTTTTGTAGAAATGAGGTCTCACTGTGTTGCCCAGGCTGGTCTCCCATTCCTGGGCTCCAGCAATCCTCCTGCCTTGACCTCCCAAAGTGCTGTGATTTAAAGGTGTGAGCTACCGTGCCGGGCCTAAAGATTTCTTTTTTAAAAACTTATAAATCAACAATAATAGGTGAGGGAGAACCTCTAGAAGGTGGTAAGCAGGAGAGTGATATGACCAGATTTGCTTCTTAATCTCTCTCTGTTTGCAGTGTGGACAGTAGGCTCAAGAGCAGAGAGGCTGGGCAGAAAATGAAAGTACAAAATCAATAGGACTTGAGGTGAATATGGAGATGAAGATGACATTGTGTTAGGATAAGTCCCAGGCTTATGGCTTAGATGAATGCATCTGCCATAAGGAATCTAGGAGGAAGAGAGGGGGATAAGGAAGAACCTCTGGGGCATTCAACAATTAGGGAGATATTGGAAGAGGAAGAGGCAGTGATGGAAACTGAGAAGAGGGAGCGGGGGTGACAGTGAGAGACAGTGAGAGAGAGCAGAGAAGAGCGTTATCTCGATGGCAGAGTTTCAAGAAGGCAGAGATCAGTAGTGTCTGATTCAGGGAGACTTTGTAAGATAGACCAGGAAGGCTTCACTTGATTCGGCAAATGGAGAAGCTTGGGTGACTTCAGCAGGATCAGTTTCAGTGGAAGCCAGATTGCAGTGGGCTGAGAAGTGAGTAAGTGGCGAGGAAGTGGAGATGGTGAGAATAGATATCTCCTTTAGGAGAATGGCTGTGAAGGCAGAAGGAGGGAGAGCATGATTGCTTGAGAAAATGCTGAAGTGGGAGGCATGAGTTTATCAATATGCACAGGAGAGGGATCCAGAAGGACAGAAAATTTGTGTGTGTGTGTGTGTGTGTGTGTGTGTGTGTGTGTAATTGCTAAAGGAGATCCCTGAAGATGTGGGACGGATCTCAGGACTCATATCCAGCATCAGTCTTATTGAGAAACCCTAAATATATGAGAATTTAATATATTCAGCATATATACGTGTACATGTATCCACATATACACATATTTGGGATATTTTGGGGGGACAAATTTATTGATAAAAGTTTGAAAATTAATTTCAATTTTTTTAGAGTACTGTAGGATTTTGGATATCAAAGAAACTGCAAAATCTAAATCATGTCTTTTTAATTTTTAATTTTCTCTATTTAGAACATATGAATTTCTGAATAGCAAAACCACTTTTGTTTGAGGATACCTTAGTAATTCATTCTGGAGGTCTCAGAAAATGAACACATTTTTGTCATTGGAGACTCCTTAAGAAACTCTTCCCTCTCTCGCCTTTTAAAATCCCTTTATCCGTGTTAACTCTATTTTTTTCCATGAGTTCCTAAGCTCTAAATTGTACATGGGTGTAAAAATGTACTTTACAGCATTCAACAGCGATTTTTTATTTGACAGCTAGGATCCACTTCTTAGACGAAATAGTTTTTCTATTCCACAGTTGGATTCTATTAGAGATGTTGGTGACCCTTTGAGACAAACCAGATATGTAAAGTTATTAGCCTTAGGGATGACTTTAAAATGAGAAATGGCATTATATTCTCTAAATAATTGCTGTTGGTTCTGTGTTTTATAAACATCATGGGTATGTAATAACCTATTAGCTGTTGCTTGCTATCATCCTGCCTGCAGGGCCAATGGTGAGGGGCAAGCATGGGAAGATTTGGTTGACAGATAGTTCTGAATGGGAAATTAAAATCCTGTATTTGTTCTTGAATCTGCTTCTAATTTTCAGTGTGGCATGGGGGAAATATATTAAATCCCACTATGTGTCAAGTTCTCACTCTGCAGAAAGGAGAGTGATACAGCATCTACGGGTGGTTCATAGGGAAGGTAACGCCTATGTATGAATTACGAGGAAACTCAACCTAATATCATACAATGGCCCTGACAGTTGGGCTTATTAGTGTATGAAATGGCCATGGGGAGAGATTCATTTGGCAGAAGGCCCCTGCCCATAGCTTTTATTCATGATTATGAGAGTCAGGCTAGGTCTCCCAGTCAAAGACAAGCTTGGTTCCTATGGTTTTGACATTGATTGTGAGTCAAAGACTTATCTCTGACTGTTACCGTCTCCCCACCTTAATTTTGCAAAAGAAACATGTCCCTAGTTTATTCAGCACTCTCTCACTCCACCCCTGGGTATTCCTCCTGAACATGTGTTATTACAATTTCCAGTCTGTATTCACTGATTTTATAGTGGCAATAGTTGTTGACTTATCTTTTGCTGGGCCACTTCTCTTGTTACCTGCCTTGGTTTTTATTTTTCCCCAAACATATAGAATATATTTTCTCCAAACAGTACCCAAATGCCAGATTGTCAAAAGGAAGTTGACAAGAGTATGCTGTGCTACATACTGTGAAAGGAGCTAATCAAAGCAGCTTTTTAATTGCTATAGTAATGATTTAGATGTGCAAAAAAATACTCAAGTTAAATTTGCATGACTAATTAATTAAGCAAAGCTCACAATTGACAAACATAATTAGCACATCCAAAATTGAAACCACATTCTGATCCTTTTAACTTGGTGCCAAAAAAAAAAATGTGAAGTGCTCAGCACCCCCTTCTTTACAGTATCTGTAGGTCCAGTTGCCAATTCTCATATTTAGGTTTGTTATACATGGAGCATAGTTAATTGCAAAAACATTCCTGAAGATCTTACTTTTTTTAACCAGAGAATTCTCATGAGTTTTGGCATATTTGTTCAATCCTTTAGCAGCTAAATTTATCTAATAGAGTGAAACTCTTAAACAGGGAAAAGGAGATCTGCCTATCTTTCTATCTATCTATCTATCTATCTATCTATCTATCTATCTATCTATCTATCATCTATCTATCTTAATCTAATCTATCTTTCATTTATTCATCTGTCTTCCTATAAGTTGCTGTTAGATCAGCTTTAATGGTACATACATGTTTTATGTGGGAAAGTGGTTTGATCTGGAGACATGGAAACCTATATAATGGTAGGTCAAGTTACCATGGAGCTTCATTAGTAGAGATACATAACAGCATTCTGTGGCAAATCCATAATTCAGAGTCTCCTGGAGTCCTTGCTGAGCTAAAGCCATGCTGTGTCTGAGGACTTAGGGAAAAATCCTTCCTCCAACTCTCTCCTACTCATGACAGCTTGTGACATGGTTTGTTACTTGGCTACCAAAGTGGAATTGCTGTGTTCACAGTAACATGGGGAAAAGTCACTTCCCCTGTAGCCTGGATACCCTTTCTCCTCCCATAAAGCTAAGACCTCAGTTGGACCAAAGATCAATATATGGGTCAGGTATCGTATTCTGCTTCCCATGGCCAGTTTCATCCTTTGAATTATCTGGAAAACCAAGTGTATATTTTTAATTAATCACAGCACAAGTGTGGCAAACCTCCTTTGGTGCAAATTGACTCTTGAAGGTCCCATCCACCAGTGCAACACACTTCATGCATTCATGGACTCAGTGCTGATTAAGGGACTGCTATGTTCCAGACACTCTTCTAGACACAGGTCAAATATCTAGATACTAGACTGGACCTGTCACTCACGCATGTGTTGGTATACACACAGATCATTCATGTGTAGGACTTCATTTCCTCTAAATTTCCTTTTAATGGAAGAGACTCAGTCTGTGTAGCAAGTAAGAATTTTTCATCCATGATACACAGCAAGAAGCATTATATAATTATAATTGTGAAAATGTTAAAAAATACAGAAAAGTGCTAGGGACAATACTGTACAATACTTATGTAGCCATCAAATAGAATTTCCAGATGACATGTTATATTTACTTCATTTTTTTAATCAAGAAAGTAATATTTTACTGATAAATCTTTGATCTCATCCTTTCTCATTCTCATTTCCTTCCCTCTGTTCTTTCTAAGAAGCACCACTATGATTATTATGCTGTGTAGCCATCCACTATATCTTTTATATTTTTACTAGATATAGAATATGCCTAAAATATATAGAGATTGCTTTTATACATTTTAAAAATTTGACATAAATTCTATCATAATACACAAATTGTCCTTTTTTTTGAGCTTGATCCATTTTAGTGCATATACATTTAGTTCATTTTAACTATGGTGTATTATTCCCTTGTGTGTGTTTACCTCAATTTCTCTTTCCTTCTTCTACCTACAGACATTTAGAGTTTCCAGTAGTTTTTCCTATTACAAACAAAGCTTATGAGGACATCCATGAAAAATATTTATTTACACACTTGGGGAAGAATTTTCCTAAAGTATATATCTAGATGTGGAATTATTGGACTGAATATTATCTACATCAAATTTATTAGATATTGTTCTCCAAATGGTAGGGTGCTTCTACCAACAGTGTATAAGAATCTTCCTTCTTACCAATACTTGACATTCTCAGACTTTTTAATGTTTGCCAACCTGATGCTTTTCCCTGACTACACATGAAGTTCAGTACATTTTCCCATGTGCCTACTGAGCATCTGAAATGTAGCTGCTTTGAGTTGTGCTGGAAGTATAAAATACACACCAGATTTTTAAAATTTAACATGAAAAAATAATGTAAAATATCTAATTAATAATTTTGATATTGATTGTATGTTGAAATGATAATAATTTGGATACATCAGGTTAAATAAAATAAATTATTATGATTAATTTCTCCTGGTACTTTTTACTTTTTAAAATGTGCCTACTAGAAAATTTAAAAATGCCTATGCAGCTCTTAACTCTTAGTACACTTCTATTGGATAGCACTGGGTTAGAAATTCCAGTATAATGTTGAATAATCATGGTGAAAGTAGACTTCTGTGTTTTGTGACTACAGTGGAAATCCTTCTACAGATTCATCTGTATTTCTGAGGTTTACTTTTGGTGTTTTGTAGTTACTCTATTAGATTGAGGAGGTCTCTGCTACTCCTACTTTGATGAGAGTAATGATAATGAATGAAGATTAAATTCTATGCGTCAACTATGTATTAGGATGATCATGTCATGTAGTATTTTCCTTTAATTTTTAGTATGGTCAAATATATATGTATTTTAGTATTTAGTATGGTCAAATATATATATACATATATAATTTTTAGTATGGTCAAATATATATACACACACACACACATATATATATATACATATATATATATGTCAATGAGGAACTATCTTGGCATCCTGGGATAAACTTACCTAGCCATTTTGTACTTTTTATACCCTGCTGGGTTTCATTGGCTTAACTTTTCTTGGGAATTTCCCATTTATATTCGTAGATGAGATTGTTCTATAATATTGATTTTTTTTGTACTCTCCTTATTGGCATTAAGTTCACTACAACTGCTGCCTCTAATAATCAGCATTTATTGAGTACTTAGTAGTGCCAGGGGCTTTCATGCAGTCCCTCATTGACTACCCCCACCAAACTTATAAAATAGATTTTATTCTTATCCTCATTTTATAGAGGAAGAAACTAAGACACGGAGGGGATAGGTAATGTGCCTAAGGGTGGCACTCCATTTTGAACAAAATGGTAGACTAGTTATCCCAAGAAAGCCCCCCAATTTGAAACTTCTAAAATGCTGGATAAAAAATAATTTTTTAATCTTAAAATAAGTTGTGAACCTGGAGAGAAAGTTGAGGAAAGCCTCAGATCCCCTTGTTTTCATCCTTTGAGCTTCAATTTTCATAGACCTTAAATGGGGAGCAGGAGACAAACCTGAGGTCCCCAGCAAAGTGGAAAATTGGATTAAAGACCTCCAGGATAAATACAGGACCTTGAAAAATGACCCATGCAGTGATTAAATTGGAAAAAATATCTACCCCTCTTGTATTCTGAAGATAGGCAGAAAGGAAATTACCTTGGCTCCAGGTAAGTGGGTTGGGTGATAGGTTGGGGAAAAGTCCAGGGCTGGCATTGCTGCATACTACAAGTTTTAAAAGAACACTTTCAGAAATGAGCATTTTCACTGTTAATTCAGTTCTAAATCTTTTATAATTCCATTATCATTTCCTCTTTAATTCTTGATTGTATAAAAATGCAATTTTTATTTCCAAACACAGGGGTGTTTTCATTTTTACCCTCTTTTCTTGTTGGTCTTAGTTTAATTGGATTGTGATAAGCAGAGTATGCAAACTGCATGCTATTGATTTTTTGAATTTTGTTGAGACTTACTTTGCTACTTAGCAATTAATTTTTGTAATTATGCCACATACATATGAGAATGTATATTCTCTATTTTGGGGGGGTAGTATTCTTTTGATGTATATGTCCAATAGATCATGTTTGTTAATTGTGTTTCTGATTCTTCATCTGATTTATCTATCATTGTCTGAGAAAGTTGTCTTAAAATCTTTCACTGTGAATGTGAATTTATCCAATTTTCCTTGTAATTCTATCAGTTTTTCATTTAGGTATGCTTAAGCTGTATTAGCAGATGCATACAAGTTAATGATAGTTATATTTCTTGTAGACTTTAAAATATTGTTTTAAAGTGAAGCTCTTTATCTCTGGTAATGCTTTTAGCCTTAAATTCCATTTAATCTGCTATTAGCATTGCTCACTAGAATTCTTTGGGTTGGTATTTGCCTGGTCTATATTTTTTCATCTTTTTATTTTCAATCTTTCCGTATTTGTTTTAGGTGTGTCTCTTGAAAGTAGCCCATCACTGGTGTTTGCTTTTTTATCCATAGTTATGGGAACTTTCTGGATTAACTGAGTTTAATATGTGTCCATTGATTATGATTAATGACATAGTTTGGCTTATTTCTACCATCTTATGTTATTTTCTATTTTTCAAGCTTTTTACTTCTTTTTTCACTCTTTCTTCCTTTATTTTGGATTTATACATTTTTATTATCCTTTCCCTTGCCTCTACCCCAGTGGTTTGAAAACTTTAGATTCTATTTTTTTATTTCTTCACATGTTTAACATGCACTGTAAGCTTTCTACTTTGTCTATAGTTTTTTCAGTTTCTCTATTCTTCTTTTGAATAAAACAAGGAATTTACCAGGTACCAAACTTAAGTTATCCAGAGTCCCTTCTTTCATCTGCCATTTTATTGTTATATAGAATTTAGTTTTACCTGTTTTAGAAGGCACAAAATCAGTTGTTATTATTATTAACAACCAATACATAAAGAGATATGCCGATACATTTTGTTAATTTATTTGCTAATTATGCTCCTTATATCCCACTCCTTCCTTCTGGGTTCATTTTTCTTCTTGCTGAAGTATATCCTTTCATGACTTACTGCAGTGAAAAAAAAAACACTGGTTTTGCTCCATATATAATTCTTGTTATTTCCCTTATTACTTGGAAGCTATTTCCCCACTGTCCGCTGGCGTCAATTTACCAATGAGAAGTAAGCTTTCAGTCTAATGACTGGCTCTTTGTAGGTAATCTGTCTTCCCTCCTGGTAGTATTTAGGATTTTCTCTTTATCCCTGCTGTTCTGAATTTTCAATATGAAATGCTTAGAGGTGGATTTATTTTTGTTTTTCTGTCTCAGCAATTGATATAAACACTCAGTCTGAGGGCTCATGTCTTTCTTTACTCCTCAGCCTGAAATATTTTTGGCCATTCTCAGCCATTATTTCTCCTGATGGTGCCTCTCTGCCCCTTCCTCTATTCTCTGCTTCTGGAATTACATAAGACACATGTTGGAGCTTCTCCCATTCTTTTATATTTTCTGGCCCTCTATCTTTTTATAGTAATTATTATGTTTTAATTTTGAAACATTCTGAAATTTATGTGTGCAAGTTATGTACAAGTAACTTCCCTTTCCCAAACAATTTGAGAGTAAGTTGCTGATCTGATGCCCTGCTACCACAGAATACTTTAGTGTATATTTCCAATGTACACATTTCTCCTACACGATTGCAATACAATCATCAAAATAAAGAAATTAACACTGATATATTACTACCACCTAATCCTCTGATCTTGTTACAGCTTCACTGATTGTCCCAATAATGTCCATTACAGAAAATAGGTCCAGTTCAGAAACATGTGTTGTGTTTAGTTGTCAGATCTCTTTTAATCCCCTTCAGTATGAAAGATTTTTTTTAACTTTAATGATCTTGATGTGTCTGAAGATTTGTAGACCAGTTATTTTGTAGAATGTTTCTCAGTTTGGGTTTGTCTGATGTTTCGTCATGATTGGGTTTCGGTGATGCCTTTTCGCAGGAGAATCACAGAATTGATGCTGTGTCAATCATGTCAAAATGTCTTACCAGAGGTGGTGTTAAATTTCATCACATAGCTAAGATGGTGTCTGCAAAGTTTCTCTACTTAAAAATTATTATCTTCCCCTTTGTAATTAGTAAGTACCTTTGGGGGAGAGACTTTGACTCTATGCAAATATCCTGTTTCTTATCATAAGCCCAATAATTTTAGCATCCATCAATAGTTCTTGCTGCAGCAATTAGTATTCTGATGTTTGCCTACTGGAGATTTTCATATTTTTGCCTTATTTTCTCTGTATTTATTAGTTAGAATTCTACTATAAGAGCTATTTCCTCCCCCTGTTTATTATTTATTTCTAAATATTGTTAAAATTTATTATGGTAAAATATGTATAACATAACATTTGTCATTCTAACCATTTTTAAGTGCATGGATCAGTGGCATTAAGTACATTCACATTGTTGTGCGACTATCACCACCGTCCATCTCCAGAACTTTTTCATCTTCCCCAGCTGGGAATCCACACCCATTAAACACTAACTCGCTATTTCTTCATCCCCTAATCCCTGGAAACCACCATTCTACTTTTTGTTTCTATGAATTGGACTACTCCAGATACTGCATATAAGAGGAATCATTTAATGTTTATCTTTTTGTGATGGGGTTATACCCTATTTATTTAATTAATTATTTAGATCAACATGGACTCATGACTATTTTATTCTATGGATTATAATCCAATACTATTATTATCATCTTTATTGTTACTCAAATTGTCAGCTTTGGCCATTGAGAGCTTTAGCTATGGGGAGCTCCTTCAGGTTAGCTTCTGTGTCCTTTCAACAGGCCCATCATTTTTCTGAGCACTTCTTTGCGCTCTGTCATCCCAAGATATTCCAGGCTCATTTGTACTTTTCCTGTCCCAGCTCTAGAACCAGCCACTTCTCCAAGGAGCCCTTGTACTTTTCACTGGAAAATGTTATTTAGAGACCAAGATTTGGGCACCAGGTATTCTTATTGCTACTGGTGTCCCTTTTTCTAGGCTCTCTCAAAGTGGACAGAACAAGGAAACATATGTATGCATTCAAATGCATGCATATACATACATACACACAGATATATGTATCCATCTGTGTGTGTGTATATATATTATATATATATATATATCTTACAATCCATGAGTTTTTATGATGCCTCTAATTCTAACACCACAGGGTTTGTTCTAGCCACTCTCCTTTCCTAATTTGTTTTTTTATTTTATCTCTATTTTCAGAGACAGTCTCTCACTCTGTCACCTTGGCTAGAGGGCGGTGGTGCAATCACAGCTCACTGCAGCCTCGAACTATTGGGCTCAAGCGATCCTCTTGCTTTAGTCTTCCAAGTAGCTGAGACTACAAGCATGAGCCATCACACCCAGCTACTTTTTAAATTTTTTGTAGAGAGGCAGACTCAGTCAAGCTATGTTGCCCGGGCTGATCTCAAACTCCTGGCCTCAGGAAATCCTCACGCCTTGGCCTCTCAAAGTGTTAAGGGTTACAGGCATGTGCCAGCACACCCAGCTTCCTTTCCTCATTTGTAACTTCTTTCTTGGTTCTTGTGATCTACAAGCTGTATATTACCATGAAGCTTTACCATGGTTCTAAGAGTCAGAGGTGTACAAAAGGTGTATTCAGGCCGGGTATGGTGGCTCATGCCTGTAATCCCAGCACTTTGGGAGGCTGAGGCAGGCGGATCACCTGAGGTCAGGAGTTGGAAACCAGCCTGGCCAACATAGTGAAACCCCATCTCTACTAAAAATACAAAAATTAGCCAGGCATGGTGGTGGGCGCCTGTAATCCCAGATTTTTGGGAGGCTGAGGCAGGAGAATCTCTTGAACCGAGGAGGTGGAGGTTGCAGTGAGCCGAGATCGCGCCACTGCACTCCAGCCTCGGTGACAAGAGCAAAACTCCATCTCCAAAAAAAAAAAAAGGTTTATTCAGAGGAATATTGCTCCCCCAGTCTTACTACTATTTCTCATGCCTTTTTTCTCCTTATTCCCACCTACAACTGTAAAGTAACCATGTCATTAGCTACCAGTTTATCCTTCCTGTATTTCTTCTGCACAAAATAACAGATATTTTCTTAAATCCCTTTCTTTCCTACGTGAAGCATACTATAGATACTCTTTTTTGCACTTTTGTTGTTGTTTGAAATTACTCCGTATCAATTTGTAGAGATCTTCCTTATTCTTTTTCTTTTTTTTTTTGCAGCTACAGTATTTCATGATAGCTTTTCAACTACTGTCCTGTGGATGGGCAGTTAGAGTGTCTTCAATATTTTGTAATTACAATATTGCAATGAATAATCTTGAGAATATGTATTTTTGTGTTGTTGGAGGTATATGTTCAGATTAGATTCCTAGAAGTGGCATTACTCAATCAAAAGTTTTGTGCATGTGTGGTTTTTTTAGATAATGTCCAAATTCTCTTCCAGAAGGGTGGCATCTGCTTGCCTTCCTACCACCAGTGTATGGGAGTGCTTGTTTCCCCACAGCCTTGCCAAAAGAATGTGTTGCCATGCTTTTAAAATTTTTTTTACCAATCTAATAAATGAGAAATGGTATTTCAGTGTTGTTTTAATTTGCATTTCTCTATGAGTTTATTTTTCAAACATTTAAGAGCCACTTTAGATTGTGTGTGTGTGTGTGTGTGTGTGCGTGTGTGTGTGTGTGCATGTGTGTGTGTGTGTGTGTGGTTGCTCATGTTGTTCTTCCATTTTTCTGCTCTACTTTTGGTCCTTTGTCTCCTGATTTTTAATAGTTATTTATTTATTAGGGATATTAACCCCTTGTCTGTGGTATATGCTGCAAATATTTTCTCCTAGTTTGTCAAAGTCTTTTGATTTGCTTACGGTGTTTTTATTTTTTTCTTTTGCCATACAAAAAGTTTTATGTAGTCACAATTATTAATCTTTTATTGCTGCTGAGTTTTGAATCATAGTTAAGAGCCTTTCTTTAACCTGTAGATTAAATGGGAACTTAGAGGCTTTATGGTATGTTTGACTGTCTGATGGGGCTCTTTCTCCCTCCCCATTCCACCCTCATTGTTTCTCTTTTTCACCATTTTTCTGGCTATTCTTAAAGATTTGTTTTCCATATGGACTGTAGTTTCAATTTGTCTAACTCCTTAGAAAGCCTTGTTGTTATTTTTATTGGAACTGAGTTCAATTATAAATTAACTTAGGAAGAGCCAACAAATATGCGATGCTGAATCATCCTATCCAAGAATAGAGGATATTTTTGCTTGTGTTCAAGTCTTCCTTGTGTCTTTCAGGAATGTATGCTATTTTATTTTACTGATTTTAATTTCTGTGTCAATTGTTGCTATATTTTATTATTTATTGACCTCTTATTATTGGTGTCAATTTTCCAGATTATCTTAATCCTTATTTCCATTTCTTAGTAATCTATGCTCCCATATGCCATGTACAGTTCTATAGTTAATACAATTTCATTTTCATCGTCCTTGCTCCTCATTGTAGATTTTGTAAAAAGGCCACCTGGAAAAGAGTCTTAATGGGGACACTGGCCTTGGTTGGGGAATCCTGGGCAGGAGCTATAACCTCCCTGGCAGGGCTGGGATGAAGTTACAGTAGTCTTAAGTGAAAGACCTGGTCAGCTACACAGGAATGAGGCCTTGCTAAGAACACAGATCGGGCTTCTTTGTAGACTAGCTCATAACAAGATTCAATTGGTGGCAGCTTGAGATTTGAGAAAGTGGGAGAATAAGACTAGATAAATAGGCCAGGGCTAGGGTGGTGAAATAATGTAGTAGAATGAGTATGGACTTTGGAGTCAGTCTGGGTTTGAATCCAACTCTGCTATTTCCTGGCAAGGCTATCCTCAGTTTCTAATGTCTGATAGATATTAATAGTACCTAACTCAGGGTTGCTGTGGTGATTAGAGATGGTGCACATGAAACACTTAGAGTCTGTTTGATATAGATAACAATATAGACCTATAGATATGTGAGTCACAATATAACATAAAAATCACATCACATAGATCAGACTAGAAAAGACTGTAATTGAACATAAGCCTGTGACCTGTAACTGGGATTCTTCTACTCTCCCTTCATTGTCCTGGAACCATGATGAACCTTTCAGGCTTTGGTGGGAGGTGGGGAGAACAGCTGGTCACTACCCTACAGGTTTAGGGCTGTGTCTAGGATCCTGTGGTTTCTAATATTGGGCACAAAATTACAGGCTTAACAGGGGTTTTGGTGCCCCCACAGAGCTAATGGAAGATGAATCCTATGAGTTTGGGGTATCTTATTCATAGGCATACTGTTCCCTGGGGATCCTTCCTTTCTGTGGTCTGAGCTTTTGATAGAATTTTTAACAATTTAAGCTGCAGGAAATTATTGTAGCTTTGGCTGATGAACAACCCATGGTGTAGGAGGCAGAACTGAAAAAAGTAATGCTTTGATTTATATCCTATTGGCTAAGAATTTTGTCATGTACAGAGGAACATGGTGGGAGTGGGGTTAGAGACAGCTGGATGGCTGGATATTGGGTCATCTTAATATCTACATAAATAGCTAATGTGACAAGATTTCAGATAGGGGATTAAAGAAATGATAAAACTTGCAGCCCAGGAGGGGTCACAGGGCTGTAGCCAATTCTCTACTAGGGGTAGCATAGAAGCATACAGAGCTGGGGTTTAGCTTAGCAAAGCTACTAAAGTATGATAGAAAATGCCTGGAAATCCCAGGGATTCCCCCTTCAAAGGCAAAAATAAAAGGACTCTCATTTAGTGAATGAATGTAACTCCTGCTAACAGTGAGAAAGTAAAGGGAGAAGGAAGGACAAAGGGAGGAAGAGCTGAGAGACACAATCCATCAACCAAGTGAAAAAATAGGAAGGTCAAAAAGTCAACATTAAGTTCTATTTTACCTGTACTTAATTCAAGGCATCTGGTCAGCTTATCACTGGAGACAGAGAGAGCACGAGAGAGCACTGTGAATAAATCAAATACATTGAGAACTTCCATCTTCATGTTAACCATTCATTTCATCTGCCTTCTCTATCCCATAAGTTTTAGTAGATCATGTGGGAAGTTAAATTTTACTGATTTGAGTTTCATCTTTTTTTAATTTCCTCTTCCCTGCATGTGAAGAGGCCAGTGAACCTTAAAATAACCAAATGGCAGAAAACCAAGGGAATAAGGACAAGCTTAAGTGCCTGGCCTAGATAATTAGTCTTTGAATAATCAAGAATGGGGTGCATTATAATCTTCATATGGGCACAGTAATTAGGCTTAGAGGGTTTCAACTATGATGTTATAATTTATGTATGTAAGTGTGAAGTTGGATAGTTTGGGGACAATTTAGTTTTATATTTAGCAACAAAAGAATTGATCCTGCATTTTCTAAACATATAAACATCTGAGTCCCTGTTTCTAGAAGCTCTCAAAGGATGAAACAAAAGCTTAGAAAGATGGCTGCAGTGACCACAGGTGCTCTGTTGCTTCACTCAGGGAGTCCTTCACCTGCATCATTTTGAATGCATATAGTGTCATCTCCGGAAGTAGCTTTCAGATTCTCTGTTTTGAGTCACAGCTGACTCCCAATTATAAAACTAAAAGCAATTATCTGGGTTCTCACCGTGCATTTAAGATTATAGTTTTATGTTTATTTATTTAAAAAAACACAAACTAGGCAAACAACTACTTAAGATGCAGTGTGTGCTCAAACTGATTTAAAACAATAACAGCAGGCATATCCCTTGCGATTTTCTAAAATATTCCCTTTCTTCTTCTGCAATTTGAATCCAAATGTTCAACTTTGATTTTTGTCTTTTCTAAGTGTTGTACCTTTCTGGGCTCTTTGTATACTAGAGATGAAGGGAAAGAGAGAATGAAGAATCCCAAACTATGACATTTTAAAACTCAAGTTTAAGAGTTAATTTGGTTAGCAATTAAGATTTCTATTTTGTTAGAACAGAAGTTACAAGTTTGATTGTTAATTAAAGCACCCACAAAATGGAATCTCTACTTCTCCCAAACAACATCTTTATTCATTTATTAGGTACAGAATGTGTTTGTGATTCTTTAGCTCCTACTATAGGTTTTAGAGAACCCAGAGAAGGTAATAATCATGTCAACTATCCTTAAAATAAAAGAGACCAGATGAAATACAATTGAACAATACAGATATTCCTTAATTAGTTGAAACTCTTTACATTAATTAATTAATGGAAACCCTTTTGCGGCTTGGATAAGGAAGAATATTTATAATATTTTAAAATGTCATATTATGTTTAGAATAAAGCACAAAATTAAAAATACCACAAACATAACACAGTAACTGAAACTCTTTACAGTAGTGCCATCAACTTTACCATTTATCACAATGATTCTAGCTGAAAGGTAGAAATTCCTAAAGCCTTGGTGATTTTCTAACAACCCCAAGCTCTTTTGAAATAAAGTCTAACATTCACACTCATTATTTTCCATCCCTTAAACTCTCTGGACTTAGTAGACATCTTGGTACTGTTCTAATATTTAATTCTTACACTTAATTTGAGTATATTTTAAAACTTATCTTCCCAACTAGATTATAAGCTTCTTAAAAATAGGATCTGTGTGTTCAACTTAAAAAAAACTTATACAGCATCTAACAATATACCTTAGTACATTAGAAGCCTAGCAGATAAATACTTCTTCATCAATTTCATTGCTAACGTTTAAAATAATGTCATATACTTGAAAAATTTTATATTATTTAACTGTATGATCTTAAGAAGTTTGCACTATTCTGAAATGTGATTGCATTATGTTTAGGAACTCTTTTCCTGGGTAAATGTGTTCTATTAACTGAGAGACAGCTGTATAAATATGCTCTTCCCACCACTAACACATGCAGAGGCAAAAGCAAATGTAATAGTGGAAATGATGGAGAATGGGGCAAGCCTATCTCTTATTTGCATGAATTAAAGAGGTTTCATGAAGAGGTGGACATTGGTAACTGCACAGGTAGCTAGCAACATAAGCTTGTTTTCCGTGTCAGAGCATACATAGAAGAGTAAGAGAGCTGGCTGGGTGCAGAGGCTTATGCCTATAATCTTAGCATTTTGGGAGGCTAAAGTGGGCAGATGGATTGAGCCCAGGAGTTCAAGGCTAGCCTGGGCAACATAGCAAGACCCAGTCTCTACCAAAAATACAAAAATCAGCTGGGTGTGGTGGCACATGCCTGTAGTCGCAGTTACTCGGGAGGCTGAGGTGGGAGAATCGCTTGATCCCAGGAGTTTAAGACGAGCCTGGGCAACACAGAGAGACCCTATCTCTACAGAAAAAATAAAAAATCAGCTGGGTGTGGTGGTGAGTGCCTGTGGTCCCAGCTACATGGGAAGCTGAGGTGACAGGATCACTTGAGCCCATGAGTTTGAAGCTGCAGTGAGCTGTGACTGAGCCACTGCACTCCAGCCAGGGTGACAGAGCGAGACGCTGTCTCAAAAATAAATAAATAAATAAATAAATAAATAAATAAATAAATAAATAAAGGGTAAGAGGGCTTGTATTTTAAGCAGCAAAATTAAAACTCCTTTTTCTAGTTTTCTTGGCTTAGAGATATGAAAATTTAGAAGGTATGGAAATTTCCTGCTCCCAAAGACATTTATCTCTCAAGCCTTACTACAGTATTATTGATTTCTCCCTTGAACTCTGATTATGAGGGTTAGGGAGAACTAGTATTTCTACAGACAAAATTAATCTCCTAAATAAATCCAATGTGTACCTTCTGGAGTGGTATGGGGAAGGGGAAGACAGTGTTGTTGGTATTAATATAGTAAATGCCTTCTCTAAGCTGACTTGGGAAGAGACAGGATGTCAGCTACTTCATCCTGAGACTAATTTTTATTCCCCTCCTTTAAAGAGTATTTTAGGGCAGGGCTTTTGCACCTTGCAGCAGTTGCAGGATAAACCAAGTGCCCTGTGGGCATAGGCAGGAGAAACGATGGTGGATCTCACTGGGAAGTTGCATGAACTCTCCCTTCCACCTTCCTCCATTAGAAAAAAGTCAGTTGTCTTAATATCCACTATTGTTAGCAGCCTCGGAGTGCAGCTCCATTCAGAAACTTCTCATCTTCCTGTTGCCACTGTGACCTGCTAGTCAATATCAGCTGCTGGCTCTGGGCATTAATGGAATTGTCAGTTAGTAAAATCACAATGATCATCGCTGTCCAGGTCAAGCTTTAAAATAAACGTGCTTAATAAAAATAGACCATATATATATATATATATATATATATATATATATGATTTATTGGCATAATAATATTCTTTAAATATGTTTAGCATGGTCCTATAACACTTCATCTGCTCCTCTATTGTGGCTTTTTATTACTTTGTGTCCTGTGTTATAATGTCCAAGTCTCATCACATCTACCAGAGTAAGCCACTCAGGGTGAGTGTGCATATTTCACCCTTCTTTATATTGCTCCCAGGCATTAGGATGGTGCCTTGCATTTAGCTGGTTTGCAATAAATATTAAATGCATGAGCAAACTAGTAATCATTACTGATACTTAAGTCACATCATTGAGTACAAAATACTGTAGCTAGTCTGGCGGACAAACAGGAGATGTGCGAAAGTGCCAACAGGTTCTGCTTTCTGTTTCTTTGTGCATGGCCATAAAGCCACATGGCATTTCAGGAGTGGGTGTGCCTCCATTTTGGTTAAGAGGGGTGAAGAATGGTGGTTTGCTTCCTCTTTTGCTTTTAGTGACTGTCATGATGATACTCTAATTTTTCTGACCTTAATAGACTAATAGGGACCACACCATAATTCCAGGTGTTGCTTTGGGGTTGTAACTGGTAGTTCATTTACAAGTGAGATGTGGACTGTTCTCTTCCAAATACACTTACATCACACCTGTCATTCTCCTCTCCGCTCCTGCTCTAAGTTGGTTCATGCTGACTTGGCATTAAACTACCCAGAAGTGCTTAGGGTTGACTGCATCAGAGATTTATTGCTTGCTTGTTCTTCCAGATCATTTATAAGTGTTGAATCATGTCAGTGCTCACATCCATCCCATATGGACTTCACTCTAATACTTATTCATCTCAAGAAGCCTTGATTTGTTCTTATTCAAGTTTCCCTTAGAGGTCAGGTTTAAAGAAATAGTGCAGAAGAAGTGTGTATCTTGCATCCCATATTAGACAAAGCTCTGTTCCTATGGTTCGTGCTTGCTTTTCCTCTGTTAGAAAAAAAGAGATCTGCATTCTACAAAAATCCAGCCAGGGCAGGGCGAGTTGTCTGGGATTTTCTGTAATCTAATAGAACAAGTTTAATGACTCAAGAGAGGCCTGCTGTATATTGCAGCTCATGGCTCATGAAAAGATATAGTATGTTAATTTTCTGAACTGGGTCTCTGAGGCTGAATTAGATTATTTTTGTGATGTCTTTCCTGCAGTTATTTGAGCATCCAACATCTTGAATGCACCAAAAGAAGGGAATCCCTGGATATTAGTGACCAACAGAACCTTATCCTCTATAGAGGAAATTGGCTAGTGGATGTAGAGTCTTAATGCTTTGGGGTAAAATAAAAATACTTTTTACATGGGCAGCACACTTCTCCCCTACTAATAAATGTGAGAGTGAACATCATGACCCTCTCCTTTGAGAAGACTTCAGTGCTCCTCATTTCTTCAGGATGAAGTCCAAACCCCTTCACACAGCATAGAGGGCCTTTCACCCTCCAGTGCCTGCCTTCCACCTTCCACTCCAACCTTATCACACCACTTCCTCCCACTCTTCTCTCCATTTGGACTGGATGCCTTTCAGGATGCCAAAAGGCCATATTCTTTGTCCCCTTTGGGCTTGTCTATGCACAGGCTTTCTGCCTGGAATATTACCTGTCCTCTCCCCACATCTGTCTCACTATCAGTAATTACAGTAATAGTAGTTATGTTCTGTGTTAAGGAGGGCTTGCATGGATCCTTTCATTGAATCTTTACAACAACCCATGAGCACTGTAATTATTCCCATTTCACAAATAAGGAAACTGAGGCTTAGCAAGCTTAAGAGCCCTACCCAGGCTCACACAGTTATTAAGTATAGTACAGGGAGTTGAAGCTAAGTAGCCTGACTCCAGAGCTTGCTCTAGGCTGCGGTGCCTCCTAGCACTGAGCTACACATAGTCATGTGGCTAACTCTTACCCATTGTTTAGACATCACTTGCTCCAGAAAACTTTCCTGGCAGGTTATGTGCCCCTCCTGTGACTTTTATTTCTCTCTTTGCAGCACGTACAATATAACACCCCTGTAATTGCTTGTTTACTTGTCTGTATCCTCCACAAGCTTCAGAGGCCCCTAGGGGAGGACCTAGTCCGCCCCCTTGCCATTTTATCCCCAATGTCTACTGGGAAGCTTGGCATCCAGTAGGAGCTCAGTACATGTTTGGGGAATAGGTGATCCTTTGACTAAACTTAGATCCACTGAAAACCCTGCACAATTCTTTTGGCAGGAAAAGGTTAATTCTAGTCTTACTGATTCCAGACTTTAATGGAGGAAATAATTGACAGCTTCTCCTTTTTGCGGGGACTACAGAATTTTGTGACTAGACTGAGACTTTCTTGTGGTTAACAAGGCCTAGTCATATGAGTCAAGGTTATCACTCAGTCAGACTTTTGCTCACTCCAACTACCCCTCTTCCCCCTTAAATTCTTGAGATAAACCGGGAAGTGGCTTGTTGCTTTACAGAAAGATTCACCAAAGGATTCTCATTTGTCATTTGTCTTACTACCTAATATTAGGTTGGTGCAAAAGTAATTGCAGTTTTTGCCATGAAAAGTAATTGCAAGGCCAGTTGTGGTGGCTCATGCTTGTAATCCCAGCACTTTGGGAGGCCAAGGCAGGCATATCATTTGAGGTCAGGAGTTCAAGACCAGCCTGGCTAACATGGTGAAACCCTGTCTCTACTAAAAATACAAAAATTAGCTGGCCATGGTGGCAGATGCCTGTAATCCTAGCTACTCAGGAGGCTGAGGCAGGAGAATCGCTTGAACCTGGGAGGCGGAGGTTGCAGTGAGGTGAGATCCTGCCACTGCACTCCAGCCTGGGCAATAGAGTGAGACTCCTCAAAAACAAAACAAAACAAAAACAAACAAACAAAGAAAAGTAATTGCAAAACTCTGATTACTTTTGCACCAATCTAATACCATATATTGAAGCTGGAAGAGACACTGGACTGTAGCTCACCCAGCCCTTTTTAATTGAGAGAAAATTGAGGCCTATAGAGAGGCTCAAATTCATCCACTAGTTAGTGGCCAAGTCGGAGATATAATTCACATCTTTCACTTAAATAATGAGCTTATTTGATGCACTTTCACAATGTGATTACTTTACAAAACTTTTTTTAACCTTCACATTGATAGGAATAAATGTGTTGTTTCTAAAGCAACACATAACTGTGTATAATTCATCTGAGATCAGCAGTGCAGAAACAAGAGAAGGTTTTTTAAAAAACTTTTTGTTGAAGCCTAACATTCAGAAAATTGTGTGATGACTTTTTCTTTTCTTTCTTTCTTTCTTTTTTTTTTTTTTTTTTTGAGACAGAGTCTCACTCTGTCAGCCAGGCTGGAGTACAGTGGCACGATTGTAGCTCACAGCAGCCTTGACCTCCTGAGCTCAAGTGATCCTCCCGCCTCAGCCTCCCAAGTAGCTGGGACTACAGGCACGTGCCGCCACACCTGGCTAATTTTTTCTTTTGTTTTCTAGAGATGGGGTCTCGCCATGTTGCCCACGCTGGTCTCGAACTCCTAGCCTCAAGCAATCCTTTCACCTCAATCTCCCAAAGCTCTGGGACAAGTGTGAGCCACTGTACCTGGCCCTGATGAATTTTTATAAAGTGAATGCACCCATGTAACCAGCACTCAAGTTAAGAAATAGGGCATTGACAAAGGGAGATGTTTAGTATTGAATATATAATTATTTTTAATAATGTATTCTCACCTAAATCTGTTCTACAAAACTTATTATAGCTTTATAATAGTAGGAGGTCATTATTGGGGGGTGAGGAGGAGAGGGAACTTTTGAGATGACAATTTCATTCCCATGTCCAACTCTCACAACTTCATAAGACAGTGTTTAAGGCATAAATTCCTTAGATTTTGTGTAATAAAGATGCAGCTTACTATTGGCTATTTGTTTGCAAAATTAACATGTCATCAGGCTGATATTGTAGACTCATGAACAGAAATACTTGTGTGACTCTAACTCATATTCTATAGTGCTCAAAAATCTACTTAGGGCATTTTTTGATAATTCGCTACATGGGATTTGTAAGCATAGGTGTGTACTTTATTCTTTTTAAAGGAAGGTGAAATCTCAAATCTGTTATCAGTCATGTGTCTATGCTGAGCTGTGATGGGTTTGCATGGAGCTTATTATATATTTTTGCTTACTCTTTTGGCAAACTTGAGTGTATTTCTGAGTGGACTGACTGGCATTAGGATGTCTGACCCTGGAGCTACCCTGTCTCTGTTCTAAGCCAGCTACCCCATGCATTTGACCCCATTCATTAGTACACGCTTTAAATGTCCAAGTCTACATTTTCCAGCAAAGGTTTCTATTCCCAATGTTGGCATTGCCCACAACTTTGGACAAATTATTTAACCTGAAATATTTTCTTCATTCTAATTCTGTCATAATAATAATAAACATTTGGGGAGTGAAACTTCTGCCTAAAATTGGATCAGAATGTTATACTCGTTTGAAAGGCACAAATATGTTCATTGTACATTTCAATTAATAAAGCAGTAACTGGGCAATTTCTCAAAAAGTTCTCATGATCTAAAAAAGTTTCTTAGCCCAACAGATTTTTAATAACATCTAACATCCTAAGAAAGCTTCTTTTCCTATTCCCTATTTCTACTCAAGGATAAAATTTGTCTAATTATTCAGAGGAATGTCTCAACTAACCTCAACCCAAGAAAGAAAAAAAAAGTTCTTACCTGTTTTAAACTTTGTTCCTGCTGTCTGGAATAGCCCCTCCAGCTAGCAACATATTAGTCTGCTTAATTAATATGTATTGTGCCTTCCTCAAGGCCAAGCAGAGTCCAATTATGGGCTTCAGCTAATTTTACCTTTTTTTCTCTTTGTATCTCATTCTGCTTTCCCTTAGCTCCCCGTTAGCCTTATTGGCTCACAACAAAAGCTCAACAGGAGACTAGCAGCAGCATGACAAAATTAAATAGAATGCCACAAAAAGGCCTGGGAATTTGAAAGTTGCCTCTTAACTTTAGCAGGGAAACAGAGTAACCTGGCTGCTGTCTGTGGCTTGGAGAAGTTTGTGTGGCACATGCAGATGATGGTTGTTCTATTTGTTTGCTATTATGAAACACTATTTTTCTTTATATGAGAACCATATCTAAGTGGAGTCACTATGGAGGGTACACATTTCCCAGTAAAGGGAAGTGTTGTCATCCTGTTGACGCCACTGAAGGCTGTTAGGACTATTAATTTTGTTGTTCATTTAGGCATGCGTGGTTGCCACAGCAACAACAATCTCATAGTTCCTTCAAGCCCTCAGTGCAGTGAGCATCTGTTGAGAATCCTACAAAGGTGTCGTAGTTCCTCTCCTTCCTGTCATAGATTGAACCCCTTGCTTGCTTTCCTTGTAAGCTACATATTTATCAAGAATCCCTAGAGAGACAGAGAGAAGAGATTCTTTGCTAGAGCCAGTCAAATGAGAAATCTAAATGAAAATGAAGGCTTTTGTTTCCCGTGGGTTGCTGCAGAAGGCCTCAGAATAAGTGGTTTAGAAGTCAGACGATTATTAAAGATCTTGATTAGCTGAAATATGAATAAGTCCTTGGCAAAATTCACAGCCAATCTTTTATGCAGGGTGGCCAGGACACTGAGTATCCTGTGTAAAGCCAAAATTGTAAATTCTAGCCCAAACTCCCAGTGGTATACAGTAATAAGGTGCAATCTCTTGCCAACTATTTCTCATAATCCAAGACCTTCTCCTTAAGAACCACATAGATTTCAGAATACATGTTTCTTAAATGGACTCATTTCCTCTGTGTGTGTGTGTGTGTGTCTCTCTCTCTCTCTCTTTCTTAACGAGCAGTTGGTAGAGAAAGCTTATGTTTTCAAAAGCATTTGTTGGTACTGATAGACAATCATCTTTGAAGACACTACTCAGTATGAGTCTTTGTCTTTGATTCTGTCCTAATTTATCTCATTTGCAAGTTATATAGTCAGAACTAGAGGAGAGTTACAATTTCTAGATAAATTGCCTACTAACTAAGTGAAAGGAGCCGAGACTGGGCAGGCTGTCTTTATAGCTATTGAGAGGAGGTATCTTAAGTCCTTGTAGAATCCTTATTTGAAATTTACATGTAAATGTTAGGGCACCTGACTGAGCAAGTTTATCAAAACATCATTACAGTTTCCTCCTCCTTCTGTCATTATTCTGATCAAGATGATCAAGAACAGATTTCTGTATTCATTTCTGCAGAGAAGCTTACTCATTCCTCTTCAAAATTCTTTTATCTAATGATACTTATTGTTCAATCATAAGTAATATTTAACTGTAAAATCTTTTACTTGGAGTAAATTATCTTTGGGGTGAATTCAACTAAAGATTCTGTGTTGATTAAGTAATTGTCATTTTTCCTGTTTTGGGTTTGGAGAAGAAATTTCTAGGTTATATACTGTTTTTAGGCAAGAAGTCTGAGCCTGGGTTACTCTGGCTTTCACAAGACATTAGTGTATCCTGAGGGCTTCTTTTTTGCAACTCTTTGTGGGGATTCCTGGGATCGATTTTTGTAAGACTCTTCCATCCCAACCAGCCTTTTTGGTATCTTTTACTTTTTCTTTCCGAGTTCTTCTCTTCATTTTATTTATTTACTTCTCTAGGATCATAAGATCATAGTACTTCTGAGCTGGAAAACACCTCCCAACTTCTCTCGTACATTTCTATCCTCACAACTTGCAATGTTCAACTGTGCTCATGTTGCCTACTTTTAAAAACTCGTATACATAGATATGTTAATAGCCAAGCACAAACCAAACATTTTATTATATCCAATTTATTATACCAATGTGGTTTTAATGAAATAGCTTTAATACAAATGAGAAATTTTTTTTCTAGTTCTAACTCTGATTTTAATTCATAGACTGACCCTGGACAAATCTCTCTAATTTTGCTTGGTCTCCATTTCTTTATCTGAAGATGACAATAGCCTTCTCTCATAACTTATTATCGAGTAAATGAGCTAATATATGTAAAGGCTCCTTGGAATATGTGAGGTACTATGTGTAAGCTATAGGGATACTCATTCATAATGTCTGTCTCTGGAGTCCACATCAGCTTGGTGGCTTTAACTGTGACCTTATCCAAGGTGGCAAAACCCTATCAGAAATCTACAAAAATGTGCATTTTCCTTGACCAAACAATTTCACTACTAAAAATCTATACTACAGAAATATTCATATGTCTGCATACAGTACCAAATATTAACTGAAGCATTGCAATTGAAAACCTGGAAACTTAATTAAATAGAAACTTAATTTTCTATCAGTAGGAAGAAAGTTAAGTAAATATCCATATAGTGGAATACACTGCCATTATAAACAAATAAGGTTGATGTATTCTAAAATTGCATGGAAATATCTTCAAGACATATGTTATATGAAAAAGCAATTCATTAAACAGTACATAGTGTATGATCCCATTTATCCTAAAAAAAAAATGCAAACCCCACACAGAAAGGAAACAAAGCCACACCTATATATGTGAATATATTTGTTTGTAAATTTGTGGTGTCCCTATGTCATTGAGCTTCCCTCTCTTATTGTATTATGTAGTGTGGAGAGTTGAGCTTAAGAATGAGTTCTGCAGTCACAGTGACTGGCTTCAAATCCTGGCATGAAACGTACTATGTGTGTAATTGTGGATAAATCACAATTCTTCCATGCTTCATTTTTCCCACCTTAGAATGGGTTTGGCAGTTTCACCTAACGCGAAAATTTTAAATGCATAGAAAAGAATCCAGAATACTTTTGATTACCCTGAGAGACAGCAGGGTAGCTGGAAATGTGAAGTTCCTTTTAAAGTACTCAACTCTACACAATGCAGATAATACTGAATAAAGCTAACCTGCTTCTATAGGACAGCATGGGAAAGGTCCTAGAGGCTCAGAAAAAAATATAAATTTTGGTAAATGCAACCATGAACTGGAAGGATAGGGAGAAACAGCCATCATCTGGGTGTGTGAGCATCAAGAATATGACAAAGGCTTTCTGGCAGAACTATGGGAAAACCCATTTTCTGAAGAGGCAGAATCATGAAGGGGGCTTGTGTCCCCATCCCAGAGTGGTCCAGTGGTCTCATATGTGGCTTTCCTCTCAGCCTTATCTATCCAGTCCAGCTCATTTCCTCCTGTATTCTACTATCTCTACTGCGGAAACTCTCCCTGAGAAGGAGGCAAACCTTCCCTCCAGGGAGGTCAAGGAGGATTGCACTGCTTTGCTTCATGCAAACAGCTTCCCAGGGAGAGAGCTTTTGCTCTCCTGCTGTGTGAATAGATTGAGGAGTCTCCGAGGCTTGGCAGCAGGTCAGGCCCAGCCAAGCTTCCAGAACCAGAGAGAGGCATAGCTTTTTATCTGAACCTAATTTCTTCTCCAGAAGAGAACTGCCTCTTGTTCTTACTTGAATTTAATCTCCATGGATCACAATTTTGTTTGGTGGATCTATCTATCAAAATTCACAATTCAAGGACTCCTGGTCCTTGGCTGACTCACAGAGATCAGTCCCTTCTCTACAGATGAGGAACTAGGGCTCCAGAGGGTCTAGTGACCAGCCAAGGTCAAGAGGCCACTTGGTGAAAGTGCTGGGCTAGAAACAGTCACTAGTCTTCATCCAAGGTTTTTTCCATCGTACTAACACATATTTATTAGCAATAGAAAAATCTGCTCAAAAATAACTCACTCTCCTAGAAGAAAGATCTCAGATATTATAGGTAAAAGAAAGTATAGAGATCATGTCATATAGGCCTCTGAAAGAAGTTTTAAGTCCTCCCTCCCCTTATTTTGCTTAAAATAATGTCTGTCTTGGCATAGTTGTGAATCCAAGTTGTATTCTACTGGGTGAACCTGTGTGCATGCCTCGGGGTGATGTCGGCTTGGCTCCCTAAAGATTTCAATGGGATGACTCCTCTTGGGTTTTATTCTGTAGTAAAAATAATCTGTGGTGGTTTTGGTTTTCCTTGTCTTATAAGCTAGAGGAGTCAGCCAGGAGGCCACTGCCTTCTGATTTTCTATGTGGTCATTATCCATACTCCATTCAGACCACATTTAAGGCCACTGGATCTCAAATGATCCCTCAGGGACTATTCATGTGGTCATTAGTGGGGAGGTGTGCAGGCAAGCAACACTAACCAAAATATTTCTTCAGAAAGCTCGCATACTTCCAATGTGAATTCACCTCTGAAAGACTGCCATATTTTCTGTTTTAAGGTTCCATGTCCTTTATGTCACTGAACTACTCCTTCTTATTCTACTATGTAGTGTAGAGAGTAGAGATGAAGACAATGGGTTCTGGAATTGGGCTGACTTTAAATCCTAGCTCTGCATTTACTAATGGTGTGATTGTGGATAAATGACTTAATCTTTCTGTTTGTTTCCTATCTGTAAAATGATTTGAAAATCTTATCTAACACAGATGACGATGGGAGAACTAACTAGATATAGTACAGACACACAAGAGAGAGCACTTGGCATGTGGTAGCCACTCAATGAATGTTACCTCTTACCCTTGACATCTGCTCATGCAGCCCAGCATTGTGGAAAGAACATTAGATTGAGGGATCAGGAGACACAGGATCTGTTCTAGGATCTGACTTCCATGCAGCTTCATGAACTTAGGACAGTCACTTGATCCCAACTCATAGAATGCAAGACATGGAAGCAAGTATTTGTTCCAACCTCCTCATTTAACAAATGAAATTGGGTCTTGGAGAAAGGAAGAGACTCACCCAAAGTCCCCAGGGAGTCAATGTCCAGGCCAGGATCAGCCAGCACCACTCTCCTGACTTTTGTCCCATAGTTTTCCCATCATTCCTCTGGAGACAGAAGACTTTGCCAAGTGGTCCAAGCTTTGCTGAAGACCTAAGGACTTTGGGATTGATAGGTAAGTGGTTCCTAACATGCTGTCTTGGGGTTGTGGCCATCTGAGAAGCAGCAGCCAGTGCCTTCTACTATGTCATTGTTGGCATAACTATCAGAAGCAGAGCAGCACCTTTAAGATGCTACTGGGTGAGAGCCACTGCAGTAGCAGTTTACGGAGCACCCAGTAAACTCATTCCAGGCCAATAGGGCAAGGCTGGGTAAGCTCTAGAGCCCAACAGCTTAATAATTGGCTATGTTTCTTCTTTCTCTTTCTTGGCTCCTGCCAGAGACACTTAGAGTGACATTATCTCTATCTTAGGCTATAGAAGTCTCCTTTTGAACTCTCATTACAGGCCATTGTCACTCCTTTCCTTTTCTCCTCTCACTCCCACACAGATTCTGAGATCACAGGCTGACCATATTATCCATTCTTGGGTACACGGCTTTGACCTGCAAGATCCCCTTTCTGTTCCACACTCTGGCCACAGCAGACACTCGGCAAAACTAGTCCTGTACTGATTATTCTAAATATATACCAGGCTTTTGGCTTGGGGACAGTGCATGTATTATGCCTCTCCATTGATTCTTGCTCAGTCCTCACAGATTGACTATTATCGTTTCTGCAGAGCCCATAATTGTCCCCCGACTTAGAAGTGGTCTCCTGTGCCTTAGAACTTGGAACAAGTGCTTGCCACAGGTCCGTAGAGGTCCTACCTCCCTTAACAAACTTCTTAACTTCTTAACAACCATGTACTCAACCTCTTTTTTTTTTTTTTTTTTGGAGACAGGGTCTTGCTCTGTCACCCAGGCTGGAGTGCAATGGCACGTTCACAGCTCACTGCAACCTTGACCTCGTGGGCTCAAGTGATCCTCCCACCTGAGCCTCCCTAGTAGCTCCTTCAGGCATGTACCACGATGCCTGGCTAATTTTTGTACTTTTTGTGGAGATGGGGTTCTGCCATGTTGCCCAGGCTGGTGTTGAACTCCTGGGCTCAAGTGATCCACCTGCCTTGGCCTCCCAAAGTGCTGGGATTACAGGTGTGAGCCACCACACCACTGGGCCTCTTTTTATCCCCCAAAGCATTTAACAGAGTTCCTCGCCCAGTGCAGAAACTCAGTTGGACCTGCTTGAATAACTGTTGGCTGGTTGGTGGAGTTGGAGTAAGGGGCTCAAGACTTAATAAAAGGTTATGTCTTCATAATCCAGAAATACTTTATCCCCAAGTGTCATTGTTAGTCCTTGGTAAATCAGTCAGCCACACATCTTTCTCTAGTTACAGATATTCTAAGGCTTCTTGAAGCCTAGTTGTTAATGCCTAGTTGTTTTGAGAATGCAACTTTTTAGAAATCTGGTGTGACACATTTTTGAAATTAAAGTCAATTAAAATTAATTTTACTCCTTTTTTTTTTTGGTGGCAGAAACTGACAGTCCAAGATGGACAAGCAAAACAATTTACAAACTTTAAAAAATTCAAATAAAAGTTTAAGGATGTTAAAGAAAGGTAGGAAGAGTAAAGGAGCCTGGAGTTTTCACTGATTGACTCACTCATTCACTCACCCAATCAGCAAACATACCCGTGCAGCTTGATTTCCTGCATTTCAGGAGGAAACGGTTGTTATTTAGTTTATGCAAAATTCTGTATAGCCCTCTGCTAGAGCCTTATGCTTCTAAAATTCTGTTTGCTAAAATAGTGTTCAGAAGTAGCTTGTGTTCACAAACCAAACTCAATGTTTCCCTAAGATCAAATTCCCTGCGACAAATTTTATCCCCAAATTCGGGGAAAAAATGAGAAGAATGCAAAGATTAATCCTTGGAGGCCCTTAAATAAGCCTTTCTTTCCCTATTTTCTGTTTGCTTTTTAAGTTTTGTATTCAGAGAGTAATAGGTGAACCCTTCTGTGGCTAATTAAAATACATGTAAATTGAAACCAATGTTCAGGCCAGTAATTAAAGTGAGGTACTCTCTGGGTAATATTTACTTTCTAGCTCCCAGATTGTGAGTTCAGTTCCTCTTCAAGCAGCACTTTTTTTTTCTTTCTTCCTTTTTTTTTTTAATCACAGAGATTAAAGCAGCCTGAATTTACAATAGCATCTTGTGAAAGGAGAGGGGAAAAAAGCTGCAGTGGTTTTAGTAAATAATGCACTTTGATGTCTCCAACTTGAAATCCATATTTTGAGGGCCCTGATGCATCTAAATAGTATTTGGAATAAAATTTTAAGTCCAAAAGCTGGTGCCATTTGCAGAAAAAAATGCCTGTGGAAAGTGAAGGTTAATATTCCTCTCACATCTCACCCTCTGTCTTACAATCAAGTGCTTCCATTCTTCTCTGTGAAGCTTGTATAGGGTACGTGCCACATGACCATGGCATGTCCACTCTTCTTTTGGCTGCTGACCACCAAGTTGTTTATAGCTGGTAAGCTTGGCTTGAGGTTTTGGGCCATTCCTTTATTTTGGGTAAGAAAAAGATAGGAGAAAAAGACTTCTTAGGAAGACCTTGTTTCTATAAAACAATGGAGCCATTTCAAGAGCCCCTCTTTTGACCATTGGAAAAGACAGTGAGATCTAGGTGTAGTTAAGGATTTATGTCTATAGGCTGGACTCTGTTGGTCCCTCCAGTTTGCATTCAGGTTCATCTGCTGTGGTACCACTTTGGAAATTTCATGGACCTTTGACCGTATTCACAAGCTCCTGGGCAGCAAGAAGCTTTGAAATCCAATAAACGTCTAAATCCAAGAATAGATTTCAAAAATTACTTTTCTGCTAAAATCTCAGACAAAATTCCTTTTGTTCCTGCTGTGGAGGCCCTTAGGTCGTACAGGGCATTTGTATCCAGCAGGGTCTCAGGAGCTCTTATTTCTTCTGCTATCACATTGTGTTTGTGATGTCATGAGTGGTTACCATGGAGGTAATTATCATGATGTGGGAGATGTGTGAATTCAGGTGTGGAGAAACTTAGCAGCGAGAGATGGGTTTTTGAGAAAAAGAGACAAATCCCCTTTCATTCCAACTTCCTTAGTAACAAAAGGGTGAAGCAGAAAAAAAAGGAATGTAAATACGATGACTGAAATTTAGCTTTTGAACAGCATGTCTTTTATTTTTTGCGTGACATATTGGAAAGTCTTTTATTTATTTGTTTTTTTTTTTAAATTACATTTTGATCACATATCTTGGAGTATGGTATTAAAAATAAATGTTATGTTCTTTCTTGGAGAAAAAAAAATGGCTTGTGATAGCAGAAGAGAATTCTGTATTATGAAGTCCAAGGAGAATAGGAAAATCTTTTGAGTGATACACCAGGAAGCTTAAAGGTGATATGTTTTCACCTAGCTGGAAAAAAAAAGCTGCTGCAATCTGCAAAACACTACAAAAATAAGAGGCAGCCAAGCTAACAATGCAGCCAGACTGGCTTGCTGCTGGCATTTGACAAGCTAGGGAAATGAGACTGCAAAAATCCACAGGGAATTATTCTCCCCTTCATGTTAATGAAGTACTGTACATATCTTTCTTGGGACCAGGGGCGGTGGGGGTGAGGACCCGGGTGCTGCTGAGCAAGTATTTTAAGGAAATGATCCAGAATCCCCTGCCTCTGGCTTGGAATAATCAATGTCATTACTGCTTGTTTGGAAGCTTTGTCTTTTCTTGGAAAGGACCCAGGGCTGGCAAACTCAAGTAGTCAGTGTGGTGACTGGTGAGAGAGGGACCCTGCTGAGGCAAGTGCAGGGAGGCTGAGTGCCCTTGAGCATCAGATTCTGAGTGATAGACCTGGGTTCAAGTCACAGCTTTGCCCCTGTGGATTTTTTCTTTGACTTTCACCAAGGTCCTTAATTGCCCTGCTTTCTTATCCTGTTAATCAAAGGAGACTATTGTAACAATAAATATATTGGATATAAAACATATATTTTTATGCAGGCTACAAATGCAAGGGATTAGACCTTATTAGGGGTTCTGTGTCAGCACAAAGATATTTAGTTGTTTTCTTGTCACCTGGTATCTTTCATGACCTTCAGGGTGCAAGTGGGCACTTTCTTTGGTGAGAATTGATACTGGCAGCCAATGCTCTGTGGCACTACTTTGGTGAAAGGAGGATAATGACCCTAGGCAGGGGTCAGTTCCTGCAAGGTCAAGTGCAAACTCCTTAGCCTGGTGTTTGAGGCCTTCCCTAATTACTTCCCAACTAAGCTTCCCAATCTCATTTCCTTACTCCATCAAGTGTACCCTTTGCCTTGGTCAAATCTGATTTGTCACTGGATATGCCTCTGGCATTCCTTGTAGTTGTTTCTTCTGTTCTTACCCAATCAGTTCTAGCTAGTCTCTGTTCATCCATCCTATATCAATCCCTCCTTGTTATCAGCACCTGCTACTCCTGTCATATATGTGTTGTGCAGGTTGTGCACTGCACAAAGATGTCAGGTCAGTGTAGGGGGACATGGGCTTAAATCCAGAATCCAGCCAAGTCACATACCCTGCTGACTGAGGTGCCATGTCTGCCTAGAGGAAAGGCACCTTTTTCTAATTAGAAAAAGGCACTGGAGAGGGTAGGGGTGGCTCTGTGTGTATTGATAGAGTTAAATTTTCATCTATGTTTGTTCTATATTTTCTTGAAATTATATGCTCCTTGAGGACTGAGGCTTTGACTTTTTGTAGATATTGCACATGAAATACACATAACTTTGTTTTGACTTATAATGAGCACAGCGAGTTCTGAGTAAGAGATGGTACTGGAAGCTCCTTGAGGACCGAGCTTACCCATTTCTCTACCTGTCAATCCATCTCCCATAAATTCCCTGAGTGCTTGCTTATCTGTAGTAACAGTGGGAAAACATCAGTACCATTCTCTTTTTAAAATTCTTCAGTGCCCATCTTGGTTTCTATGTGCAAGTGAGATACTTTCCCCTCTGAGGACTCTGAGACTGGGTTTTAGATGAGGCTCTTGGGTCTGGGCCAGCATTTTCACCTCTTTCTGGAGGAACATTGCACTGGGGCTTTGTGGTGGGTCGGAAAAGTGGGCCTGTAACTTACTGCTCACAAAAGGGTCAGGATGTGCTCTGTGTGCTGAGGACATCAGAAGGAGAGCCATGTGTCTCTGTCCTCACGGTGTTCCTGGATCATAAGTGGGGAAAACGGACATGTAAGCGAGTGGCCGTAAAACAATACAAGAGGCACTGTAGCAGCAGGAGCTCGTACAGGGGCCTGTGGGGTCACTGTGAGGCAGCAGAGACCTGTCTCCCTGCATGGGGGGCAGGCACAGGTGGAGTGACTGGAGAGAGAAGGTGGCTTTAAGTGGTGATATGAAGCAATCTGGTTCATGTCCATATCTTCCATTGCAGTCTGTGTGCAGATGACTCTCAAAATGCATGTCTCCATCCCAGACCCATCCATCACTGTTATTTCCACTTGGAAGCTTCAAAGGCTCCCTAGACCCATTCTGTCCCAAACAGATCTCAGGATCTTTTCACCCAAATCCAATCATCTTCCAGTGCTCCATCTTTCCAGATGGCACCACCCATCCATCTGCCTTGGTAAACTGGCTTGGTCAGTTCATTTGCTCCGTTTTCAGCTCCCAGTCCAAGTTGGCATCCATGTGTCTTGCTCAGAATGGAGGCAATATCTACCTCCTTGATGGACCTCCCACATCCACCCTGAGCCCTCCAGCCCCTTCTCACTGCAGCTGGAATGACCATTCTGAAATGCAAATCTGCTCACGTCACACGGTCCCCAAACTACCTCCCTCCCAATGCTTAAAACCCCTTAATGCCTTCTACTTTCTCTTAGGATAAAGACTCAAATCCTCAGCAGGGCCTCTAAGGCCCCTCATGATCTGGCCCCTGGAGACCTTACCAGTGCCCCCAGCCCTGTCCCGAGTGGCACCAGTCTGCTCACAGGCCCCCAGCCCAGGTAGCTCCCTCAACCTGGAATACTTTCTCCTGTTGCTGCCATCCTCCCCTCCCACCCCCGTTACCTAATTCATCCCTTCTCATTTTTCAGGTTTCAGCTCAAATATCACTTCTTCAGGGAAACCTCCCTGGATCCCCCTGACTGCTTCAGCCCTTCTGCCTAGTACATCTCAGAGCACATTTCCTTATCAAATATCATGGTTTGTAATCACACATTTATTTTTGTGGTTATCTGATTGATGTCTGTTTTCCCTGGAAGGTTGGGAGCTCCAGGATCCTGCTGGGTTTGCCTTTACTACATTTCCAGTGCCCAGTGCAGTGCCCCAATACACCTTAGAGTCTCAAGTAAACATTCATTGAATGAATAGATACATGAGGGTTGTTCAGGAACAGAGAGCCACCCCTTGGGGCTGCCATGTTGGTTATGTGAGAGGAAGCGGCTAGAGGTGAGGTTGGGAACAAGCCTATGGCTGAGATGGTGCCCTCTATGTACAGGGGCACTGTGCAGCCTGCAACCCAAGGACATGACTAGTCAAGAGCTGTGTTTTAGAGCAGAAGCTCTGAGAGGAGTGTGGGGTGGAGGTGTGGAGGGTAACTCGTCTTGGGACCAGGGAGACACATTAGGAGGCATCTGATGCAGATGATGGGAATCAGGACAGTGAATGAGAATGGAGAAATGGGAACAAATGCATTTAGTATTCTCTATTTCCATCTTCCCCCTCCTGTAAGGGCAGCAAGGGATCAAGGAACTTTACATTACTTCAACATTTTTAACCTGCCTAACCACCCTCACCAATGGTCAGGGGAAAAATCAGAGGGGATTTGGAGTCAGTGGAGTAGTGGGCAGTGGCAGAGTCACAAATCTGTGGTTTTTCTCCTTTCTCAGGCAAAAGTGGCCTGTTGGAAGGTTGGGAGGTATCTGAGTCCATTTGGGTTGCTGTAACTAAGTATCTTGGACCAAGTGGCTTATGAATGATAGACACTTATTTCTCACAGTTCTGGAGGCTGGGAAGTCTGAGAGCAGGGTGCCAGCATGGTCAGGTTCTGGTGAGGACTCCTCTGGGTTGCAAGCAGCTGACTCTCATTGTATCCTCACCTGGCAGAAAGAGAGCAAGCTAGCTCTCTGACCTCTTCTTCTAAAGGCATTAATCTCATTCATGAAGGCTCCACCCTCATGACCTGAATACCTCCCAAAGAGGCCCTGCCTCCAAACACCATCACATTGGGGGTTAGATTTCAGCATATAAATTTGGAGGGGACACAGACATTCAGTGCATAACAGTAGGAGAGGGTGTTTTCAGGACCTGCTGCCCTGAGCTGATGGTGAGTTGGTGTGTGAGAGGGTGTGACATCCAGGGAAATTACTCTTGGGTTGGACATTTCTGGTCCTCCTAACCTGATCTGAGATGTCCATCATGGTGGCTTGCCTTCACTGAGATCCCTTGAGTGTCTTATAATAAAGAATATTTCAAAAGGCTGATAGTACCAAGGGCAAAGTGGGCTTGGGACCAGGAAGACACATCATGCATAAGGACGAGTATTTGCCTCACCCTAGGTTTGGAGCCACCCCTATTTTGCTATTCTTTTTAATGCTTCCTATAGTCTGAATGACAAAGATAACACTAGGGTGATATAATGGTTGAATTTGATAGAATGCAAAACTTGATGCTACTAAATTTCAATTTTCAAGAATATATGTTTTATATATCTAGCACCCTCTTCTAGAATGTGACCGATATAATAATACTGCTGTGTTAATAGTGTTTATGGCTAATGTAGCTTATGTCATTTGACATTTTAACTACAAGTCAGGCTGCTACATTTGGCTGTGCAAGTTGCGCATTGCCTAGGTCTGGTGAGCTCAGTTCATGTAGACTCCTGTGGGCATGGCACCCCCTGGAGTTGTGCAAGGTGGCAACCCTGCCCATGGAGTGTGCAAGGTGGGCATTAGCCTTATTTTGCTGGCTTAGAATGGTAAATGCCTCATTCAATGTCATATGACAATTAAATACTGGCATTGCTGCTAGGGCCTAGCTTTACGATCTAAGTCTAGTTTTTTGTTTGTTTGTTTGTGTTTCTAGAGATAAGGTCTTTCTCTGCCACTCAAGCTGGAGTACAGTGGCATGATCATAGCTCACTGCAGCATCAACCTCCTGGGCTCAAGCCATCTTCCAACCTCACAGCCACCTGGGTAGCTGGGACTATGGGTACCCACCCCATACCCGGGTAATTTTCATTGATTTATTTCTTGTATAGACGAGGTCTTACTATGTTGCCCAAGCTGGTCTTGAACTCGTGGTCTCAAGGGATCCTCCCACCTTGGCCTCCCATAATGCTGGGCTTTCAGGTGTGAGCCACCACACTTGGCCCTAAAAGCAGTCTTAATTTTTCTGTACCTCATTGCCTCCTGGATGATGGGTGAGTGAGTATGTGAGTGAATAGGGTAAAGATGAAGCCTCGTTTCAGGAGTCAGATATGCACACATGATGTGATTTATTTTGCAGGCCCCTGAGCTCCACCGGCAGAACCAGCTGTCCTAATCTGCAGCCCTTTACCTGGACCTCACCCATTCTCAGATGACATGGCCTTGAGTGTCTCTGCACCTCCCTTCCTGAACCCCTTGCATCTTCCTGGTTACTCCTCCTTTGCCTGTCCTGTTCCCTCAGGGCCTCGCTTCCAGCTACTAACAGGTCTTCCTCTCCCACAAAGTGTGCATTAGTAAAGTAGTAAATTATAATTTCAATAGGGAAGTATGAAAGATAAAACAGCCTTTACAACACAAAGGAATTAGTCTATAAGGGTGGAATTCGTGGCTGGGTTGGAGAGTCATGAATCTATGAATTTATGTGGGAGAGCAGGAAAGAACCATATAAATCACATAATGCAGATGAGGAAATAGAGTTCCCAGAGAGTTAGTGGGATTGCTGGGTGCCAGAATCCACAGTTTTTCCATTATATTAGGTTAGTGCAAAAGTAATTGTGGTTTTTGCCAATATTTTTAATGGCAAAACCGCAATTACCCTTGCACCAACCTAATATCATATTTTCTTGATCCATTTTAATTTGGGGTCTTCCCTGACATCTTTTTCATCTTACCTGGCTGAGCGTGGCCCTGCATTTTGACCATGTGGTCCCCATCACTGGTTGGGGGAGCAGGAGGGCAGTATGAAGGGGGAGAGGCAGTTTGGCCAGCAGTGTCCTGGACTCTGGCGTGACCCGGGATCCGTGCTTTTAAATGCCATTATGAAATGCAATTCAGTGGAGAGCTCAGCCTCTTCCCATCAGACTAATGCAGCCGTGGTGGAGAGGCGGGGTAGTGGCTGGCTGCCTAGCAATCGCCTGGAGCCCGGCAGAGGGATTATGCCCGCTCAGGCAGCCTCATCACCGTAATAAAATGGGAGTTATGCTTATCGACTCATCAGGACTGCCCATTTAGACGATTACCCCATTTCCAATCCCATTTCTAGAGAAAAGAGGATTGCTGGACACTTCGTCCCACCCCCACCCCTGGCAGGGCTGTGTTCAGCCCTGGCTTCTGGAGGGGACGTGCTAGAGACAGGCACTCAGCCAACTGAGAGTTTTACCCTCTTTGTCTTCCAGAGCTGACAAGCCATAGCAGGACGGCTATCCCCTGAGAGATAGGAGAGGAGGAGAAACAGCCTGACAGGGGCCTGGAGCAGCTGGCTGGCGTCAGTAATTTCCTGCAGGAGACTCTGCTGGCCGAGCACACATCACCCTTCTGTTGCTCCTCTGTATTCTCCCTTGTGCTACTAAAATACGCTAATGTAACTCCTGGGCTGTGCTAAGCTAAATGCAGTTATTTAACCTCATTTCTATGGAACCCAGGTCTAAAGCAGCAACATCTATTTGGAACAAGATGGGGAGGAGGTAAGCCCCAAACATCCCTGAGCAGCAGGAATACACATTACAAAGTTTCTCTTTCCACACAGAAGAGACTTCTGGGCCCTTGCTTGAGACCACTGACTTTTACTTAACACCTAGGTCTAGTTAGCTTGGTGAACTGCTTTCTGACACCTGAACAGGTTGGAAGCAGGGAATCGAAGGTGAGGAAAGACTGCCACAAACAGGAGCCAAGAATTAAGAGCCAAACCAAGGAGGTGACATTCACGACGACAACTGTGGATGGAAATCCTGCCCAAAGGGGGATGTTGGATGAATGGCTCCTAAGTCCCCTTCCAACATTTCAGTTCATGGCTCTGAGTGTCCCTGGTTTGATTGTGATGGTAAAGGCAGATAAGAGGGCGAGGGAGACCTCCGTGGAGAGCTGGTGCCCAGCAGGAGGTGTGGCCCTGTGTTTTAGTGCTCAGGAATACTTGCCTGCTTTTGCTGGAGTCCTCTGGGCTCAATATGTGCTCTTGACCCCCACTTCATTTTTTTTTTTTTTTTTTTTGCCAGCAAGAGTGAATTCATGCTCTTCTTCATGGAGGTGGATGTTTCTGGAAGGAGGTTTGTGATGTCCTTTGCAGGGACATGGATGGAGTTGGAAGCCCTTATCCTCAGCAAACTAATGCAGGAACAGAAAACCAAACACTGCATGTTCTTACTTATAAGTGGGAACTGAATGATGAGAACACATGGACACATAAGGGGAAATGACACACACTGGGGCCTGTCAGAGCTGAGGGGTTGTGGGGAGAGGGAGAGAATCAGGAATAATGGCTAATGTATGCTGTGCTTAATATCTAGGTGATGGGATGATCTGTGCAGCAAACCACCATGGCACACGTTTACCTATGTAACAAACCTGGACATCCTGCACATGTATCCTGGAACTTAAAATAAAAGTTGAAGAAAAAAAAAAAAGAAAAAGTTTTGTGAAGTCTGGAGGTGTAATGGACAGACACAGGCTTAGGGTGAGGCAGGCCCATGTTCAGATCCTTGCTTCCTCACTAAGCTAGCAGGGAGACTGGCTATATCACCGAGCCTCAGTTTCCTCACCTGTACATCTGCTGTAGAAGTGGCATATCATATGCTGTCCTGGCTGTGACCTTTGGTAGCTCATCACTGCCCTTCTTACTGTTCTCAGGGTAAACCCCTTTCCAGGCAGAGTTGCCAAGACACCCAGTAAAATTTGAATTTCAGATAAACACTGAATAATTTTTTAGTATAATGATGCTCCAAATATTGCATGGGATATACTTAACACTAAAAAAAAAATCATTGTTTGTCTGAAATTCAGATTTAACTGGGCAACCTGCATTTTTAAATAAACTTTTAATTTTAGAATCATTTTAGATTTACAGAAAAAAATATAAAGATCGTACAGAGTTACCACACACCCTGCACCCAGTTTCCCCTATAACTAATATCTTACGTCGAGCCAGTGCAGTGGCGCACATTTGTAATCCTAGCTGCTCAGGAGGCTGAGGTGGGAGTATTGTTTGAGCCCAGGAGCTCGAGGCTGCAGTGAGCCATGATTGCACCATTGCACTCCAGCCTGAGTGACGGAGTAAGATGCCATCTTTTAAAAAAAAATCTTATGCCAGTATGATACATTTGTCACAATTAATGAACTAAGATTGATATATTATCATTAACTAAAGTCTATACTTCATTAGATTTCCTTAGTTTTTCCCCAGTGTCCTTTTCTATTCCAGGATCCTGTCCAGGACACCATATCATATTTAGTTGTCAAGTCTTCCTAGTTCCTCTTGGCTGTGACAGTTTTTTAGACTTCCCTTGTTTTTGATGACCTTGACCGTTTTGAGGAGCACTGGTCTGGGGTTTTGTAGAATGCCCCTCAATTCAGCCTGTCAGATGTTTTTCTCATGATTAGGCTGGGGTATTATTTTTTTGGGAGGAAGACCACAGAGGTCAAGAGCCATTCTCTTCACATCTCGTTAAGGGTCTGTACTGTCCATATGACTTACCACTGTTGATGTTGACCTTGATCACCTGGCTAAGGTAGTGTTCATCAGGTTTAGCAACTGTATTTTCATTTGCTAAATCTGTAACTCGATTCCAGGCCTGTCAGTCTTTCATGACCAGACCTTTGCTTACTGCTGCTGCCATTTTTCTGCTCCAACCATAGTGAACTGCTAACAATTCCTCTAATGAACTATTCTCTGTCTCTCTTACTGCCAGGCCTTAGGGCTTGCTCTTTCCTTTGCCTGGAATGTTCCACTCCCCCACAGCCTCCCATCCACACCTCCCCTTCACCCGATTAACTTACTTTTCAGTTGGGCTTCAGTGTTCCGCTTAGGTCTCACTCCTTCCGGGAAGATTTCTTGCACCCTCCTCTGCCAAGACCAGGTTAGGTGTTGCTTCTCTGCCCTGGTCCTACTGTGTTGTGATATTTACCATCCTGTGGTTGTGAACTGTTTGCTTGTCTCCCTGACCCCAGTGCATCCCTGACATCTTACACAGTGCCTTGTTGCAACTCAATAAATAATTGCTGAATAAATGAATGGTTACACCAGGCACTTCAGGTAAAGCCTTTAACACACTACCTGCCTTGTAAACAGTAGATGCTCAGTAAATGCTTGTCTTTTTCAATGTAGGAAAAATAATCTTCCCTAGATCTGAGCAACTGTAATAAGTTTGTGCTCGCCCGACACCCGCAACACATGTCCCTACCTGGAGAAGAGATTCTGGAACAGTGGTCTCCTAGGATTCCCTGAGAGCCACAGTTACCTGTATCAAAGTATCAAGGAGGCCACTTAATGACAGAGATATTAGGGTAAGTAGGCTACTTTCCGTCAGTTTGCAGATTAAAAAGGCATCTTTCTCCCAGTGGAGAAACTGAATTATGAACCCCTTCGCCCAGATTTCCATAGTTGGACGCGCTGACCCATTATTTTTAGTGAAAGGGACAAAGGGACCCACCTCCTTCTCTTTTTGCTGCCCATGTGCCACACACATGTAAATGACATGTGTACCTATTGTTGCTTGTCCTTGATGATGAGTACACTTGTACATTGATATATTTATTAGTGTTTTGCTTTTCACTAATCCAGCATAGTTGTGACCCCACCCCTGAGACCTAAAGGAAGGAGACACCTCATAGGGGGTCTCAGGAATCTCTGATGAACCTTAGGACTAATTATAATTCTTTCATTTATTATAACTTCATGCCAGGTATTTTATCTGCCTCACCTCTAATCCTCTCAATAACCTTGCATGTTTTTATTCATCCCGTATTACAAATGAGAAAGCTAAGGTTTGGGTGCTTAAGAAATTTTCCCCAAGTTTTTTTTGTGGTGGAGCCAGCTTGGAGCTAGGGCAATAGACTTCAGAGTCTCAGCTCCATCCTCTCCATGGTTCAGAAAGTTCTCTAGTTCTGTAAGAGACAGCCAACATCCCCCAAGGGCTTGTGCTCATTGGAATGGCTCTCGGGTCCACTCCTCCCTTTGTATCCCCAGGTCACCTCACTAGAGCAGACCTCCATCAGTCAGTGTTTACCCACCTTCCAGAGCCTCCTTCCTGGACTCTTGCCCCCGGATTCCCCACCCATAGCACTCTCACACTGCCATCGCCCAACTCAGGATCCCAAGAATGCCCATTTTCAGCCTTATAAATCCTTTGCCTTGCTTCCAAGACCCTATGGTCTATTTCTTTTCCAAGCCTTCTCTCCGTGCATCAGATTCTTCATGAAACTTACACTGACTAGTCCCCCACCCATCTCCCTTTCCTTGGATCTTCATGGCACCTAGGTATGCAAGGCATAAAGTAGTGTAGAATGCCCTTCTGGCTTGTGTGGAACCACAGGGGAGTCCCCTGGGTTTCTAATATGGTTTTCCCATCTGGATTGACACCCCCGAAGGACAAAAACCTCTTGTTAAAAAAGTCAACTTTATTGAGGTATAACATACATACACCCTGTTTTAAGTGTTGAGTTTGATAAGGTTTGACAAATGTATACACCCAGGTAACCACCGTCACAACCAAGATATAGAACATTTCTATCACCCCAGAAATACCTCTGAGCCCCTTTGTAGTCAATTCCTCCACCCCCGACCCAGGAAGCCACTTGTTGGATTTCTATTAATATAGATTAGTTTTGCCTGCCGTTGAACTCCACAAAAATGCAGTCACAAAGGGTGTAGTCTTTTGTGTCAGCCTATTTTGGTTAGCACGATATTTTAAAGATTCCTCCATACTGTTTATTACTTTCTTCTTGCTGAGTAGTATTCTATGGTAGAGACTATACTACAACTTGATTGTCCATGTTGACTAAATTTGAGGCTGTTTCACATTTTTGGCTATTGTGAATAAAGTAGCTATGAATGTTTACACACAAGCCTTTTGTGAATGTGTTTTCATTTCTTTTATTTGCATACCTCAGAGTGAAACTTTTAGGTCGTATAGTAAATATATGTTCAACTTTGACACTGCCAGACTGTTTTCCAAAGTGATGTTTCCATTTCACACCCCTATCAGCGGTGTATGAAAGTTCCAGTTGTTTCACATCCTCACCAACTCTCAATACTGTAAGTGTTTTAAATGTTAGTGGGTATGTAGTCACATCTCATTATGGTTTTACTTTGCATTTCCCTGATGATGTGCTCATTGGCCACTTGTATATTTTCTTTTCAAAGTGTCTGCTGGAAAATTTATCTGTTTAAAATTTTCAATTTGCCTTTTTAATTATTGTATTATGAGTTCTTTTTATATTTGTATACAAGTCCTACCAGATATATGTATGAGTATTTTCTTCTGGACTGTGGATTGTCTTTTCACTTTCTTATTGTCTTTTCACTTGTCTTTTGAAGACAAGAAGTTTTAAATTTTGATGAAATCCAATTTATCAATTTTAATCGCTTTCTTTCTTTACGTTTAGTATATTTTCTGTCCTGTCTAGGAAATCTTTATCTGCCCCAAGATTGTGAAATTTTTCTCCTAAGAAACTTTATAATTTTTTTTTTTTACATTTAGTTCAGGATATGGCCTATTTGCTGAATGTCCCATGTGCACTTGAAAAGAATAATAAATCTATTGTACATTTCAAAATAGCTAAAAGAATAATTAGAACATTCCTAGCATAAGGAAAAATAAACATTGAAGTTGGTGTATATCCCAATTATCCTGAGTTGATCTTTATATATTATATGGATGTAACACATTACCACATGTACCATGAAAATATGTAGATCTATTATGTATCAATTTAAAAAAAGAACATGTATTTTGTACCTGGTGAGTGAATGTTGTTTAAGTCAGTTTGGTTGACAGTGATGTTCAAGCCTTCTATATTTTTATTAATTTTCTGTCTACTTGTCCTATGAATTATTGCAAAAAGAGTTTTGAAAAACTTCAACTATAATTTAAATTTATCTATTTACCCTTTCATTTATGTCAATATGTGTTTCATGTATTTTAAAGCTCTGTTATTAGGCCAATACCTATTTATGTTTGTTCTATCTTTTTGCCTTGACTTATTTATCATTATGAAATGTTGGTCTGGTGCGGTGGCTCATGCCTGTAATCCCAACACTGTGGGAGGCTGAGGCAGGCGGATCACGAGCTCAGGAGTTCGAGACCAGCCTGACCAACATGGTGAAACCCCATCTCTACTAAAAATACAAAAATTAGCCAGGCATGGTGGCACGCGCCTGTAATCCCAGGTACTCAGGAGGCTGAGGCAGGAGAATCGCTTGAACCCGGGAGGCGGAGGTTGCAGTGAGCCGAGATCGCACCATTGCACTCCAGCCTGGGTGACAGAGTCAGACTCCATCTCAAAAAAAAAAAAAAAAAGAAAAAAGAAAAAAAAGATGTCTCCCTTTATCTCTGATAATATTCCTTGCCTTGAAGTCTATTTTGATACGAATGTAGCTCTTCCAGCTATAGTGTGTGCATGGTGTATCATTTCCCTATAGTTTTACTTTTAAACTATGTTTGTATATATAATGTTAATTTCTTGAGGAATATAGCTGGGTCTTACTTTTTTGTCCAGTTTGACAATTTCTGCGTTATAATTTCATCATTTAGTCCATTTACATGTAATGCAATTATTGAAATGGTTGGCTTTAAGTCTACTAACTTGCTGTTTGTTTCATTTATTTTTTGTACTTTTCCTGTCTTTTCTTGAATGATAATAATTGAATGTTTTTTGTATTCCATTTTATTTTACTATTTTTCATTTTATTATTAATATATTTTATTGTTTATA
The DNA here is from genome assembly GCF_000001405.40 of Homo sapiens. Taxonomy (NCBI): domain Eukaryota; kingdom Metazoa; phylum Chordata; class Mammalia; order Primates; family Hominidae; genus Homo; species Homo sapiens. Next base: position 56,095,790 of record NC_000016.10, on the reverse strand, counting down.
TTACTATTATTTCATTTCTTCTTTTTCTGTGTGTGTTTGTTCTAGCGATTGCAATATGTGTCTTTAACTACCAAAGTATATCTCCAAAAACTATGCTACTTTACATACAAGACCCTTAAAACAGTATACTTCCATTTCTCCTCCCATGCTGTGTGCTATTATTGTTACATATTTAATTTCTACATGTGTTATAAATCCCACAATACATTGTTATTATCTTTGCTTTAGACAATGATCACTTAAAGGAATTTTTAAAATGAGACACAAAATGTCATTGTGGCCCTCCAGTTAGAGTAGGGGATTATGTGGGCTAGGTTAATTAATGGAGTTTTAGCTCTGTTCCAATTTACAGTGGGTCCAGTAGGTCCTTGGACCTATCCTGTAGTTATTTCCCCAGTTCCAGAATGCATAATTGGAATAGGCACAATTGGAATAGACATAGCTGGCAGAATTTCCATGTTGGTCCCCTAACCTGTGGGAGTGAAGGATATTATGGTGGGAAAAGCCAAATGGGAGCCATTAGAGCTGCCTCTACCTAGGAAAGCAGTGAATCAAAAACAATAGCACATCCTTGGAGGGATTACAGAGATTAGTGCCACCATCAAGGACCTGAAAGATGCAGGGGTGGTGATTCTCATCACATCCCCATTCAACTCTCCTATTTGGCCTGTGCAAAAGACTGATGGATCTTGGAGAATGACGGTGGATTATTGTAAGCTTAATAAAGTGGTGATTCCAATTGCAGCTGCTGTACCAGATGTAGTTTCCTTGCTTAAGCAAATTAACATGTCTCCTGGTACCTGGTATGCAACTATTAATCTAGCAGATGCCTTTTTCTCCATACATGTCCATAAGGCCCACCAGAAGCAGTTTGCCCTCAGCTGGCAAGGTTAGTAATATACCTTTCACTGTCCTACCTCATGGGTATATCAACTCTCCAGCTTTATGTCATAATCTAGCTCCCAGGGATCTTGGTTGCTTTTACCTTCCAAAGCTATCACACTGGTCCATTACATTGATGACATTATGCTGACTGGACCTAGTGAGTGAGAAGTAGCAACCACTGTGGACTTACTGGTAAAATATTTGCATCTCAGAGGGTGGGAAATAAATCCAACTAAAACTCAGGTGCCTTCTACTTCAGTGAAATTCTGGGGGTATAGTGATGTGGGGCTGTCAGGATATCCCTTCTAAGGTGAAGGATAAGTTGTTGTATCTGGCCCCACCTACAACCAGGAAATAGGCACAACACCTAGTGGGCCTATTTGGATTGTAGAGGCAACACAGTCCTTATTTGGATGTGCTTCCTTATTTGGATGTGCTACTCTGGCCCATTGATCAGATGACTGAAAAGCTGCTAGTTTTGCGTGGGGCCCAGAACAGGGGAAGGCTCTGCAACAGATCCAGGCTGCTGCACAAGCTGCTCTGCTTCTTGGGCCACATGATCCAGCAGATTCCATGGTGCTTGAGGTGTCAGTGGCAGATAGGGATGCTGTCTGGAGCCTTGGCAGGTCCCTGTAGGTGAATCACAAAGGAGGCCTTGAGGGTTTGGAGTGAGGTCTTGCTTGCATCTGCAGATAACTACCCTTTTTTGTTTGTTTGTTCTGTTTTTTATTTTTTGGTTTTTTTGAGACGGAGTTTCGCTCTTGTTGCCCAGAAGTGCAATGACGCGATGTCAGCTCACCAGTCACCGCAACCTCCACCTCCTGGGTTCAAGCAATTCCCCTGCCTCAGCCTCCTGAGTAGCTGGGATTATAGGCATTTGCCACCATGCCCAGCTAATTTTGTATTTTTAGTAGAGATGGGTGACTTTACTAACCATGACTAATACAGCCATGCCCTCTTAGTCTTTCTTCGTTTATTCAGCCTTTTTACCCCTGTGTGTATCCGACTGGTCAGGCTGGTCAGGCTGGTCTTGAACTCCCGACCTCAGGTGATCTGCCCACCTCAGCCTCCCAAAGTGCTGGGATTACAAGCATGAGCCACCGGGCCCAGCCCACTGCTCTCTTTTTGAGAGACAGATCTCGGTCTGCTACTGGGCCTTAGTATAATAGAAACTGAATGCTTAATCATGGGCCACCAAGTTTCCATGCGACCTGAGCTGCCCATCATGGAGTAGGTGTTATCTGACCCATCTAGCCATAAAGTCAGGCATGCACAGCAGCATTCCATCATCGAATGGAAGTGGTATATACATGATTGGGCTGAGCAGGCCCTGAAAGCACAGGTAAGTTAGATGAAGAGCTAACTTAGCCCATTCTCTCTCTTCCAGAGTGGAATGCCTTTTCTTCTCCTGCCCTTGGGCATCAGACTCCAGGATCTTTGGCCTTTGGACTCTGGGACTTGCACCAGTGGCTCCCCTAGGATTCTCAGGCCCAGGGCCTCATGCTGCAGACTGCACTGTTAGCTTTCCTAATTTTGAGGCTTTCAGACTTGGACTGAGCCACGCAGCTAGGTTTTCTCATTCTCCAGCCTGCAGACAGCCTACCATGGGACTTTGCCTTTGTAATCATGTGAGTCAGTTCTCCCTAATACATTCATATGTATATGTATATTCTCCTCTGCAGAACTATGACTAATACAGCCATGTCCTCTTAGTCTTTCTTCGTTTATTCAGCCTTTTCCCCCCATGTGTATCAGACTGAATAGTTTTTACTGCCCTGTCTTCAAGTTCACTGATCTTTTCTTCTGCACTATCTAATCTGATCTTAGTCCTATCCAGTTAATTTTTTATTGCAGATGTTGTATTTTGAGCTCTAGAAGTTCTATTTGGATTTTTAAAAGTAGTTTCCATTTCTCTTCTCATTTGGTTCATGTTTTCCTTTAGCTCCTTGAGAGTATTATAGCTGTTTTCAATTCCTTGTCTGCCAATTCCAACATCTCTGTCATTCCTGATCTGCTTGCAAAGACTGATTTTTCTGTTAGAGCTTACATTTTCCTGGTTCTTTTCATGCAGAACATTGTGAATGTTAAGTTATTGATCTTCCCACCTCAGCCTCTGGAGTCACTGGGATTACAGGTGTGGGCCACCACGCCCTGGACCATGTGTAAATTCTCATAGTTGTTCAGTTTACAGCTTACTGGGAATTGTTCTTTTTCTGATAATTGTTCTCTGTGTGATCTTTTGGAGCCCTATCCTACAAATATGCAGCTTAATATTTAGACAAATACTTAGGGCACCCAACAAGGATGTCTGGAGCTCTTTCTCCTTATAGCTACTTCTTCTTTGGTACCGTATCCCTCAAATTCCAGCCACCTCAACCTCCCTTAACTTTGATCCTTGTCTCTTCATCTCAGGAAGGTTCCTATCTGATTGGGTTCCTCCTGTGTTCTGGGTTATAGGCAGAAATCCAGGGTTTCACCTCAATTGTTTATATTTTCACAAGCATCACAAACCTGTGATGTGTGTTGACAATGTCTGAAAGCATTAATAGTTGTTTCATACATTTTGTTTAGCATCATAAACATTTGTAATAGCAGAACCAGTTGATACCAGTGGTTCCATCATGGCCAGATGCAGAATTCTAGGAGCCACTTTACAAACTTCTCTACTTGTCCTTTTTTAAACTATGCACTGAGCACAAAACAGAATTAGAGAAGTCTCATGGGTCTGCCCACCTCTGATGTTTTGCTGATATTCTAGGACAGAACATGACATTGGGACAGGATTTTTTTTGAAGAACCAAAGCCCTGGAGAGACTGGACCTCTTCCTTTGGAAATAGACTGTCATACCTATAAGGTCTTGTCTGTCAGCTCCAAGGCCAAAGACTTAATCTTTGTATCGAGAAACCATCATAACCGGTGCACAGAGGGCCAAGTGTATGGTGACTCCAGTCACTGCCATGTGGTTGTCTGTCCTCAGGAGTAACTGGTGATTGTGTGGTCTCTGAATTTATTCTAACTACAGGTCATGAATGGCTCAGCAATCCAACAGAAAGCCCAGGGTCAGCTGGGCCAATATGCTAACAGGAGTGAAATACATTGGATAGAGAAAGATAGGAGCAAAGGATGTGGGAGATGATTATCAAACCCAGGAAGATTTCATAGCTCAAAAGTTGAACAGGGAGAAGGAAGGAGGGATGAGCATGTTGATTCATTCATTACATAATTTGAATGCCTATAATGTACCAGGCACTGGCACTGACAATTTCTAGTGTCTTCAGTGAAAGATAATGTTGACACACATATATTTCTGTGTGATTAGGAAAGGAACCAAACAGGCCATGCCTCCCCTTGTGGTTTCCATGGCTGCATCCTATTCTCTCTGCATCTTTGCAAGTTTCATTTTCCCCTCCTCACCCTGTTTCACCTCCCTGCGGTCTGAATGATCTGAATGTCTGGGCTTCCCAGTTGCCCCTCTAGAAACAGTGAGAGTATGTTCAGAGTTAGGGTAGGGAGAAGTTGGGTTGAATCAAGGAAGGAATCACAAGAGCTGGGTTAGACTATTTGTATTTAACTGACAGAGAAAATTCATATGATCTGGCCGGGCGCTGTGCGTGGCTCACACCTGTAATCCCAGCACTTTGGGAATCTGAGGCAGGCAGATGAGTTGAGGTCAGGAGTTGGACACCAGCCTGGCCAATATGGAGAAACCCTGTCTCTACTAAAAATACAAAATTAGCCAGGCATGGTGGCAAATGCCTGTAATCCCAGCTACTTGGGAGGTTGAGGCAGGAGAATCGCTTGAACCCGGGAGGCGGAGGTTGCAGTGAGCCGAGATCACACCATTGCACTCCAGTCTGGGCAACAAGAGCAAAACACCGTCTCAAAAAAAAAAAAAAAAAAAAAAGAACATTCATATGTTCTTAAGATACTGGGTGGAGCCCTCTGGGTTGAGGCCCAGTAACATTTTATGACATCACTGGAGAGGATTTTCCAGGCAAAACTGGATGTGGTAGAAAGCCCATGGGCTTGGGAGCCACACAGAAATTCCTGTTTTCAAATTCCCACTCTGCCACTTATTACCTGTGTGATCTTGGACAAGTTATTTAATCTCCTCAGACCCCAGATTCCTCACCTGAAGTGGGGATGTTTTACTTCTTAGTGTTGTTAGCAAGGTCAAAAGAGGAATGTGAAAAGGGCCAACTGCTGATGCAGGATATGTGCACATTTACTGGCTCCTTCCTTTTATGGTTTTGTTCCCTTCACTACTAAAACTACACAAGAAAGAAGATTCTTGGTGGGGGCAGGGGTAACAGTGGTACCTGTGCAGTCTCTACTTCCTCAGTGCTTCTCAGGTGGGACAGGTTGAGGCAGGGGAAGTGGCAAACCCAGGAAGCAACTTGGATTTGTCCACCTGCAGGCTTTTGGGGAAATTGAACCCAAGGGTGCTTTGGTAACATTCTCCCCGCTGTGTGTTCAGATTTCTGACCTTAAAAAGCACTGTCTCTTCTACTCTCTTCTGACCTCTGAGGCAAGCACATAGGTAATTACCTCCTTTTGGCCGGATAAGGAGACTGACTCTGATGTCATTTGTTCATGATGACCAGAGCCTTCATTATAGAGCTGTCCCACACCTTCATCAGTGCTTGGTCAGCTGCCAGCCTGCTTCCAGGAAGCTGTGGGGTCCAGACATGAAGGGTCAGATGACTGTGGTCCTAGCAGAAGCCCCAAATGCTGATTGCCTCATTTTCATCTTGTTTTGAGGACCTGTGGTTCAGATGTTTAGGAGTCCCTTTGACTACTTCACCATAGCTTTCACCCTCCTGTGATCCTGAATTCTGGATGCTGTGTGGTGATCATGGATCCAGTGGGGACACATGTGAGCCAATTCCTTGGCAAGAGCATGGCTCACAGAACATCCAACTGAGGGCTGAGAGCACTGGCTATTTTCCACCAAGGGCCATCCCTTAGTGGATGAGATTTGCTCCTTCTGAGATATTAACTCCCCAGCACTTCCAGTTTGCCCCAGGCATTGGTCAGCCTGCTCCTGTCACCAGAGGATTCCTCAAGCAGGAAGACACAGGTGTTTGAAGTAGGAAGCTGTCGTCATGTGTGGGGATTGCTGATGATGGTCCAGGGTGAGTCACAACATTTGCAGTAATCTCCAACCTGGTTATCAAGTTAATATGTAGTGTCTCTCTTTTCCTTCATTCCTTTACTTATTCTTTGATAAATATTTATTGAGCATCTATTATATGCTAGCTGCTGTGCCTGAAGTACTGGTACTGGGGATCCAGCAGTCAACAGGACAAGCTAGTTCCAGTTCCCAAGGAACATAACATCATAATAGCTTATGTTCATTAAGGTATGGACATATAATCACACAGCACTTATGACAAATGCTAGAGCATTTTTACCTATGCCAAAAACACAGCCCAACAATCTTATGTTTCCCCCTCAGTGATTTCAAGCCATCTTCACACACCTACAATCCTCTACTGCACCCAACAACCCTCTGAGCTCCATTCCCACCTGTCTACCTTGCATTGACACTTGGGTGTCTCCAGGCACCTTGGATGTGGCAAGTCCCCCAAGCCCACTCCTCTTCTCATGTTCCCTGACTCGGGAAATGGCATCACGATCTGTCAGCTGCCATGAAATGCAGGTTTCATCCTTGTTTTCTCCCACTCCTTTCCCATGCTCCCCCCATCCAAATGGCTGCTGATGGTGACACACTTACTGAGCACTTAATCTATTGCAGGCACTACCCTGAGCACTTTGCCTCTATTATCTCATTTAATCCTCACAACCCCGAAAGGTACAGAATCTCACTGTCTACATTTTACTGATGAGGAAACTGAGACCAGGAGAGGGTAAGTAAGCCACGGTTACCCAGCCAGTGTAACCAGAGCCAGGATAGAATCAAGCAGCCGGTTTTTAGAGCCTGCTGTCTTAAGTCATTACCATAGTGCTTCTCAGTCCAGTGGGCGAGACAGGCATTAAACCAAGAATTCTACAAATAATTATTTAATTACCATGGTGACAAGTGCCATAAGGAGAAGGGAAAGAAGCTTTGTTTAAGACAGCAGAGAACCCACTTAAGGAAGGAGGGAAATGTTTCTTTGAAGATGTACCCTTTACACTGAGCCTTGTGGGGGGCTTGTTCATGACATCAGCAAGAGGGGGACACGTTGAGGGATAGCAGACGTCCATCACAGATCCAGAAGGATCAGGCCATTGCCAATACCTTCACACCCCACAAACGGCCAGCCACCTGTGTTTCTTAATGTGCAGTGTGGTCTGGTCCTTTTAACTTAATTCTTTTCTGAAATGTAGACGGACAGGAAGTTGCTCTGGTGTTGCTGTTCTATGCCCTAGACCAAGGATTGGCAAACTTTTACTGTGCAGAGCCAGATAGTAAATATTTTAGGCTGTGCAGGCCAATGGTCTCTGTCCCAACTCTTCAACTGCTGTAGTAGTGCAAAAGCAGCTATAGACAATATGGAAATGAATGAGTGTGGCTGTGTTCCAATAAAACTTTATTTATGGACACTGAAATTCAAATTTCATATACGATTTACATGTCACCAAGTATTATTCTTCTTTTGATTTTTCCCAACCATTTAAAAATGTAAAAGCCATTCTTAGCTGGTGGGCCAGCCATACAAAAACAGGTGGCAGGCTGTATTTGGCTCGTGGCTATAGTTTGCAGATGCCACCCCAGACCTGTATTTCCAGCTACCCTGCAGACATCTCTCTACCCTTGCCTGCTCCACAAGCCCCCTGCAAAATGAACATCTCCAAAAATCAAGCTCATCGCTCCAGTGAAATCAACTCCTCCTCATACTCTGATGTCCATTAATGACCTGGAGTGTCTGTCCATCAGGGGATGTTGGGACAGGAAAAAATGTGTAAGAACCTCTCTGTTCTAGCCACGCTAGCCTGTTCTTATTGCTCAAATGTGCCTGGCGTACTCCTGCCTTTGCTCAACATCTGCCCCACCTCTCTCCTCCTAAGGCTTGAGTCTACTCCCTGTCAGTGTTTCATCACCTCCCACTCCTCACCGCCTCCAATCTGGCTTCAACCCCATCGCTCCACAAAAAACAGCTCCCACAAAGGTCACTGATGACCTCAGTGTTGCTAAGCCCAAAGGACATTCTTCAGTTCTCATCTTACTTGCAGTTGACACCGTTGACCACTCTCTCCTTGAAACACTCCCTCTGACTTGGGCTGCTGTTTCTCTTTCTTCTTTACGCTCTTTCACTCCACTCCTGGATCTGACGTGCTAGAATTCCTCAAGGCTGATTCCAGAGCCTGTTGAGCTTCTCCCTCTTTCTGCTGTCCTTGGCCCATCGCGCATCTGTACCTCCCAGCCTGACTCTCCCCTGAGCTGCAGCTCATATATCTAGCTTTTTACCTCACATTTCCTCTTGGATGCCTTAAAACACCTCAAACTACATGTCCAAAACCAGAATCATTCATCCAACATCCATTCAATTAACAAGCAGTTACTGAGCACTTGCTATTTGTCAGACATTGTATTACTTGCCAAGGTCACAATTTTGAGCAAAAAGAAACAGGGTCCCTGTCCCTGCCCTCAAGGAACTTGTAGTCTACTGGGGAGGACACAATATTAGCCAGATTTTCACACATCTGTCTTCGCACAGTGCATCTCTCTCTATCATAATAGCTCCTTTCCTTACCTAGGGATTGGCACCACCATCTATGTGGTCCTGAATGCCAGAAATATCCTTAACTCTTCCCTTTTCCTTACCAAAGTCCCCAAATCTACCTTCTAGTCTGGTTGACCTACTCCAGATATCTCTTGGCATCATTTCTCCCCATTCCCCCTGCTGTCCTCCCAGTCCTGACCTCCACCCTATCTCCTGCCAGTCAGGTTCATCCACTCTGGCCCTCATCTAGTCTCCACACTTCAGCTAGATCATCTTTCTAAGATAAAACTCTCACCTTACCACCTCCTATGTCTTCTCCACACAAGGACACCAATAAAAATATTTCCCATACTATCCATTGGTCTTAGAATAAATGATGGTGGCTTCTCACCAAGACCCTCAAGACCCCACCTGCCCCTGTGGCCCTGTTTCTCATGCACTATTTCCCACTTGCCACACACCAGCCTCTGGACCTGTTTCAGACCCTTACTCTCACTCTTGTTTCTCGCTTTAAAGCATGTTGCTCCCCATTTTGGGAATGCTGCGGTCTCCTCTTTCAGCGTGGATGTTTTTGACTCTTCCTTCGGATCTCATTCTGCTATCCTCAGCAAGGGCCCACTTTGAATTTTTTATTGGGCTAGGTGTTGCTGTCAGAGCCTTGGACAGAAACTCAGAGCGCCCCTCACGGCATTGGCTAGATGCAAGTTACATCTGAAGGTTTGACACTTTGGTTAACATCTGCCTCCCATGTAGTTCCCCAAGGGCAGGGACTTTATCTCTTTTTACTGGAAAGTCTGTTGTCAGCTACTAGCACAGTGTCTAACAGAAAGTAAGTGCCCAATAACTATTTGTTAATTGGATGGATACTTGGATGGATGAATGCCATTTTCCTGCCTGAAACACTTTTCCTATTTTTTTTTTCTATCCCTTCAAGGTCAGCTCAAATGCTGCCTCCCACAGGAAGCCTTTCTTCATACTCTCAGGGCAAATTATGTCCCAGCATTCATGGCCTTTTCCCTGGGTTACTGTTAAAGCTGTTGTCTTCATGGTCCCAATGTTTCCTAAGATCCAGAACCAGTCTTGATCATCTTTGTATCTCCCACTTGGCTTGTTGCCTCGGACATAAGAAGAGCATAAAGAACACTTGCAGAATTGATTTCTTTTCTTTTTTTTTTTTTTTGAGACGGAATCTCGCCCTGTTGCCCAGGCCGGAGTGCAGTGGCATGATCCTGGCTCACTGCAACCTCCGCCTCCCGGGTTCAAGCAATTCTCCTGCTTCAGCCTCCTGAGTAGCTAGGATTACAGGCGCTTGCCACCACGCCTTGCCAATTTCTGTATTTTTAGTAGAGATGGGGTTTCACCATGTTGGCCAGGCTGGTCTCAAACTCCTGACCTCAAGTGATCTGCCTGCCTCAGCCTCTCAAAGTGCTGGGTTTACAGGCGTGAGCCACCATGCCCCACCTTGATTCTTTTTATAGTCTTGGTCATTCTAATTCTGACCATAATCCATCCTCTAAATATGATGCCCAACCACTGAGGGGGGTCGAGCAAGGGGCGCTCCCTGCACTGCTACCTTTGTCATCTCGCTGTGCCTCTTTACCTGGAAGCAACTGAGCTGCCCAAAATGCCTCCGTCTCCCAAGCTCCCTGTAAGACTTAATGCAAAATTTCCTGTTATTACTATACTTTCGTGATTTGTTCATGATTCAGCAAGCTTTTTTTTTTTTAAACAAGTTTCTTCACTGCCTAGGGATCCATTTTATTCCACCTGCTGATTTGTTACACATAATTTTTCTAAAAATTCCCTTACCTGTGTTTTTATCAACAGCTGTTTCCAAGGCCTTAATTACTTTCTTAGTTGTATTTGTTTACCCCTCCCACTTCTTTTTCGTACTAAAGTCTGATGACTAAAATAAGCATGTAGCAATTCAGCTTCCTCTCCTCCCTCTTGCAATTTTGGAATAGCTCCTACGGGATACCTGTTTCCAAAGTCATAATTTCATTTAAAAAATTTATCATATGATTTTATTTTAGCACTGCTGGTGTCTTATAATCCTGATTAAATCCACTAATTACAGATTCCCACTTTGTTTCTTCTCCCTTCAGTGCTTTCATTTGTACTGTGAGCTCCAATCTACTTGGCATGTTGGGAGAGTAGGATGTTCTGATTATTGAATATTCTGGGTAGCTGAGTTACTGTAATTGGTATGCATGGACTTCCAATTTTCATAAAGTTAAAAGTACAGTACACTTTCCTTCACTGTATTGCCAAGCTAATTGTTTAAAACACTATTATTTTTATTTTTATTTTTTATTTCTTTTAGAGACCGAGTCTCTGTCTCACTCTGTCACCCAGGCTGGAGTGCAGTGGTGTGATCTTGGCTCACTGCAACCTCCACTTCCCAGGTTCAAGCAATTCTCCTGCCTCAGCCTCCCAAGTAGCTGGGACTACAGGCACATGCGGCCACACCCAGCTAATTTATTTTGTATTTTAGTAGAGATGAGCTTTCACCGTGTTGCCCATGCTGGTGTCAAACTCCTGAGCTCAGGCAATCCGTCCACCTCAGCCTCCCAAAGTGCTAGGATTATAGGTGTGAGCCACCATGCCCAGCCTAAAACACTATTGATGCTTTCTACACGCCAGGTACTGTCTAAAGGGCTTAACATGTTTCCGCCTTTCATCCTAACAGATAATCTACAACTTGGTTTGATTGCATAAACCACAGGTCCAGAGAAGCTAAGTAACCTGCATAAGGCCACAGGGCTGGTACATGGTCAAATCAGGATTTTTGACTCCAAAACCTTCAAATGTCATAATGAAATTCCTGGTTTGCTTTTTTCTTAAGATCCAGAGGGCCCCTCAGGCTTTCTTAGTTCCTCCAGGCTGTTATGAGGACACCACTTATCACTGTGCCATGGTCCAGATAGTGTAGAGGCTTTTACTAGATTGCCTTTCCTTTCCTTTTGCCCTCTGGTCCCCATAGGGGCTTTGAAACTCATGCATTATAAGTAGGTTCTAAGATTCTGGGGTCAAGGATTATGAGAATTGAGGGGTTGGTGCATAAAGAGTTTGTTTTAAATCTTACTTTAGGCCAGGTGCGGTGGCTTTTGCCTATAATCCCAGTACTTTGGGAGGCTGAGGCGGTCGGATCATGAGGTCAAGAGATTGAGACCATCTTGGCCAACATGGTGAAACCCTGTCTCTACTAAAAATACAAAAATTAGCTGGGCGTGGTGGTGCACGCCTGTAGTCCCAGCTACTCAGGAGGCTGAGGCAGGAGAATCGCTTGAACCCGGGAGGCAGAGGTTGCAGTGAGCGGAGATCATGCCATTGCACTCCAGCCTGGGCAACAGGAGCGAGACTCCATCTCAAAAAAAAAAATCTTACTTTAAATCCCCTGAAAAATATCTAAGAAACTCAGGCTACACCTGATATGGAAGACCTGGGTCAATCAGTCCATCAACAAATCTTTATTAAATGCCACTAAATGCAGGGCACCATGCTCAGTGCTGTGGGCAGCTATCTGAGTAGCTCTTGTTTTTACCGTAGAATTGTGATTTGCAGATTCTGATGAAAAGGACTATTTATGGCATGCCAGAGCTTATAAAGCTTATGGCTGTTAAGTCTGTTTAAGCCTGAAACTGAGATTGAGGCATTTTCTTGGGGGAAGAAGAAAACAAAACTGAGTACCCATCCCTCTGTTTGGAAGTGTGTAAGTTGAGCTCTTGTGTTATGAAACAGTGGGAACTGAACTGAAATTGGCTTCCCTGGGAAAAACAATAAATAGGAGGCTGCTGGAGCTCACTACATCTGCAGGGAGGATAAGGATGAGATTTAAGAAGAAAGAAAGAAAAGAAAGAAAAAGAAAGAATGGAAAGAAAAGAAAAAGAAAGAAAGAAAAAGAAAAGAAAAAGAAAGAAAGAAGAAAGAGAAAAAGAAAAAGAGAAAGCCCAACATTTTCATGGTATGTTTCAAGTGCATGTATTTTTTTTTAAATAACTCTGAACTTATCTTGCCATTTGGAAATGTTAACTTTGGAAAGGGCAACTAGCATAGGGACATGTGGACTGGTTGAGAATGTGAGGATCGTGGGGTAGAGAGGAGAGAGTGGCAATGGATTGTCAAAACTTGCAGGGCTGCCTGGAAACATGATATCCAATGAGCAAACCAAGTTTCACAGATCAGTAGGTGGGAGTGAAGGGTGTAGAAGGGGCACTACATAGAGAAAACTGGGGCATCCCAGAAGGACATTTCACTTGAGAGTCATCCAAAGGTGTGCTAACATGGCTAGCAGCAGAGTGCCACCATGGCAGGTGGCAGGGGGAACCCAGTGAGGTTCAGAACTTTTTTCTGAGACCCTATCCTGTGGATTGAATGTTTGTGTCCCTCCAGAATTTATATGTGAAGTCCTAATGACCAGTATGATGGTATTTGGAGGTCAGGCCTTTGGAAGGTGATTAGGTCATGAGGTCAGAGCCCTCATGAATGAGGTTAGTGCCCACAGAAAAGAGGCTTGAGAGAGCTCCCTTTTTCCTTCCACCATGTAAGGATGCAGTGAGAAGATGTTGTCTATGAACCAGGAAGAGGGCCCTCACCAGCCACCAAATCTTCTGGCCCCTTGATCTTGGATTTTGCAGTCTCCAGAACTGTGAGAAATAAGTTTGTGTTATTTATAAGCCACCCGGTTTATGATATTTTGTTATGGCTGCCCAAACATAAAATGACAGAGATTGGTACTGGGAGTGGGGTGCTTATGTAACCAATACCTAAGATTGTGGAATTGGATCTGGAACTGGATAATGGGTACAGGCTGGAAGAGTTTTAAGATGCATCCTACAAAAAGGTTACATTGCTATGAATGGGCCATTAAGGGAAATTCTGGTGAAGGCTTAGAAAAGAAAAAGGAGAGCTTTAGGGGATATCTCAATCTTCTTGGAGAATATGTAAGTAACCCTATATATAATATCGGTAGAAATGGAGACAGTAAGGACTATTCTCATGAGACCTCAGATGGAAATGAGGAACATCAATAAGATGTTTCTCCATTATTGGATAATGGAGAAAAGACCATTCTTGTTATAAAGTGGCAAAGAGCTTGGCTGAATTGTATTTGTGTCCTAGTGTTTTGTGGAAGGTAGAACTTGTGAGCAATGAAATAGAGTATTTGGCTGAAGAAATTCCTAAGCAAAGTGTCAGAAGCATGGCCTGGCTTCTCTTGACTGCTTATAGTAAAATGCAAGAAGTAAAAAATGATTTTAAAATGGAATAATTAATAAAAAGGAAATCAGAACTTGAAAATTTGGAAAATTTTCAGCCTATCTGTATTATTTAAAATGAAAATGTGTAGTCAGACAAGAACTCTAAGGGTGTGGCCAAATGACCATTTGATAAGATTAGTATGGATCAGCCATCTCAACAGAATCCACAAGCTATTGTTCACGACAATGGAAGAATGAGCCCAAAAGCAATGCAAAAATAATCAACTGCCACCCCACCCCCACCACTTCCCATCACAGACCCAGAGTGTAAGGGCACCAGGGGCAGAACAGTTTCAAAATGGAAGCCACCAGTACCTGCCTGACCTTGGCACACCCTACCTGGCACTGCCTCACATCATGGGCTCCACTCCCCACACTGGTGCCATGCTCCTTGGCCACCCCAGATGTGACTCTGACAGGCTCCAGTATGGTGTAGGTGTGCTAAGTGGAGCCTCTGGCTTGGGACCCCAGCCCTAGGGAGCCACGACGCCCAGGTAGAGAACCACTAGGGGAGAGTCCATGCACAGAGCCACCCTCAGGGTGGGGCTGCCCAGAGCCTTGGGGGTCCAAACTTTGTCTGGGAAATCTTTGGGGGCAGGAACACAACACCAGTGGGTTCCAGGGGTGAGACCCCCATCCTAGAGGGCCTGGAAAACAGAGAATCAAGCCAAATAGGATTATTCTTGAGTGTTAATGTGTAATGGAATTTGCTCCACTGTTTTGGCTTGCTCGGAACCTGTCACTCCTATCTTCCTTTCTATTTCTTCCTTTTGCAATGGAACTGTCTATCCTATGTCTGCCCCACCATTGTATTTCGGAAGCACATAATTTCTTTGGTTTTACAGCTTATAGCTGGAGGGGAATTTGCCTTCTGATGAATCACATTTTGGGTCTCATATATGATTTAGATGACATTTAGATGAGATGTTGGACTTTGGACTTTTCAGTTGATGCTGGAATGAATTAAAACTTTTGGGCCTACTGGGATAGAATGAATGTATTTTGTGTGTGAGAAGGACATGAATTTGGGAAGTCAGGGGTGGAATGCTATAGACTGAATGCCTGTGACCTTTCAAAATTTTTATGTTAAAACCCAAGTCCTGGCTGGGCATGGTGGCTCACGCCTGTAATCCCAGCACTTTGGGAGGCCGAGGCGGGTGGATCATGAGGTCAGGAGATCAAGGCCATCCTGGCTAACACGGTGAAACCCCGTCTCTACTAAAAATACAAAAAATTAGCTGGGCACGGTGGCAGGCACCTGTAGTCCCAGCTACTCAGGAGGCTGAGGCAGGAGAATGGCATGAACCCGGGAGGTGGAGCTTGCAGTGAGCCGAGAGAGCGCCACTGCAGTCTGGCCTCGGTGAAAGAGCGAGACTCCGTCTCAAAAAAAAAAAAAAAAAAAAAAAAAAAAAAAAAAAAAAAAGAAAGAAAGAAAAATAAAAGAAAGAAAAAAACCCAGGTTCCAATGTAATGGTATTTGGAGGTAGAGCCTTTGGGAGGTGATGAGGATATGAAGGTAGAGCCTTCATGAGGGAAATTAGTGCATTTATAAAAGAGGCCTGAGATAGCTCCCTTGCCCCTTCTGCCAAATGAGAACAAAGTGAGAAGAGACCATCTATCAACCAGGAAGTGAGCTCTTACCAGACATCCAATCTGCCAGCACCTTGATCCGGGGCTCCCCAGCCTCCAGAACTGCGGTTTAAAAAAAATTCTGTTGTGTTTTAAACCATCCAGTCTGTATTTTATTATAGCAGCCCAAATGGAAGAACACACCCTACCTCTTTAATAAAGAGATAGCTGTGGATAAACTGTGAAGAACTGTTCATTGCTTTCCTCCAGTTTAGCAGAGCTGTAGCTATCCATACAGTCTCACAGTGTAGCAGAGTGTTGGAGCTCCGCCTGTGTGCTCTGGAGCTAGACTGTTTAGGTCCAAATACTTACCAGCTGTGTAACCTGAGGCAAGTGACTCAATCTCTTGTGCTTTAGTTTCTCCATCTGTAAAATGGGAATATTAGCAATACCTACTTCAGAGGGATTTCAGGAGGATTAAGTGACATAATACGTGGAAATAACTGAGAGCAGTGCTTGCACACAGCAAATGCTTAAATAAATGAACTGTGTATTATTATTTTTAATTATTTTGAAGTACTCCACTGTATGGCTGAGAGGAACAGATTTCAGGGACAGGGCTAAGCAGATTTCAGCACTTTTAGCTACCTGAGAGAGGCACTCAGACATTGGGTAAGGCTGTCCTGACCAAAATGGTGCGAAGACTCAGTGTGATCGTGAATAGATTATTATTACTTTCATTCTCACTTGTCTTTTGGCGAAACATCACCGTTATCTTTGATCATAAAAGACAAGTATATATTTGTACATAGAGAGGGAAAAAAAGAGGAGATATCAACCTCCAGCAGAGTAGTAGGTGACTTCGAGTACTCATTTCAAACTGCTTTTATCTTCACAAAAACAAAGATGGGGGAAAGAAAATGGAATACTACAGGTAGCATGGCGGGAGAGTGATTACAACCAAAAAAAGGAGAGGTTGGAATCTGAAAGACTTTGATCCGATATTCCATTTTAGTGACTTTAAGGCTTGGCTCTGCTGTAACTGTAAATGTGTATTTTCATGGTCATCATATCATGTCTGCATGAAGCCTACTGGGGCTGTGAGCATTCAGTGTTCGTAAAGCCCCTCTGTGCTCAAGGGAGAGATTTGGGAAGCCATGTGGATGGTCTGTTATTGTGTGAAGAATGGGGTGTACTTCTTCGAGGACAAGTTACCTATGGTTTTGGTGACAAGGTCTGGACAGATACTAGGAGGAACAAGATTAGTCCATCTATTAAACTATGGAGCCAGAAGTGGTGGCTAACCTCAAACAATGGGATGGGTAGGGAGGAACTCTGAGGAGACTCCAGGTTCTTCTCTAGTTATCTTCAGAGCCCAAGTATGGTCAGCTGTTCTCCTGTGGAAGTGGTACCAGGGAGGGAACCAGCTCAGAGAAACCAGAGAGCTGTGTTGCACTTAGAGGAGAAAGTCGTGCCCTTCGGGTTGCGGTGGTGGTGGGGGTGGTTAGAATGTATCCTAGGCTGGATGCAGTGGCTCACACCTGTAATCCTAGCACTTTGGGAGGCCAAGGCAGGGAGATCACTTGAGCTCTGGAGTTTGAGACAAGGATAGGCAATAAAGTGAAACCCAATCTCTAAAAAATACAAAAAAAATTAGCCTGGCATGGTGGCACGCGCCTGTAATCCCAGCTACTTAGGAGGCTGAGGTGAGAGGATCACTTGAACCTGAGAAGCGGAAGTTGCAGTGAGCCGAGATCGCACCACTGTACTCCAACCTGGGTGACAGAGCGAGACTCTGTCTCAAAAAAAAAAAAAAAAAAGAATGTATCCAGTTAGATGAGGAAGGAAGCATCCAGAATCTGACCGGGCTGTCCCCAGAGAGGGTGGCGGAAGCTGTAGACCTTGAGAAAAAGTAGAAACAGGCCTGCTAGGAGAGGCCCTGCAGAATCCACAGCACTTAGTCCCTACTTCTGGCAAAAATAACTTGGTCTAGAATGATGGTTAATCGGAGACCCAGAGGTGGAGCCTCAGGCTGTCGTTAGCGTATGGCCTGGTTGTTCACTGTGAAAGCTTTATCCGGTGCTTTGTGACCATAGCATCTGGAAATGGGAAAGCCCTGGGGCGTTCCATGTATGGCCACAGCCTGCGATGTGAGGATGCCCTGGAGCTCTCCAGGGCACAAGGTACACATCTTTACATGGCAGCTCTGGTCCTGTGGGAACTTCTTCCTATATTTTGGGTGGAAGTTTGATAAAGAAACCTAAATATAGAAAAGAGAAATATAATACACATGTTTTTTTCTCCTTCTTCTGCTTTCAATTCACATCAATGAGTGGTAGCCAACTATTTGTGTAATTTGTATTTAGAGTGAATTTCTTGGAGGGAGGGAATTTTATAATAATTTAGCCTGTAATCAATCTCTCAAGTGAGACACTTTGCCCTCTGAATTGGTCCATTTTGCATTGCTATAAAGGAAGAATACCTGAGGCTGAGTGAGAAAAAAACTTTATTCGGCTCATGATTCTGCAGGCTGTACAAGAAGCATTGTGCTGGTGTCTGCTTCTGGGAGGGCCTCAGGAAGCTTTCAATCATGATGGAAGGGAAAAGGGGAGCAGGTGCCATCACATGGCAAGAGAGATGCCAGGCTCTTTTAAACAACCAGCTCTTGTGTGAACTAATAGAGTGAGAGCTCACTCATTACCACTGGGAAGGGCACTAAGCTGTTCATGAAGGATTCGCCCCCATGACCTAAACAC